>NC_000005.10:80412837-80715867 GCF_000001405.40 Homo sapiens | reverse complement strand
GAGCAGGGACCTGGTGGGAGGTGACTGGATCATGGGAGTGGACTTCCCCCTTGCTGTTCTTGTGATAGTGAGTGAGTTCTCATGAGATCTGGTTGTTTGAAAGTGTATGGCACCTCCCCCTCTCTCTTCCTCCTGCTCCAGCCATGTAGGACTTGCCTGCTTCCCCTTCACCTTCTGCCACGACTGTAAGTTTCCTGAGGCCTCCCCAGCCATGCTTCCTGTGCAGCCTATGGAACCCTGAACCAATTAAACCTCTTTTCTTTATAAATTACCCAGTCTCAGGTAGTTCTTTATAGCAGTGCAAGAACAAACTAATACAACAGAGCACATCTAAAATTCTCTAACAAAACAAATACCACCCCCCACCCACCACTGTCATAGAGCTTACTTTCTAGTAGGATTAAGCAGAAAATAGTAAAGAAAAATAATAATAATGTTAAAAAGTAATTTTTTATGGTGATCTGACTCCCTCACCTTCCTCAGGTCTCCATTCAAGTCATCATCTCAGTGAAACTTTCCCCGATCACCTGGTGTGAAATGGCTCTGCTCACTAGGATCCATGAGGATGGGAACTTTTGTCAGTGTTATTTCTGCTGTATTCAATGCCTGGAACAGTGCCTAGTATAAAACAGGTACTCAACCTATAAAGTAGTGCTGAATAAAGGAATGAATGAGTACAAGTTCCAGAACTACGGCTCTCCTTGCTGTGGGCGGCATTATTCCCATTTTAAAAATGAGTAAATTGAACTTGAGACATTAAGTACAATGTCCAAAGTAATGAAGAGATAACAGATTAACAGATATTCAAACCAAGAGTAGCTAGGTCCAAAGGCTTTATCTGTTCTACTACAAGCCTAGGCAGGCATAAGCTGATTCAGGAAGAAACCTAAGAGGGAGGATATTCTCCCATCTGTGGTGCTGAAGAAGGATTTTTCTACCTTAATCCACTAGAGAGAGAGAGTATCGGACTAACTACTGCAAAGTTCTTATCAATTTTTATCTTCCTGTAGACTTCCTCAATACCTGGATTTTTAGAAGTCTGCAATAAAGTTTATTTAGCAACTCAAAAACGAATGACCTTACATGAGCTCCACAATGTTTTTAGACAAGTTCCTAGAGTGAACACAAGAGGCAGCTGGTTACTCAATTACAGTTCTAATTAAAATTTTGTTTGATAAGCAGATAAGGATTTAGAAACCCATTAAGTTTGATAAAAATGGACTTGTCACTTATCCTTGAGGCTTTCCTGGAAGCTTTACAAGAATGTTAAATTCATCGTTCTGCAATCTGTATATTAAACCATCTTCACATAAATATTTTTTCAAACTGGTTAAAGTTATAAAATCTCCTATCTCTATTTTCCTGGATTTCTTAATTAAAGAACGTTATGATAAATTCAAATCACTGTATCTCTGAAACAAAAGTCTATTTGGGCCAGACGTGGTGGCTCATACCTGTAATCTCAGCACTTTGGGAGGCTCAGGAGGGCGGATCACCTGAGGTCAGGAGTTCCAGACCTACCTGGCCAACATGGTGAAACCCTGTCTCTACTAAAAATACAAAAATGAGCCGAGTGTGATGGTGGGCACCTATAATCCTAGCTACTCGGGAGGCTGAGGCAGGAGAATCGCTTGAACCCGGGAGGCGGAGGTTACAGTGAGCCAAGATTGCACCACCACACTCTAGCCTGGGTGACAGAGTGAGACTCCATCTCAAAAAAAAAAAAAAAAAAAAAAAGTCTATTTGAAATTCTGCACACATGCCTAGCATCCTACCAGAATTCTGTCACATAGATTTTAGGAAAATTTCTACTTTAACCTTTTCATATGTAACATGCCTCTCTGTTGCTGAAGGTATTTTTTGAAAAATTAAAGGGTAATAAACCTTGCAGAACTGTCAGTCTTGATTTCCTCAAACTGTAGTCTGTGGGACACCGGCATCAGAGTCACCTGCAAAGAAGTACAGATTCCCACCCGAAAGGTGCTAAATCTGAATTCAGCAGGAAGTTAGAGGAGAGCGAGCATTTTCAACAGGTTTCCTGGGGTGAGTCACAGGCAAACTGCAGACTTAAGAATAGCAGGCGACAAGAACAATACCGGTAGCCACCATAGGACTGGAGTAAAAATGGATGGAAATCTGCTCCAAAGACATGTATCCAATGGTAGTCTATGATTCACCTGCTTTATTAGAGGTGGACAGTAAATACCACTGCATCAAAAAAATTAAGTTATCTATGATTATATAATTGACCCAGATCTAAAAAATTATAAAACCACATTCCCTTGACCGCTACAGAGGCTATTTGTGCTGTGGGGCTGAAGCCTCCTGAATGGAGAGGAGCATGAACAGAAGATGTGCTCCTCCCAAGGTGGCAACCTCCCTTCTGTCCTTGTTGGTGGGACTCACAACAAGACAGTCATCTCGGTCTCTCAGTCATTACACAGGGCATGCCAAGCTAGACGGTTAAATTAAAGCTTCTAATTTTAAAAAAAAGAAATCCTTTTCACATGTAACATGCCTCTCTGTTGCCTACCATATTGCTTTTGAAAAACTAAATGCTCTCTCAGCAAGTGTTGAGCCCACATTAAAACAAGGGAACTTCAGAACCAATAATATCTTTTAATGTCTGCTTGGAAATAAAACTGGTGACTCTCTGGCATCAAATAACAGACCACCAACAGAGACTCTGAACTAATGTTCAACTGTGAACAAACAAATGTCAGCTTACCAATTGCATGATCTATACCGACTTTAGAAACTCATAGACAAAAAGAGCCTTGTTAAAGGTGGACAGTATCCTCTGGGAAAACTTACAAGGCCCCCTCTGACAGTGAACTCATTGGTAATAATAGCACTGATGAGTTCCAAGCCGAGTAATTCATTCTCTCCTCTGAAGACAGAATGAAACAGGGTTCTTGACTGAGTAGGACAGACAAGGTAACCTGGCTTTAATATCTCCATATTAGAATTACTATGAAACTCATTAATTTTATCAGTGCTCACAGTAGGGAACAACCACCACTTTCTTAGAAGACTAAGGGCATTATTTGAAATTATAATTCTAAAACCAACCACCAGGACAAAACCAACAAAAAAAAAAGATGCAAAGAAAACAGATCACATCGTGAAAGATTATTTAAAAGATATAAAAATAGAAAATATAACACAAAATAGTATAAACTAATATCAAATATATCTGACATATTAAAGGGCTAAATTCACCTATTAAAAGAAAATTAAATTCAGATTGGATCACAGAGGGGAAAAAAACCCCAAAATTCTATGCTACAAATAGGAGTGCAATCCAAAACAAAGTAATTCAGAAAGGTTACAAATTAAAAAGATGGCTGAAAAACAACAACTGCCTAGAGGTATATATTAGGTGAATACAAATAAAAAGAAAGTATGAGATCAAATCTTATTACCAGGAAAAATAAAATTCGAATAAAAACCATTAAAACAGGACAATGAAGGGTGTTTTTATAATAGTAAAAGGGACAGGATGGAAGAAACTCTTTACCTCATAATCTTTTTAAAATACTTTCCATTTTTTGAACTAAAATATACAACTTATTAAAAAATAAAATGGCATATTAGAAAAGAGAAAGAAGAGAAAAAATGGATTACAGGATTTATACAGGAGCTCCCAGAAGGAGATGCTGGTCCTCTTCCCTGGACTAGAACCCTGGAGGCTGGGAGTCAGGACAGAGCACTGGAGCATCCTGCCACCTTGTGGAACACCAGGAGGCAGCCATCACAGGAGGAGAGGAAAGAGCAGAGCCCCTACAACCAGCCATGCCCAATTCCAGCCATGCCTGATTCCAGCCTGCCTTCAAGCTTTTCACTTACGAGCCAACAGCTTCATTTTCAACTAAAATTTTTTTCAATAAAAACTCATTAGAAAGTGTAGTGCTGGCCGGGCGTGGTGGCTCACACCTGTAATCCCAGCACTGTGGGAGGCCGAGACAGGTGGATCACTTGAGGTCAGGAGTTCAACACGAGCCTGGCCCACATGGTGAAACCCTGTCTCTACTAAAAATACAAAAATAGCTGGGTATGGTGGTGCAGGCCTGTAGTCCCAGCCACTCAGGGGGCTAAGGCAGGAGAATCGCTTGAACCCAGGAGGCGGAGGTTGCAGTGAGCCGAGATGACACCATTGTACTCCAGCCTGGGCAACAGAATGAGACACCATGTCAAAAAAAAGAAAAAAAAGAAGAAAAAAAGAAAATGTGCTGTCTTCAAAAAGGGGTCTCCTGCTGTCCAGAGAAGGAAATAGACACAATCGCATAGCTTCTTAGAAGGATGGCAGCCCCTACTGAAGTCCACATGGCCAACAGTGAACCAAGGTGAGGAAGACCCAGTTTGACAGTCAGCTGGTGAGTCCTCCTCGGAATGAGCCAACAGGAAGACACAGCACCTGTGGGAGGTTCTGGAGGCCCAAAAAACCCCTCCTTACCAACAGAGGCGAAAGGGCCTTAGCCAACTTACCACAAGGGACTGAAAACTAAAAGCAGATGTAGGGCCCACGCTTCTTCAGGCTTAAAGAGGCCTGAGGTGAAGAAACACACCAGGACCTATCCGCAAAGGAGAGGCCTGTTTGGGAGCAAGGGAGGATTGAGAATTTCCCCACTATGGGAACTCCATGGGGCCTCAGACTCAAGGCTAGCACAATGAGAGCTGGGCTGTTCAAAAGGCTAAGAGAGACAGGAGGTATTACCATAAGGCAGAAAGTCTATACTAGGTAAACTCGTGTTGTTCTAAAACTTTTTTTCTAGTTTTTTCTACACTTTTGATTATACCTTTGCTTCTTTTGTAATGGTTGGTTTTGGTTTTGTTTTTAAAGGTAAAATTCTAACAAAAAAATTCTAGTCTGTCTTGGCAAACCTGATGGGAAAGTACTTCTGTCTGCAATGAGGTTAAAAACACTAAGAGGATCAGCGTGCAACTTGGAAACCAAAGGAAAGGGGAACACTCGAAGGGGGAGGGAATGGCAGAGAAGTCAAGGGCTGAGAGAAGCCACTCATTTCTGCCTGTTGTCATCATCGTCCAGCTCTTGGTTCTTGATCCTAGAAATCTTTTCTAAGGACAGAACTCCTTAGTAATAATATTTTAAAACCCCTATCCTTTCGTAATCTTTCAGCCCCTCACAATCCCAAGTCTTTTTACCACGAATCTACACATACTATACCCCAGACCTGTGCACATATTCTCAGTTAACAAGCAGGTCAAGGCTCACCTCCTCTAAGATGCTTTCCCAGAAGAATAACCACATGTAAAGACAACCCATGCTTTCTGCTGGATACCAGGGCTGTGGTTTGTAAAGAAATACCTTCATAAATAAAGCTGCTTTGTTTTAAGCACAGATGCTTTGTCAGAAACTTTACCACCAGAGAGAAATTCAGACTGTAATATGCATTATAAGGGAAAGAAATTTCATAAAATATTAACCAAAATAATTTTAATTGTGCTATAAAATATTACCCCTTTTGCAGTCAAAAGTAAAGGTGAAGGAAGGGAATAGCTGCTCCCTTCTGTGTTTTTCCTGAGAGGCTGTATGACATAGTGTGCTTTAGAGCCAGGAAGTCTGTATCAACTTCCAGTTTTGCCACTTAGTAATTGTATAACCTAGACAAGCTACTTAACATCTCTGAGCCTCAGTCTCCTCATCTATAAAACCCGTAATAAAATAACAGCAGCAACCTCACAAGGGTGTTTATGAGGATTAAGTCGGTCAACAAACATAAAGCCTTTAAAACAGTATCTAATACACAGTGTAATTAATGCTGGTTAAGAATAGGAGATAGATAGCAGTAGTCATGTGCTCAAAGGAAAAGAAGTGGGACAGCTTTAGAATAGATGTAATTGGGTAAGAAAGGCACGAAGTCAAGAAGCTACCAGCATTAAGGAATATTTTCAGTAGCCACAAATTTTGCCTCCAACAGCACCTTTTTCACTCCAGGGGAACAGAAGATAAAGGATAGGAAAAGCTACTAATGTGTGATTTCAGAAACAACTGCCACTGCCCAAAATACCACCTCATCTACCTCTGATGCCTGAAATGCCTTTAAAAGCATTTCATTTCACAAAATACAAGAAGAAAAGAAGTTCCTGAAGATCATTTAAATTGCAGTCCTCAAATATGAGAAAACCAAAGGTAAAGAAAAGCTTATCTATAATTATTATTAAACATAAGAAAAATTAACAAAAGTTGTTAAAAACTCTTTTTTTCTTTTTTTGAGACGGAGTTTCACTCTGTCGCCCAGGCTGGAGTGCAGTGGCGCGATCTCACGTGATCTCAGCTCACTGCAAGCTCCGCCTCCCGGGTTCACACCATTCTCCTGCCTCAGCCTCCGGAGTAGCTGGGACTACAGGCACCCGCCACTGCGCTAGGCTAATTTTTTGTATTTTTAGTAGAGACGGAGTTTCACCATGTTAGCCAGGATGGTCTCGATCTCCTGACCTCGTGATCCGCCCACCTTGGCCTCCCAAAGTGCTGGGATTACAGGCGTAAGCCACCACCGCACCCGGCCCTAAAAACTTAGAATTGATTACTTAAGATTGTACCAGTTGTGCAATATTTATGAGCTTTACCAAATGTTCCACAAATTCCATTAGCTCAGGGTACACACACACACACACACACACACACACACACACATATCTATTTTATATTCATCGCTAATGTGGGTCTACTAAGGAAGAAGCTGAAATGGTAGATTTCTAGAGCTCCCATCCCACCCTTTATTTCTATTATGTGATAAATACAATAACTTCTGAAAAAAAAGAAAAAGAGGGTCCAGTGCCATGGCTCACACCTGTAATCCCAGCACTTTGGGAGGCCAAGGAGGGTAGATCAGTTGAAGTCAGGAGTTTGAGACCAGCCTGGCCAACATGGTGAAACCCTGTCTCTACTGAAAATACAAAAATTAGCCAGACATGGTAGTGGGCGCCTGTAATCCCAGCTATTCGAGACGGTGAGGCAGGAAAATCGCTAGAACCCAGGAGGCGGAGGTTGAAGTGAATCAAGATCCTGCCACCACACTCCAGCCTGGGTGACAGAGACTGTGTCTCAAAAAAAGAAAAAAGAAAAAGGGAGACCTAAAAACATTTTTAAATGACATCCTAGAAAGTCAAAGTCTAAAATATCTAATATAAGAACATAAAAATCTAGGTCATTTTTCAAAGTCAAATTCAAAACAAAACCTTTGATCAAGTCCAGGAGTTTGAGACCAGCTTGGGCAACATAAGTGAGACTCCATCTCCACAAGAAAATCTGTACCCCAACTACTTGCAGGGCTGAGAGGATCACTTGGGCCCAGGAGTTCAAGGATGCAGAGAGCTATGATCGTGCCAATGCACTCCAGCCTGGGCGAAAAAGCGAGACCCTGTCTCTAAAAAAAATAAATAAATAAATATTAATTAAAAACAAAGACAAAATGAAGCCTTTGGCATCAACATAATTCAATGCATATAAAAGTCTTTTCTATAAACAGTGTGGAAACAACTGGTAAACGTACAAAGAAAAAGGAACCTCAATCCCTGCCTCATATCATGATGCCCCAAAGTTAAATCCAACTATTTAATATATTAAAATTAAAAGCTAAAACTATAGAACTAAAATAAAATATGAGAAAATGTTCATGATGTTGGAGTAGGCAAAGATTTCTTAAGATACAAAAAGCACTAGTAACCATAAAAGAAGACACTAATGCATCTGACTTCACCAAATTAAAACCTTCTGTTGTTCCAAGGTCATAATCAGGAAAATTAAAAGGCAGGCCATACACTGGGAGTAAATATTCACAATACCTATAACTGACAAAGGATTTTTATTCAGAATGTATAAAGAATTCTTATAACTAAAAAATACAAGTAATCCAAGTCTCAAAATGGGCAAAAGAGATACATAAATGAATAACCAATAGGCACATGAAAACATCACTAGTCATCAAGAAAAAGCAAGTTAAAAATAAAACATGACACCATACACTAACTATAATAGCTAAAGTTTAAAAGACTGACAAGAGTCAGCAAGAATGTGGAGCAACTACAGCTCTCACACACTGCTGAGAGGAGGGTAAATTAACTACTACTCCAAAACCTACTTCAGCTGTTACTTTTTTGTTTTGTTTTTTTGAGACAGGGTCTTGTTCTGTCACCCAGGCTGGAGTGCAGGGGCACAATTATGGCTCACTGAAGCCTCAACCTCGGGGGCTCAAGCCATCCTTTCACCTCAGCCTTCTGAGTAGCTAGGCCTACAGGCTTGTGCCACCACATCTGGCTTTTTGGGGTTTTTTTGTTTTTTTTTTTAGAGCCAGGGTCTCACTATGTTGCCCAGGCTGGTCTCAAGCTTCTGGGCTCAAGCAGTCCTCCCACCTTGGCCTCCCAAAGTGCTGGGATTATAGGTGTGAACCACTGTGCCTGGCCTGGCTGTTTCTTATACAGTGAACATATACTTACCCACATAATCCAGCAATTCCACTCCTAATTATGTGAAGAAAATGAAAATATAGATCTGTGAGAAGACTAGTACACAAATGTTAGTAACTTTAATGAAAATAGCCAAAAGCTGGAAACCCAAATGTTCAGCAAGTAAATAAACAAATGTTGGTATATGCATATGATGCAATACAACTGAGTGAGAAAAAGGAATGAACTACTGATACACTCAACAACATGGGTGAATTGCATAGGCATTATGCTGAGTAAAACGAGCTGGACACAAAAAAGTATGCACTGTACTGACTCCACTTATGTGAAATTCTAAAACAGTCTAAACTATCCTATAGTGACAGAAATCAGAACAGTAGTTGCTTGGAGTGGGAGGTGGAGGTGGGGAGAAAACCACTGCAAAAAGGCAAAGAGAACGTTTTGGGAAGATGAAATGTTCTAGATCTTAATTTGGGTGGTAGTTATATTGATGTGTGTATCTGTCAAAATTGATTGACTCATACACTTAAAATGTATAAATTTTATTGCATATAAATTACACCTGATTAAAATTGATTAAAAATAAAACTTTTTATATTTGCCGTATGTAATTTATACCTAAAGATTTTCTATTAAAAAGTCTGGAAAAAAACAAATTCCTGTGCAAATGTGTACTCCAAATATATTTTTGGCATAAGATTCTAATTCTGGTATTTACTCAGCAAAAAGCAATGGTGAGAAATATCTCTCGTTTTGAAGAAAACTAACTTCAAAAAGTATATTCTATATTTACATGCTTCGAGATGATAATAGTCTAAATGTCATCCATTATATATTTAATATATGACACAATCATCCTAACACATGGTAAATCTTTAAAAAATAATTTATGCTTCCTGTGACTCAGGAGGTATTTTTTCAATAGCATAACAGCAAAATTACCTGACATTATATTTGCCTTTGAGAAAAAGCAAGAAAGGCCATACTCTTCTAAGAACTCTACAGTCTTACATAATCCTGAAGAGGACTAGCAACATTAAGACATTTTCAAATCAGTGGAAATTCATCACAAACATTTTTTTCATGCATGATTAAAAGCTTTTTGTCAGCCACTGACACAAAATCAAGACCACTTCACTCAATCATACGCCTTTTGAGTCCACAAGTTCATTAACAAGCTCAGGTCTGCCTTAGCCTAAAATAACTACTCTTTCTAAACTAACATTTTTCTCTAGAAATACTAACTCTTATTTTCCCAAGAAGGAGCTGTTTCCAAAACAAAACAACAAAAAAAGTTTTTTTAAACCATACTAACTCTGGAGTTCATAGCTCAATGAATAAAAAAGTATATACAAATAACATCAGCCAAAAGGTATTTCCTTTTCAAATCTACAAATCTTTACTGTGCAACTACCACAGGCACAAACGGACTGAGGAGGGAGGTGGAAAAGAATGTCCTCGCCCTATGTTATGAGTTGAATTATGTCCCTATAACATTCAAATGTGGAAGTCCACACCCTCAGTATATAATGTGACTTTATTTGAAGATAGGGTCTTTGCAGAGAGTTAAAGTGAGGCCATCAGGGTGGGCCCTAATCCAATATGACCGGTGTCCACGTAAAAAGGGAAAACATGGACACAGAGACATGCATGGAGGAAAGACGATATGAAGAGACGTAAGAAGGAGGTGGCCGTCTACAAGTCAAGGAGAGGCCTGGAACAGATCCTTCCTTCACAGTCCTCAAGAAGGAGCCAATACTGTTCATACTTTGATATTTTTACTTCTATCCTCCAGAACTATGAAATAATGAATTTCTGTTGCTTAAGCCCTCAGTTGGTGGCACTTTGTTACAGCAGCCCTGGCAAACTAATACATTCCACCAAAATGGTCAACACCTATTGAGAGAGACAGGCTTATAAACAAATCACTAGAACATCAAACAGATTGAAGAGAGAGCTGTGGTAGTATTTGCCAATTACGAGTGCAAATATTCCCAACATAGTTGATTTCAAGTTACCAATGCTTTCACCGTCTGGTACAAAGTCCTGGAACTATAACAGTCAATTCTTACAAGCAGCTACAAGCGGCTCTAGCACAGGCCAAAAACTCAGGCATCGGCATTTTTTAAAATCCACATGTAATCCCAATGTACAGCTAAGATTAGAACCTCAACTGGAAATTGTAGGGCAGCTTCATGAAAGCAATAAGACTGTTAGTATACAGAATATTTAAAAAGACAGATGTGACAAAAATGCATTGCACAATGTGAGAATAGCTTAAGAATGGTAGAGAAATAAATGCTGAATGAATAACAGGAGGTAATATTTAATGAGCACTATGTTTCATGCACTGTATTAACTCATTTAATGCTTGCTACTCTATAAAACGTTCTATCAACATATACTTGTTTTTGAATGGGGAAACTGAGCCATGGAGAGGTTAAGATTCACAGGTAGTAAGAAAAATAGAGTCCAAACACAGGCTGTCTGGCCCCAGACTGTACCCAGACCATTATTCTGTGCTCTCACTGTATGGGGTTGTGAGCATGGCAATTACTCTGATGTAGCTGGAGCCCAAAGCGAGGGACAAGGGCAAGACTAGAGGAAAGGTATCATGCTCCTGGCCTCAGGTATGTTACCTTACACAAACAATGGGTTTGTAAACCAAACTTCTGTAAAATGGGTCATTTCAATGTTTTTACATAACTTGTTATTTAAATACATCAAATCAAATTAGAATTTGAAAAGGTCTAAAAGTTTGCAAAGTGAAAATCTCTCTGTAAAACAAAATCACCACCACCTTATTTGCCTCACATCTAAATCCTGATTTTTACACATAAGGATGGGCTTACCAGGCAAAAAGCACCATAATCACTCCAGAGAGATCAGCACAGCCTAGCACCTCTGAAAACAAAAGCAGGAAAATCATACAGATACCCTAAGCCACAAAGAGAAATCTGGAAGATGAAGCTTCACTCACTAAGCACCTGGAGGGCAAGCAGCACCAACCAGGAAATGCATTCCACTTTTGAGGTTACAACAAAGAAACCCATAAACACTTCATCTCACCATGAGGACTGGTGGAGGTGAAGACTGAATTCCAGTATTGTTTTCTACACTTAGCCAGTATTTAACTCTGGAATTGTACTTTCAAAAAAGTCATTCTTTGGTGACTGAGCAGGGACGGACAGTAAGGAGGACCTTGTAGGACCTGGGAAGGCCAGGCTGAGCCCATGGGACCCACGCAGGTCACCCTCAGTGACCCACAGTCACGGCGGCGTGGGTAGCACTGATAGACCCAGTGCTGATAGACCCCGGAACAGAAAATCAGGGAGCCCCACTGAGATCAGGACACTTCAGCAGAAGGAGTGTCAAAGGGCAGGACTTCTAAGGAAGATTCTTCCTCCCAGAAGCCCACCATTGTGGCCTGCAGGCCAAATCTCGCAGGACATACTACAGCTGGCTGGGCACCACAGAACACGCCCTATGCAGAAACCACAGACACGTGCTTCCTGGCCCATTATAAAAGATTCCCCTGAGATTATGAACAAAATCAGGCTGCCCACTCTCTGCACTTAGATTTAGTGTTATACTAGTGTTTACGTCCAGTCAACAAACCAATTAAAAAAAAAACTCTTTATATGTTTCTAGAGCACATCAGCACATTGACAAAGGACTACTTTAGTATACAGGATAACAGCAGGAGTGAATAAAAACACATTCCTGAAGTAAAATCTGTGCACTGTTGTTACAGAAGGAAAGATAAAGTATTAGGAAATATGCAAGATGGAAGCTTCTCTCCTTCTTCAAGCAGACTTCAGCATACACAGGACTTCAGAATTAACCTGAGGGAGCCCTTTGCTCTGCAGCCCCAGGAAAATGACAGAGTGTGACAGGAGGCTAAGCTATGTGTCTCTCTGGAGGAATAAGTAGGTGGGAGGGAGGCAGAATCTGACAATCAACCTGCAGGCCAGGCTGCTCCCACTGTTCTCTGGAAGGCAGAAGCAATAGAAATTCTGTATGGGTGGGCAATCTCTTGTCTTAAGCAATTTAATCACCCACAAGTAAACTTTGTGATATCTGGAGGTTGATAGTTAGGAGTTACATAAAAGAATGTAAAGTATACTTACCTATAAGGTAATTCATACATAAATGATACCCTGACTTAGCAACTAGAAATTGCTCACACTTAAAAAGGGCACTAATCACTTTATCAAGTACTTCCTCAACTGCCCAATGTTTCAGTCAGAACCACAATTCAAATGTACATTCCTAAACCTGTCATTTATTATGGACATATTAAATAATAATTGTAATCACCTCAAAGGATTGTTGTGAAGATGACATCAGTTAATTTCAGTAATGGCAGAATGTACCAGGTACATAATAAGAACTTCATTAGCTGTTTTTATTTTTGTTTTGTTGCTGTTGCTTGTCTCGCTCTGTCGCCCAGGGAGGAGTGCAGTGGCATGATCTCGGCTCACTGCCACCTCAGCCACCCGGGTTCAAGTGATTCTCCTGCCTCAGCCTCCCAATTAGCTGGGACTACAGCTGCTTGCCATCATGCGCAGCTAATTTTTGTATGTTTAGTAAAGACAGGGATTTACCATGATGCCCAGGCTGGTCTCAAACTCCTGAGCTCAAGCGATCCACCTTCCTCAGCCTCCCAAAGTACTGGGATTACAGGCGTGAGCCACTGCACCCAGCCAGCTATTTTTTTTTTTAAATAAATTATTTCAACCTTGTTTAAACTTTGCTTTCATTGAGGAATGTATTTTCCCCCAAATCTGTCTAGTTAAGTGTTACCTGTCTTTCTAGGCCCATCTCTTGCATACAGCTGTGCTACTGTCTATAAAACTACATTGCCTTATACAGTAGCTACTAACCACATGCAGTTAATGAGCACTTGAAATGTCATGGCTGGACACAAACTATCTTAAATATGCCATGCGATACCTAGCACTCCTCTGCTCCCAGTGGCTCCCACCAGGTAAGGACTAACCCTGTGGTGTGGTCATGCTCCCATATGGCCATCAGGGAGGCATGCAAGCCCACTCATCATGCATTCTTCTCTAAACTTGCCTTCACATTAAGGTTGGGGACAACCCAGTACACCCACATGGTGTGTTCAGGATTCATGTCCACTCCCATGAGGTGCAGAGCCCAGCTCAGCCAGGCCAAGAAGAGAACTGGACAGAGCTGAAGGTATAAAATAAGGGAGCAGTCACAATGGCACCAAGGGAAAGAATCCTAGGACCTGGTCACGGAGCATTCTGGACTGCAGTGGGGAGCTTCCACAAAAGCCTGGAAAAAACTCAGTATTGTGTATATTAAGTCAATTTATATTAATAAATTTTATATTAATGTATATTGATTATTGATACAAAATCAAGTATCAGAGGGTTTTTGGGTTTTTTTTGTTTCTGTTGTTTTTTCAGAAAGAAGGGTAGAAAAAGAAGGGAGGGAGGAAAAACTGTACAGAAAAACCATACCAGGCCTCCATAGGCTTTTACTGCTTTAGGGATCAAGACTTGGGCCAGAGGTTAAAAAGGATTCACAAAAAAGCTGGCAGGAGGAAGAAATTCCTGGCCTGAAAACAAGAGATAAGAAAATAATCTCAAAGCAAGCAAGCAGGGAAAATAAGAGAAATTAGTAAGAAGTCTCCCTTCAGCAGGGAGGTTCGACAGGAAGAAGTCATTACAAAGACAAATGGACAAGAAGGAGTCCACAAAGGCTGGGAGATAAGCAAGCCCAGAGGAGCTCTGAACTAAGCTGGCCTCAAGTTTTTGACTTCAGGTAGAAAGTGAAAGGAAGCTTTGCTGGAAGGGAAGAGATTAAAAGGGATCTCTCCTTGAACCATGAAAAGGAGAAGAAAAAAATAAAGAGATCCTGAGGACAGACAGTAACTGTATTTGGAGTTCAGTGAAGGGGGATTTTTGTCTTTTACATTGCTGTCAGGTTACACCTTAATGATAGCAGGTGAACTCACCAGTATCAAACAGGGTTAGGGCTCTAGTGGGCTTTGCCACTTACTACCTAAGTGATCCTGTAACTTCAAGAGAGGTTCACAGCATCTCTGCCTCCTTGCAGAAAGAAGAGGATAACTACACTTTCTTCAGAGGGCTGTGCCAGGGTTATTGAAGCCATGAACAATGTGTCTTCAAGAATGATGGGACTCAATCTTTCCCTTCATCTCCTGTCTTTCCTTTTTCTTCCTTTCCATTTACCCCCTACCTTGCAACTCGTACTGTTTCCCTTTGCCTTCACCTGAAATAATAAAGACTACTTTAATATTTAGTGTAGGATTTTTTTAAGATGCTAATAATAAATCATTTAAAAGCACTTTTAATATATTAACATTTATAACACAAACTTCTGGGAAAAGCCATGAGGACAAGACGCTTTAGCTAAATAAAGAGTCTTTATGCAATTAAATCCTCAAACCCAAATGAACAGGTGTATTTACAAAAATCAAGTCGAATTAGTAAAACAAATGCAGCACACCTCACACAATTGCTTCCAAACTTTCTGTTCAAGCAGTCTGGCCCCACTTTAGGAGGTCTCTGTAGTAATCAGGAAGATCTTTTCTCCACACTTCTCAAATGCTGTTTCTTCCTATTCGACTATCAATAAACCTACTGCAAATACACCCCATTTTTTCTTTTCAAGGAGATATATTCCTGAGGAGAATGCACTTGATGAAAATGCACAAAGAAGCTCTCATTCTTTAAATAAACTCATGGCAAATGTTCTTATAAAATAACTATCACCTATTAACTTATCATGTTTTAAAATCTGGATTTTCATGAGTTAAGCACATCCATTAAAATTGCTAGCTAGATATACAAAAAGTATCAGGACTAAAAAAAAAACCTACTGAAAATACAATGGCATTACCACCAGGGAAGAAATTAATGTAATTTTTAAAAAGAAATTTCAAAATGACAGATTTTTTAATACTAATAACACTTCCTCTTTAAATGGTTTCCCAGTGGCAAACATTTTCCTACAGCATATGAGATTTATTTCTTCCATTTAGTCACTACCATCTCTACTACCAGAATTGATTTGTTCTGTCGCCCAGACTGGAGTGCAGTGGGGAGATCTCGACTCACTGCAACCTCTGCCTCCCAGGTTCGAACAATTCTCCTGCCTCAGCCTCCTGAGAAGGTGGGATTACAGGCACGTGCCATCATGCCCAGCTAATTTTTTGTATTTTTAGTAGAGATGAGGTTTCACCATGTTGGCCAGGCTGACCTTGAACTCCGGACCTCAAGTGATCCACCCGCCTCAGCCTCCCAAAGTGCTCGGATTTTAGGCATGAGCCACCCTGCCAGGCCCACAATTTATTTTCTAATTCTAGATTATCTAAATAGTTAAGTGAAACTACCGTCTAATAAACATAATGAAACAGAATGACAAAGTAGTCAACTTTATATTTATCTTCTGCTCTCGAAAAGAGGAATGAGGAAAATGGGGAAGACAAAATATAAAGAAAAAAAGAGATTTCCTACGAATACCACAACAGAAAAGGTTTCAAGCGCCAGAGGGGAGGCTAGTGCCTAGTTATCATCAATATCAATCTTTAAACAGTAACTTAGCCATGTAGATCCCATTAATATTTGCTGTAAAGGAATATCTATGGAAATGTCAGGATGCTTCAATCAATTTACAGTGATATTAAAAAATTTTTTAAAGAAATAAACATAATGGGGAAAAAACGATAAGAAATCAATATGATCTTTCCAAAAGAGTAAATGAATTGGCTACATCTGTATAATGTAAATCTATATAATGTAAATAGACATTGATTACCATATATGTTAATGTATAGATTTCCAGCTACTCCAACAACCTTTTTTTTTTTTTTTTTTTTTTTGGAGACAGTGTTGTACTCTGTTGCCCAGGCTGGAGTGCAGTGGTGCAATCTTGAATCACTGCAACCTCCACCTCCCGGGTTCAAGCCATTCTCCTGCCTCAGCCTCCCAAGTAGCTAGGATTACAGGTGCTGACACCACACCCAACTAATTTTTGTACCTTTAGTAGAGGTGGGGTTTCACCATGTTGGCCAGGCTGGTCTGGAACTCCTGACCTCAGGTGATCCACCCATCTCGTCCTCCCATAGTGCTGGGATTACAGGTATGAGCCACCACGCCCAGCCTTACAACAACCCTTCTATGTTTAAAAAACCCAAATCAGTTTTGTTAAGAAAAACAAATAGGAGATACCCATTATTCTCTTTATTCTAAACATCACTTATTTAATCATTCATTTACCAAGCATTTATTAAGCACCTATTATGTGTGAGCTACTTTGATAGGTGCTGGGTACACAAAGGGTCACTAGGCTACGGTCCCCATCACCAGCCATCTCAGCTCAGTCTCTGTCACAGGAAACTCTTTATCCAGGCCCTGTGTAATGCCGCTTTCTCACTCCACCGTTTCACTCTTGATTCTCTTTTTATTTTTTATTTATTTGTATATTTTTATTATACTTTAAGTTCTAGGGTACATGTGCACAACGTGCAGGTTTGTTACATATGTATACATGTGCCATGTTGGTATGCTGCACCCATTAACTTGTCATTTACATTAGGTATATCTCCTAATGCTATCCGTCCCCCCCACCACCCCACAACAGGCCCCCCGGTGTGTGAGGTTCCCCTTCCTGTGTCCAAGTGTTCTCATTGTTCAATTCCCACCTATGAGTGAGAACATGCGGTGTTTGGTTTTTTGTCCTTGCGACAGTTTGCTGAGAATGATGGTTTCCAGCTTTATACACCCTTTCTCTCCAAAACACGTCTGTCCTGCCTCAGGTTGCCTGCTCATGCTGGCAGAGTAACCCAGCCAAACTAGTTTCTGCTTCCTAAGAAAAGCACGCTCTCTCACACCTCCACCTGACTGGCATTCATTCTTCCAGTCTCAATTCTAACACACCCCTCTAGCAAACTAGCATGATGCTCAAGGGCTGCCAGTAACTCTAAGATATTTTCAACCAGCGCTTTCATTACAATTATTTCCATGACTACCTCCCCTCTAGACTATAAGAACTTGGAAAGGAGGGATCTTTCTCATTTCTGTATCCTTGCCACCTAGTAACAAAGCTGGCGCACAGCAGCCACTCAATAACTGTGTTTAAGGATGAATAAATGAATGACTGTATAATAATGTTCAACTTAGAAGATGTATCAACAACTTGAGAATCTACTGGAAACATCCATCAAAATGCAGATTTTGGCCAGGCGCAATGGTCCACGCTTGTAATTCCAACATTTTGGGGAGGCCAAGGTGGGTGGATTGCTTGAGCCCAGGAGTTTAAAACCAGTATAGAAGACATAGAGAGGCCTCATCTCTACAAAAAAAATTAGCTGGGTGTGGTTGAGCACACCTGCAGTCCCAGCTACTCAGGAGGTTGAGGTGGGAGGATTGCTTGAGCCTGGGGGGTCAAGGCTACAGTGAACCACGATGGTGCCACCATACTCCAGCCTGAGGAAGAGTGAGACCCCGTCTCAAAAATAAATAAATAACATCGATTTGTTTGATATAAAAAAATCAATTAGAATTTCCTGGTATCCAATTTAATAAAATAAACTTGACAGCAGGATAAAATACCTTTAAAAAGGTGAGCTACTATAAAAAATGGAGTAACTCATCTTAAGAGAGCTTAAATGTCCTTTCTGGGCTTCAAATTCATCTATATTTCTCTACATCTCAAGTTTGGATTTTTTTTCATTCAAACAATGGTCCCACTTATACTAGATTTAGCTTACACAATCTAAATGACAAGTGGCAGAAAATGTGACACACATTGCCTTTACAATTGCTCCAACATGTTTCCTTAACTTCAGTCATTCCCCTTTACCTTCAATAATACTGACATATTTGTAAGGACATCACTACTATAACCTGATAGTTCTTGTTAAGTTAACTCACATTTTTAACTCAAATACCAACTTAAGAATCTTTCTTTGCAACACATTTATGAAATCACAGGTTTGATTCACTGATTATATGTTTTTAATATACCTTAAGTAAATATTTAACTATGAAGGTAAAAAACGTTATTTGTGAAGCACTTAAAATTATATCAGGTAAGTAAACCAGGTGTAACTTGGCTCCAGCTGCCAACACCTTGTATAACTCAGGCACCTTTCTTATGGCAGGGCCATTCCTCTGTCAACATAAGACTCTGCACGATTTCTGACCTCTGGGCTCTCTGAATCCACTTGGTATGGAGGTTCCTTCAAATACTTTTAATTTTTAACTTTGATGCTTTTCTGTGGGTGATAAACAAGAAAGGGCAAGCTTCGTAAGAAGGAAATATGAACTAATCATCATGACAGCACTCTGATGGAGAGCTGGCAAAATTTTCCTATAAATTTTTGTATGCTTAGATTGTTAATTTGCCAAGAAAAGGGATAGAATTTTCCCCACTGGTTGTGCTTTTAAAAATATACTAACATTCTTAAACTGTAAACAGCACTAAAAATATTAAAAGCAGTTTTTTAATTATAAAAAATAGGATTTTCTTTTTCTCAATCAGATTCACCCATGTGCAAAATTCAATTCTATTGCAGTTAAAATTTGCACACTGGCATTATCAATATAATCTAAGTCCAAATTTTATTATAATTAGATCAAAATAACACCAAGGAAGCAAAGTTCATTTATACATAGAGCAATCTCTAAAATAAGATCTTGATTGAAGAACTTCTGCTTCTGGGAAGAAGGAATGGAGATATGTTTCCCCACTCCTACTCTAAGTACCACTCCCTGCATATTACATGTCAAACAAACATAAGACGACTCTGAAAGGTGAGCAGAAAGCAGACCAGCTAGTGAACTTGGGATGTGAGGAACAGTATGACGGTGAGTTCCCCAGGTTTACTTTTTGTAGCATAAAACCCAGACTTGGAGCTGAAAAAGCTGACAACCCGGAAAGACCAACAGGCACAGACAAAAAAGCCTCAACAAACCCCCAGAGAAGAGGAAGCCTAGCAAGACAGAAAACTTTTAGCCAATAACCGCTCTACTCTAGCCAAGCATCAGAGAAAAACCTGTGGTCCCACCCATGCTAGCAAAGGCTGGGACCCCAGATTTCCATTCTCACTGGTGAAAGAAGGCACTCCAAACTCCAGTTGGGATTGTGTCAGTGTCAGCCATACAGTAGCAAACAAGAGGTTCATCCTTGCTGGCCAATACTGAGGCTTTAACCCCCATGGTATCAGGCGAAACACCAGACAGAGACTGGACTTCCACACCCACTAGGCAGTACTGAGACTCCCTTCTCACTCCTTACGGGGATGGTGTCAGAGAAGGCCCAGTGGAGGCCACATGGGAAGCTGGAACTCCTCCAGGGACCCAGCAGTAACAAGAAGCACCCATCTCCCTCGGGTTTCAACGGAAACCAAGCAACCTGGGTTTCTACCTCCACCTGGCAATAAGGAGGCAGCACACCCCTACCCTGCTGAAGCAGTGTCAGGGAAAGCCAGCTAGAACAGAAGGCTTAAATGAGACCCAGAATCTCACAACATAATACAAAAAAGCACTGGTTCCAACCAAAAATCACTCATCATACCAAATAACAGGAAAACCTCCAAACCTCCAACTGAATGAAAAAAGACAATCGATAGATGCCAACACCAAGATAACAGAGATGTCAGAATTAACTGGCAAAGCTTTCAGAGCAGCCATGCTAAATGTTTTAACAGCAATTACACACATGCTTGAAACAAATGGAAAAATAGAAAGTCAAGGCAAGGAAAAATTCTCTGCAACGTAATAGAAGGCATAAACAAAAAAATGGGCCGGACACAGTGGCTCACACCTGTAATCCCAGCACTTTGGGAGGCTAGGATGGGTGGATCTCCTGAGGTCAGGAGCTTGAGACCAGCGTGGCCAACATGGCGAAACCCCATCTCTACTAAAATACAAAAATTAGCTGGGCGTGGTGGCAGGCGCCTATAATACCAGCTACTAGGGAGGCTAAGGCAGGAAAACTGCTTGAACCCGGGGGGCGGAGGTTGCAGTGAGCTGAGATCATGCCACTGCACTCCAGCCTGGGCACAAAAGCAAAACTCTGTCTCAAAAAAAAAGAAAAAATGAACAAAAATTTTAGAAGTGAAAAATATAATAACAGTGGATGCACTCAACAGCACAATAGAGGAAACAGATGAAACAATCAGTGAAATGAAAAACAGAACAATAGAAATTACCAAATCTGGAAAGCAGAGAGGATACAGACTGCAATAAAAATAAAATGAATAGAGCCCCAGGGACTATAACAAAAGATCTAACATTCTTGTGATCAAAGTCCCAAGAGGAGAAAAGAAAGGCAAAAAAAAAAAAAAACAACAAAAAAAACACCACCACCAACAACAAAAACCTTGAAGAAATAATAGATGAAATATTCACAAATTTGGCAAGAGACATCAACTTTCAGATTCAAGAAGCTGAGTGAACCCCAAAAAGGATAAAGCCAAAGATATATGTTCCATGACACATAATTAAACTTCTAAAAACTAAAAAAAAAAAAAAAAAAATTCTTGACAGCAGCAAGAAAGAAATCATACCTTAGCTATAGGGTAAAACAATTTGAATGATAGTAGATTTCTCATCTGAAACCATAAAGGTTAGAAGGAAGTGGCAAAATATTTTTCAAGTGCTGAAAAAATAATTGTCAACCCAGAATCCCATGCCTGGCAAAAAATATCTTCCAAAAAATGAAAGGCAAATCAAGGCATTCTCAGATGATGAAAAACTAACAGACTCTGACACAAGCAGAGCTACTCTAAAAGAATGGTTAAAGGAAGTTCTCTAAACAAAAAGGAAAAAATAAAAAAAAAGAAACCTTAGAACATCAGGAAAGAAACAGCAAGGTAAGCAATAGGAACCCCTCCTGAGTTTCCTAAATTATGTGTGATGGTTCAAGGAAAAATTATAACGCTTTCTAAATATTTAAGACAATTATAATATTTAAGGTAATTATATTATAAATGGGGGAGGATAAAGAAGCATAGACAGAGGTAAAGTTTTTATATTTCACTCAAACTGGTAAAACAATGACACAAGTACACTGTGATAAGTTATGTATATATAATGTAATACCTAGAGCAACCTGTAAAAAAGCTACATGACTTACTAATTACTTCCTTTGATTTGTGCTTTTTGTGTATGTCATTTATAGGATATCTTTTCAGATCCTGAGGTAATGAATACATATATATTTTCCAACTGAAATTTTCTGTATGGTCTGAAGTAGGGTTTAATTTTACAGTATGGAAAGCTGTTTGTCCCTGCAGCATCAGTTGAATAATCCCTCCCTCCCAGGATGTCTAATGCCATCTCTGCCATATGAACTTCCTATGTATGCATGAATTTGTTTTCTCCATCTTTCTTCTGCTCCATTGCTTCATTTGCTACTCTCTCCATATGCCAATTCCATACTAACTTACCATTGCTTTATAAGTTTCGAGTTTTGGCCAGGCATGGTGGCTCATGCCTGCAATCCCAGCACTTTGGGAGGCCAAGGCAGGAGGATCATTTGAGGTCAGGAGTTCGAGATCAGCCTGGACACTATGGTGAAACCCCATCTCTACTAAAAATATGCAAAAATTAGCCAGGCGTGGTGACACATGCCTGTAGTCCCAGCTACTCGGGAGGCTGAGGCAGGAGAATTACTTGAACCCAGGAGATGGAGGTTGCAGTGGGCCAAGATTGTGCTACTGCACTCCAGCCTGGGTGACAGAGTGAGACTCCCATCTCCAAAAAACATATATATATATGTGTTTGTGTGTGTGTGTGTGTGTGTGTGTATATGTGTGTGTGTATATATGTATGTTTATATATATTTATATACATGTGCATATATATTTATATAAACACATACATGTGCATATATATTTATATAAACATATACATGTGCATATTTATATAAACATATACATGTGCATATTTATATAAACATATACATGTGCATGTATATTTATCTATATAAACATATACATGTGCATGTATATCTATATAAACATATACATGTGCATGTATATCTATATAAACATATACATGTGCATGTATATCTATATAAACATATACATGTGCATGTATATTTATCTATATAAACATATACATGTGCATGTATATTTATCTATATAAACATATACATGTGCATGTATATTTATCTATATAAACATATACATGTGCATGTATATTTATCTATATAAACATATACATGTGCATGTATATTTATCTATATAAACATATACATGTGCATGTATATTTATCTATATAAACATATACATGTGCATGTATATTTATCTATATAAACATACATGTGCATGTATATTTATCTATATAAACATATACATGTGCATGTATATTTATCTATATAAACATATACATGTGCATGTATATTTATCTAAACATATACATGTGCATGTATATTTATCTAAACATATACATGTGCATGTATATTTATCTAAACATATACATGTGCATGTATATTTATCTAAACATATACATGTGCATGTATATTTATCTAAACATATACATGTGCATGTATATTTATCTAAACATATACATGTGCATGTATATTTATCTAAACATATACATGTGTATGTATATTTATCTAAACATATACATGTGTATGTATATTTATCAAACATATACATGTGTATGTATATTTATCTAAACATATACATGTGTATGTATATTTATCTATATAAACATATACATGTGTATGTATATTTATCTATATAAACATAAACATATACATGTGTATATATATATCTATATAAACATATATAAACATATACATGTTTATATATATTCATCTATATAAACATATACATGTTTATCTCTCTATATAAACATATACATGTTTATCTCTCTATATAAACATATACATGTTTATCTATCTAAACATATACATGTTTATCTATCTAAACATATACATGTTTATCTATCTAAACATATACATGTTTATCTATCTAAACATATACATGTTTATCTATCTAAACATATACATGTTTATCTATCTAAACATATACATGTTTATCTATCTAAACATATACATGTTTATCTATCTAAACATATACATGTTTATCTATCTATCTAAACATATACATGTTTATCTATCTAACATATACATGTTTATCTATCTATCTAACATATACATGTTTATCTATCTATCTAAACATATACATGTTTATCTATCTAAACATATACATGTTTATCTATCTAAACATATACATGTTTATCTATCTAAACATATACATGTTTATCTATCTATCTAAACATATACATGTTTATCTATCTATCTAAACATATACATGTTTATCTATCTATCTAAACATATACATGTTTATCTATCTATCTAAACATATACATGTTTATCTATCTAAACATACTGTTTATCTATCTAAACATATACATGTTTATCTATCTAAACATATACATGTTTATCTATATAAACATATACATGTTTATCTATATAAACATATACATGTTTATCTATATAAACATATACATGTTTATCTATATAAACATATACACGTTTATCTATATAAACATACATGTTTAGCTATATAAATATATACATGTTTATTTATCTATATAAACATACATATATATTTAGATATATTTATATAAATATATAAACATATATATGTACATATATAAATATATATATACACACACATATATATGTAAGTTTTGAGTTTTGATAGGGCAAATAGCTCTAAGTCTTTCAGTGCTGTCTTACTTATTATTGGCCCTTTGATCTATCTTTTTAAAAGCAGCTTGTCAGTTTCTGTGAAAAACCTCATTGCCCTTTTGATTAGAATTGCACTGAAAAACATCTCTTGTACCCTACTATGTACTCACAAAATTGTTATTTAAAAAAAAAAAAGAATTGCATTGAATTTATATTAAGGAGAACTGATATCTTTATGCTGAATCTTTCCATTCATGAACGTGTTGCATCTTTCCAGTATTTATTTAGTTCTTTAATATCTTTCAGTAAAGTTTCCAAATTTTCGTTAAGACCTTATTTTCTTTTTGGTAAATAGAGTCTTAGATAATATTATTGTGGTTGCTATTTTAAATAGTATCTTTTAAAATTTTTTTCATTTTCTATTTGTTGCTGCTGTACTGAAACACTATTCATTTTTATAAACTGATCTTATATTTAATGGCATTGCTGAATTCTTATTACTTCTGATAATTTGTCACTTCTAGATTTTCTATGTAGGCAATATCTGGTCTGTGAATCATGTCAGCTTTAGGATTTTAAATACGTAGTCTAAATATTAACTACTTTTCAGTTGTGCTATTCAAAAATATATTTCTGGGCAGTATCTGATCAGTTTCAGGTAATAAGAATGTATATATAAAATAATCTATGAATAACATTTATTAATCATATTAATATATTAAATTATGAGTTTAATTATTTTCATGGACAATTACAAACATGATAGGAATTGGAGAGAGGATTAGAAGGCATATACAGACAGATTATCTATAAACAGATAAAACTGAAAAAAAGGAATTTCATGAAATACTTACCCTTACTACACGTGATATACTCTGGTAACTTCTACTGTATTTTTTTAAAATGTTAGTCACAACCTACCGAACTGATTTCATGATCTTAGGTTAAGGTCTTAGATCAACTGGATTATCAGCTTTTAAAATGAATATTGCTACGTGCTTCAGTTTCTGCATTTCTGTTTATGTTTAAGATCACATTAGTAATAAGGAGCACTTAACGGTTAAAGTTTAATGAGAAAAATAAAACAGTAGTTTTAAAATTGAACTGGATGGCTAGGTGCAGTGGCTCACGTCTGTAATCCCAGCAATTTGGAGGCCAAGGCGGACGGATCATTTGAGGTCAGGAGTTCGAGACCAGTTTGACCTACACAGCGAAACCCCTACGAAAATACGTCTCTACAAAAATACAAAAATTAGCCGGGTGTGGTGGCGGGCGCCTGTAATCCCAGCTACTGGGGAGTCTGAGGCAGAAGAATCGCTTGAACCCAGGAGGCAGAGGTTGCAGTGAGCCAAGATTGTGCCACTGCACTCCAGTCTGGGTGACAGAGCAAGACTTCCTCTCAAAAACAACAACAACAACAACAAAAATGGAACTGGTACACTGGTACCCAACGGAGGGCAAACCACTTAAGTCATACTGTGGTTTGAAGAAAGAAAAAGACTGGAAGATGCTAAATGCAGTCGCTCATGCCTATAATTCCAAGAACTCGCAAGGCTGAGGTGAGAGCATCACTTCAGGCCAGAAGTTCGAGACCAGCCTGGGCAAAATAGCCAGAACCCATCTCTACAAAATTTTTTTTAAAAAATTAGCTGTAAGGGGTGGTGCATGCCTGAGTAGCCAGGACTACAGGTATGTGCCTGATTAGTATGCTGCTCAGGAGGCTGAAGTGAGAGGATCTCTTGAGCCCAGGAGTTCAAGGCTGCAATGAGCTATGACCGCACCACTGCAATCCAGCTTGGACAGCAGAGCGAGACCCCTACTCTTTAAAAAAATCATGCAGGAAAGGTTTGAGCCTTTACACAGCATATTACAGCAATATCATAGCACAGGATCTGGTGGAGAATACTGATGATATGACACTTTTATTCTGTACCTTACTCTCAACTTTGCTGTGAGCCTCAAACTGCTCAAAATAAAATAAAATAAAATAAAGATCAAAAAAAAAAAAAAAGAACTCGGTCTTCCGTTGGGGATATATCCCCTTGAACTGGTAGGAACAGTTTATTTTTAGCAGCAGAACATCACCCTTCATACCAAA
The DNA here is from genome assembly GCF_000001405.40 of Homo sapiens. Taxonomy (NCBI): domain Eukaryota; kingdom Metazoa; phylum Chordata; class Mammalia; order Primates; family Hominidae; genus Homo; species Homo sapiens. The sequence continues at coordinate 80,689,628 of NC_000005.10, read as the reverse complement.
CAATCATTCATTTATATTTTATTTGTTTCATACATTTACTTTAATCTCAAATTTTGCTTGGACTTTATTCCTGTTAAAATAGGTATAAAACCTAGAGCACTAAGTTTTCAGTTTATAAATATTTAAGTCACATTATAATAAAACTAATTTAAGTGAAATGGGTGAGGAGGTTAGCAAGAATTATTTTTTCCTTTAAAATAGACTTTTTTCACTTTTACAACAAACATGTATTAACTTTGTAAATTTTAAAATTATAATTTAACAAATTTAAATAAGAAAATTCTAACACAAAGTAGTAAATTAAAAGGTTGGTAGGCCAAATTTGAGAAACATCTAAATAAAGTATAAGCTCCTCCCACTAGTGCCCAGCCAGCATCCTCAATGAAACAGCTCCAGTCTTCCTCTCTGGCCTTAAACATAATCATTCAGCAAATACTCACTGAACAGCTCTTCTGCACTACATTCTGTTGCAGGCTACTCTTGACCCATATTTTCCTAACACTCCAGTCAACTCGATGTTCCCAATTCCCTTTTCTCATCCTGTGACCACACTTCCTGGAATGCCCTCTTTCTACCCAGTCCCACCTTCCCACCTAATTTAGGCACCATGTTATTCATATCTATATGCTACCCACTGTTTGGTATGCCATTCCACATTTACTTGGCTCTAAATATCTAAGAATTATATTGAAATGACTTCATATGAACCCACAGAATTGAGCTTATTAAACTTTGATAGAACTGTAACACTGCAATCACGAAATTGGTACCATCAAGTACCGACCACTTAATAACATTTCGTATGTGTGAAGCACTTCCTCTTAACCAAATTAATGAGTAAGACCTGTTGTTTCTTTTACTCTCATTCTTTAAAAAAAAAAAAATTGAAACCTTTATACTAATGTTTAATTCAAATGACATTAGAAAGAAGTTGGACTTCAGTCATAACACAGATACCTAATTTGCATAACAATTCCTCTGATAATTATATAGTCTCACAGTTATCACTTCATTTTGGCACCAAAACTCTGCTAAATATTTTCCATTAAAAACTTGAAAGTCAAAGTACAATAACATAAAGTAATAAGTGATTTCTACTATATAAATTAATTTAATAAGAGATGAACACAAAATGAAAATGCTACTATGGTAATTTCAAACACGTGTCACCATAAGTGACATTCAGGTGGTACTATGCCTCCGCATAAAGAATCATGTTAGATAATACTTTTGGTTAAACCTCAGATGATGTAAGGCTCTCTGTGGCCAAAAAGACATAATAATAAGGTATTTCTAACACTGAAAGTAAACATAGTAGAGGTTATTCTTATTCCCCAACATTAAGATTTCAATGTTTTCTTTAAATCTGCAGCATACACATCTATCTTTGAGGAAGCACTTATGTGTTCAAGCATTTATTTCAAAGGTCAGATAGCTAAAGTCACTGTGGTACCACAGGACATTCTTCCACATGTCTTTTTCAAATGATATCAATGAGCTAAGGCTAGTTTTTAACCAAGTATCTTTCTGAATGTCATACAGTTTCAGTAAACTATAACAGAGTCAATAATGTAAAAAATTAGCTCACATCATTGGTTATACCACGTGTGACAAATTATAACTACACATCCCTACCTTGTCCTGGTTCTCCACCTAGCTCTTTAATTCCTCCCCTTCTGTTTGTATTCTTGCTCCTATTCCCAACTATTGGCATTCTCTAAGCTCCTTGATCTGATTCTTTTCTCTGTATCCGCTTTTTCCTTTAGGGAAATATTTATTTTTAAAATTCAACTGTCCCATCTAGGCAGTACACTCATCTCTTCCCTTCTATCATGCCATTCCTTTTCCCAGAAACCTTACTGCCTTCTACAGGAATCCATACCAGTTTGCTGGATTTCATAGGCCTTCACCCTTTCTTTCTCAATTCTCAACATGAAAGTTCCCTCTAATCAGAGAAATCTCCCTTCTGTCTTCACACTTCTCTAATATTTCCAGCCTGTGTGCCTCAGACCTCATATCATTTCCATACACACACAACATACCCTTCCCCCCTCCCCATTACCAACTCAAAGCCTTCTATTCTGCAAATGTACCAGCCTACCCCACCTCCTTCATACAGCCTTCCTTGGCTATGCCAGTGCTCAGGAAGCTCTCATTTCTTTGAACGCAAAATTGAGTGTCATTTGTGATGTTCACCTGATTCACCTGAAAAGTCAGTTTCCTTGAGAACTAGTAAATATTATTTGTTTATCGCTTTCTAAAGCTTTCCTCTCAACCATTTCTATAAACATACAACATTTCTAAGCTAAAGCAACCTTAACTGCAATTGATAAAGGGCTCGAGACTATTGCTTTCCATTTGTTTCTTTCTCTACATTTTTACAACAAAAGAAAGTGTAACAAGATAGTAAGACTGATTCCCTAAGACACAGGCTGAAATCTTACAAACATACTTTACATAAATAAAAATAAATAATCTAAGAAAAATTGATAGTGTATCATTATTTAGGAGTAATAATTTTAGATTACTATCATCTCTAATATTTGTTCTAAGTCACAATATGATACAAAGTAAATAAACCTGTACTTTCAGATATAAAAAGAAATGTGAAGATTTTAGTAACCATTAAACAGTAATTCACAAAATATCAAATCCTTTGGAGACCTCTTGTGGTTAAAGTTAAGAATACCAAAAACCCTAATATTTTAAGATAGACACTCCACAATTCCAAGCCATTCTTTTGCCTTTCCTCACACAGCTTTAACATATTATGTCTTCAAAATTAATAAAATATTATTAACCAGTAACTGACAAAAACTGCTGTTTTTACCTTTAGGTATATAGCATAAGAAAAAAATGGGGTACTTAGTCTGAGATACAAGAAACTACTTACCAGTGTTTAAAACAGACAAGAAGATATCACCAAAAACAAAACAAATTTTGTACTTGCAAATTTAATACTGTATTGTTTACTGGTTGTAAATATGGAAACAAAGAAGGTCATTATATAATGACAAAGGGGTCAATTCAGCAAAAGGATACGATAATTGTAAATATACATGCCTGAGGCAGGCGGATCACTTGAGGTCAGGAGTTCGAGACCAGCCTGGACAACATGGTGAAACCCCGTATCCTGTCTCTACTAAAATACAAAAAAAATTAGCCAGGCGTGGTGGTGCACGCCTGTAATCCCAGCTACTCGGGAGGCTGAGGCACGAGAATCGCTTAAACCCGGGAGGCAGAGGTTGCAGTGTACTGAGATCATGCCACTGCACTGCCCCCTGGGTGACAGAGCAAGACTCTGTCTCAAAAAAAAGAGAGAGAAAAAAAATAGCAGCTGGATACTTCAACACCCCACTTTCATCATTGGACAGATCTTCCAGACAGAAAATCAATAAAGAAACGTCAGACTTAATCTTTACTACAGACCAAATGATCCTAATAGATATTTAGAGAACATTTCATTCAATGGTTGCAGAATACACTTTCTTTTCCTCAGCATGTAGAGGATCTGATCATTATAGCATGAATGATCTAAACATTCTCGAGATTAGATCATATGTTAGGTCACAAAACAAGTCTTAAAACATTCAAAAAACTGAAATAATATCAAGAATCTTCTCTGACCACAATGAAATAAAACTAGAAATCGAAAACAAGAATAATTTTGGAAACTATACAAACACATGGAAATTAAACAATATGCTCCTGAATGGCCAGTGGGTCAATGAAGAGATCAACAAGGAAATTTAAAAATTTCTTGAAACAAATGATAATGAAAACACATACCAAAACCTATGTGATACAGTGACGGCTGTACTAAGAGGGAAGTTTATAGCTAAAAGCACCTACATGAAAAAAGAGGAAACATTTCAAATAAATAACCAAATGATAAACCTTGAAGAACTAGAAAAGCAAGAGCAAACCAAACCCAAAATTAATATAAAATAAAAATAAAAATCAGAGCAGAAATAAATGAAACTGAAACAAAGAAAATACAAAAGATCAACAAACCAAAAGTTAGTTTTTTGAAAAGATAAAATTGGTAAGACTTTCCCAGACTGTGAAAAAAGAGAGAAACCCCAAATAAACAAAATTAGAGATGAGAAAGAAGACATTACTACTGATACTACAGGAATTCAAAGGATCATTAGTGGTTACTATGAGCAACCATATGCCAATAAATCCGAAAATCTAGAAGAAATGGATAAATTCCTAAACACACACAATCCACCAAGATTGAACCACGAAGAAATCCAAAACCTGAACAGACCAATAACAAGTAACGAGATTGAAGCCATAATAAAGTCTCCCAGCAAAGAAAAGCCCAGGACCCAATAGCTTCACTGCTGAATCCTACCAAACATTTAAAGAACTAGACCCATTTTCCTCAAACTATTCTGGGAAAAAAAAAAAAAAAAAAAAAAGGAGAATACTTCCAAACTCATTCTACGAGGCCAGTATTACCCTGATACCAGAATGAGACAAATTCATATCAAATAAAGAAAATTAGAGGCCAATATCTCTTGATGAATATTGATGCGAAAATCCTCAGCAAAATACTAGCAAACTGAATTCAACAACACATTAAAAATATCATTTATCATGACCAAGTAGAATTTATCACAGAGATGCAAAGACGGTTCAACATATGCAAATCAGTCACTATGATACATCATATTAACAGAATGAAGAAAAAAAAACACATAATCATTTCATTTGATGCTGAAAAAGGATTTGATAAAATTCAACAACGCTTCATAATAAAAACTCTCAAACAACTGGGTATAGAAGGAACATACCTCAACATAACAAAAGCAACATATAAAACAGACCCACAGCTATTATCATACTGAATTGAGAAATATTGCAAGCCTTTCCTCTAAGTACGATAATGATGCCCACTACCACCACTGCTATTCAACATAATAGTCCTAACTAGGGCAATCAGACAAGACAAAGAAATAAAGGGCATCCAAATTGGAAAGGAGGACGTCTAATTATTCTTGTTTGCAGATGAGATGAACTTACATTTGGAAAAACCTAAAGACTACCAAAAAACTGTCAGAACTGATCAAACAAATTCAGTAAAGTTGCAGGACACAAAATCAACATACAAAAAACCAGCAGCATTTCTATATGCTAACAGTGAACAATATGAAAAAGAAATCAAAAAAGTAATCCCATTTACAATAGCTACAAATAAAATAAAATATCTAGGAGTTAACCAAAGAAGTGAAAGATCTCTACAATGAAAACTATAAAACACTGATGTAAAACATTGAAGAGAACACACAAAAAAGGGAAAGATATTACATGTTCATGAATTGGAAGAATAGTTCAAACATCCATACTACCCAAAGCAATCTACAGATTCAACGCAATCCCTATCAAAATATCAGTGACATTTTTCACAGAAATGGAAAAAATTAGCCTAAAATGTATATGAGCAACGAAAGACTCAGAATAGCCAAATATATCCTAAGCAAAAAGGACAAAATTGGAGGTATCACATTACCTGACTTCAAATTATACTACAGAGCTATAGTAACCAAAATGGCATGGTACTGGCATAAAAACAGACACACAGACCACTGGAACAGAACAGAAAACCCAGAAATAAATCCATACATCTACAGTGAACTCATTTTTGACAATGGTGCCAAGAACATACACTGAGGAAAGAATCTTTTCAACAAATGGTGCTGGGAAAACTGGACATCCATATGCAGAACAATGAAACTAGACCCTATCTCTCACCATATACAAAAATCAAATCAAAAATGGATTAAAGACTTAAATCTAAAATGTCACACTATGAAATGACTAAAATAAAACATTGGGGAAACTCTCCAGAACACTGAACTGGGCAAAGATTTCTTAATAGGGCAACCAAAGCAAAGATGGACAAATGGGATCACATGAAGTTAAAAAGCTTCTGCACAGCAACAGAAACAATCAACAAAGTGAAGAGACAACCCATGGAATGGAAGAAAATGTATGTAGACCACCCATGTGACAAGGGATTAATAACCACAATATATAAGGAGCTCAAACAACTCTACAGGAAAAATCTAATTATCCAATTTAAAAATAGACAAATTGAATAGACATTTCTCAAAAGAAGACATACAATGGCAGCCTGGTATGTGAAAAGCTCTCAACACCATCGTTCATTACAGAAATCCAAATCAAAACTACAATGAGATACCATCTCACCTCAGTTAAAATGGCTTTTATCCAAAGACATGCAATAATAAATGCTGGTGAGGATGTGGAGAAAAGGGAACCCTCACAGACTGTTGGTGGGAATGTAAATTAGTACAACCACTATGGAGAGTAGTTTGAAAAAAAACTACCAAAAAACTAAAAATAGAACTACCACATGATCCAGCAATCCCACTGCTAGATATATACTCAAAAGAAGGGAAATCAGTATATAGAAGAGATATGTGCACTCCCATGTTTACTACAGCACTATTCACAAGAGCTAAGATTTGCGAGCACCCAGGTGTCTGTCAGCAGACAAATGGGTAAAGAAAATGTAGTACATATATACAATGGAGTAGCATTCTGCCATGAAAAGGAATGAGATCCTGTCATTTGCAACAACATGGATGGAACTGGAGGTCATTATTTTACATGAAATAAGCCAGGCACAGAAAGATAAACTTTGCATGTTCTCACCTACTTGTGGGAGCTAAAAATTAAAACAACTGAACTCATGGAGATAGAGAGTAGAAAGATGGCTACCAGAGGCTGAGAAGGGAACTGGGGATGGTTAATGGGTACAAAAAAAATAGAAAGAATAAGACCTAGCATTTGATAGTGCAACAGAATGACTACAGTCAAAAATCATTTAATTGTACATTTTAAAATAACTAAAAGAGTATAATTGGGTTGTTTGTAACACAAAGGATAAATGCTTGAGGAGATGGATACCCCATTTACCCTGATGTAATTATTATGCATTGTATGCCTGTATGAAAGTATCTCATGTAACCCATAAATATATACATCTATTATGTACCTACAAAAAACTTTAGCCATGCCTGGCTAATTTTTGTATTTTTAGTAGAGATGGGGTTTCACCATGTTGGTCAGGCTGGTCTCGAACTCCTGATCTTGTGATCCGCCTGACTTGGCCTCCCAAACTGCTGGGATTACAAGCATAAGCCACTGCGCCCAGCCACAGAAAATTTAATTAAAATATAAAAAAAAAAACTTCCTCTTACAGAGAGCCTTCTACAGCAGGTACTATTTCAGGCGCTTTACCTATATTAACTTATTTAATCCTCACAACAACCCCATGAGGTAAGCACTCTTAATACCCCCAATATAAAGGACACTGAAGGACAATACAGTAGATAACTTACTCAAAGTCACTAAAGGGAAGAGCTAGTTTTCCAACTCAAACCCTGAGTCACAAGAGTCCACACTGTTTGACCCCTGCTAACTTTTGAATTTCCTCTACTTCATTCTGTCCATAGATATAAATTAGCTGTAGGAACTCCACAGAAATGCAGATTTAACTTTTGACTTCGCTTAGTCCAATATGCAAATAAAGTGAAAATGATCAAAGGATACAAAAAAAAGTGCAAAGATTGAAAAATTACACACGGTCAGTAAACATAGAGAAAATTATTTACAATGCTAACTAGAGAAATTCAAATTAAAATAAGACAAAAGCAGGCATTAAATTTGGTAAAACCCACATAAGACACCTAAATTATCTTTGATATGCCAAATTCAAGCTTTTAAATCTCATGTGATGAACAAACATTTAGGAATATCACCAGTCAATGAATGCTGCTTGACAAACAAAAATTCACTTTTGACAATGTCATTATGAAATATTTTGATATTTTATTGAATTTCGCCATTGTTATTTTATAAAATTAAGCAGAAAACAAAAAAATGAATGTGTTGATAAAATTGATTGACTTTACTCAATCTAAATTAATAAAATATATACTAAGTTAATAAAATATATACTAAGTTAATAAAATATAAAGAAAAATGAACTAAATCAAAGACAGGAAATCATAATTTATCCATTTATCATAATTTATCATAATTTATCCATTCCATTTCTATATTCATTTTTTCAGTATTACAAATACTGTTATGATGAATATCCATATATAGAAATATTCATGTGCATTTCTGATGATTTCCTTAAGATAAATTCCTGAAAATGGAATTAACTGGATCAGAGGGTATGAATGTTTATAAAGCTCTTGATCACCATTTCTCATATTACCATTTCTAGCAAGGAAATGATAGGAAATATTGAAAATACAATATAGAAGCCTACCTTTAAAAATTTTTTTCCAGATTTTATTAATTTTTTTAGTTCTGTAAAAGCAGCTCTCCTTACAAGTTTACTGTTTGACTTTTAATTATTCAAGTTTGAACACATGGTCAGAAAAGGATTAAGATCAAAATGAAGAGATTTGATGCAAAATTTTTCATCTATGTGACTGGCAAAGATTATTTAAATGATCACCCTCAATGTGAGCAAAGGTTCAAAGAACCCTCCTAGACTATACTGGTAGAAGTATAAATTGATATTACCATTTCTAGCAAGCAATCAAGAGCTTTATAAACATTCATACCTTCTGATCCAGTTAATTCCATTTTCAGGAATTTATCTTAAGGAAATCATCAGAAACGCACATGAGTATTTCTGTATATGGATATTCATCATAACAGTATTTATAATACTGGAAAAATGAATATAATAAAAATGGAATGGATAAATTATGATACACTTATATGACAATGTCATGTACTTATTTTGTTTTTAAGGGTACCTACTGAAATATTAGAGGATAAACTGATGCTCCCTAGGATTTGCTTCAAAGCCAATAATCAAGGGAGAGAGAAAAGGGGAGGGAGTGTAGAAAAATGAGAATGGTCCTGAGAAATGCTGAAGCTGGCTAATAGAGTGACAGGAGTTCATGACACTATTCTGTATAATTTTGTGTATGTTTGAAATGTTCTGCAATAAAGTTTTTAAAAATGGGGAATTGTAAAGTTAAAAAAAAAAAAACCACAGAATAGAAAAGTGATTTTGCAGCAGGAATGCAAGTTCACAAATGGAAAAAAGTGATATACACACACGGAAATAATGTGCCAAAATGTTTAACAGTCATTTTCTCTGGGTTACAGAATTCAACTTATGAATTTATCCTTTTTTTTTTGTCTTCTGAATGAACATATATTAGTTTTATAATCAGAAAAACAAATTATGAAAGCTACTTCGAAAGAAATTAAATTCAAATGAAAATGAACACAACACTAAGGACAAAGAAACATATGGAACTTCACTTAATCAATCAGTTTGATTTTCTTTTTTTTTTTTTGAGATAAGAGTCTTGCTCTTTCGCCCAGGCTGGAGTGAAGTGGTGTGATCTTGGCTCATTGCAACCTCTGCTTCCCAAGTTCAAGCGATTATCCTGCCTCAGCCTCCGGGGTAGCTGGGAATACAGGTGTCTGCCACCACACCCAGCTAATTTTTGTATTTTTTTTTTTTAGTAGAAACGGGGTTTTGGCCAAGCTGTCTTGAACTGCTGACCTCAGGTGATCCACCCGCCTCAGCCTCCCAAAGTGCTAGGATTACAGGCGTGAGCCACCGTGCCTGGCCTCGATTTTCTAAATGATTTGTCTACCTACTACATGAAAATCCTCATGGGCTTCTCTGCCTAGTCCAAAGTCCAAATTCGTCAATATACAGTCTACTTCGCTGAAGCCCCAGCACACCTTTCTGGTCTCTTTCCCACCACACTCCAGGTGGCAGTACGGAGTCTTTCCAACAAGGCACCTTCACGTTTAGCACTTAATACATCATGCCTTTAAGTCCAGTTAGGTATGCACACATCTGACTCTCATGTGAGGTTGTAAACTCTGCCAGACATATATCATAACCACATCTTCTTCCTCTGTACGCACAGCGCCTAGCACACTGCTTCATACGTAAGTGGTCTGATCTTAGATCCAGTAAACAAAACCACTGGACACAGCCATGAATTGAAACTTGCAGCACAGACAAAGCATCTCCAAAGTTACATAAACTTTGTAAGAAGTGAACTCTAAATTATCTCTAGAAACTGAAGATTACCAATAATTAAATATCATAAACCCCATAATTATCAAATAATATCATTAAATATCAGAAACCTCTTCAAAAAGACTGCCTTCTAAAGTTCTACATTAAGGTGATAGTAGGGGTAGGTGGTGTTTCTTCTATTTGTTTTTTAGATATGAGATCTCACCTTAGTTGCCCAGGCTGGTCTCAGATTCCGGGGCTCAAGCAATCCTTCCTCCTCAGCCTCCCAAGTGGCTGAGATTACATGCATGTGCCACCATGCCCAGCTTTGTTGTTTTACTTTTTTTTTTAAATTTCCACTACTACAGTGGAAATATAATTTTTGTAAGTAAAAACTATTTTTAGCAACTTTAATAAGTATCAGTTTTGGAACTAAACCTAAGTTTCAGAATCGGTATTATATTCCAGTGATGTGCCAACTTACCTAACAGATGTGGCTCTGTGGATGAGCGCCTCTGTTTGCTCGGACAAGGCCGAAGGAAGCAGCAGCTCTACTGGCTGCAGGCTTGACATCCGGGTTTCTAGCTCTGAACGAGAAGCAGAGTCCTGGAAACTATCAAACACAACCTCGCCTGTGGCAGGCTGCACTCCCTAAAAACAAATACAAATATAATGTTACAGAAAAAATGTATTTCCCCAGTTATGGCTATAACACAGCATAAACATGGAAAAAGTAAAGATGATACACTCAGGAGTATGTATGTACTCTATTTCTAAAGTGTTAGAAACCTGTCTGCTTTTCAGGACTCTTACACGAAGAGTCAGACTCACAGATATCTAAATGATACTATAAATCAGATTTCCGAGAGCCGCCCTGAATACAAGGCCTGGAGTTAATATACCTAACGGAGTGACTATGGCAAGTTACCAAACACTGCCAGGCCTCAGTTTCTTCCTCTGTAAATGGAACCAAACCAGCCTACTTCTCTCATAAGGTTATTGTAAGGATCAAATTATAAAATAAACAGGAATTATTTGTAAACTATAAAGCACTGTACAAATAGTAGTTATCACTCAAAGTAACAAGTGACATGGTCCTAGTAACCAGACCACCAGTACTGTAGTAAATTACTACTTCATACATCAAAGTAACACATAAAATGTATACTTTATCAAACTCTGAATGAAGCCCAAGTAGACAGTCTATCCAGTAGAATAATCATGCCAACTTGAACCTGCTCCCTAACATCCTAAGCCAATAATAGCAAAGATAAACTGGAAAAGATCATGGTTTGGAGAAGTGATAGGAAGTTTCTAGCCAAGGTCCCAGAGTGACAATGGAGTAGAGTCAAGATTCAAACCCAGGAAATCTGACTACTCCCCAATCCACACTGTTAGCCACTACGGATGCTTATGAAAGCCATGGGGGCTAGTTACAGGCTGCATTAGCTAAAAAGAGGAAAAATCACCAATCCCTATGTTCATATACTACTGATGGAAAGCCACTTCTGACAACAGCAAGGCATTATCTAGGAATGTTGAAGTATCCACACCCTATAATTCAGCAATTCCTCCCCCAAGGATATACTCTGGAGAAACTCAGGCATTTGTATACGATACAAGACATACAAAAATATTTACAGCAGCATTCTCTGTACAACTGTAAACTAGAAAGAATGCACATGTCCATCAACAGGAATGAATAAACTGTAGATCATAAAATGAAATAGGAAAAGGCAATGAGAGAACTACAGCGACACATGTAAATAAATCTCACATACAAAATGGTAAACAAAAGGAGCAAAACCCAAAAGAATACACACACTATATTTACATTTGTATATAACGTTTAAGGTGGCAAGGCTGGAACTAGAAGCTCCAACTAAAAGCAAGGAAATTATCATCTTCAAAGTCTGGATTACAGACACCTCTGGAGGGAATGGACACCCAGGGATCTTATGGGTTGGAGGCAGTGTTATAGCTCCTCTAACTGTAATTAAGGAACATCCTTAATTCTAGCCCAGAGGCTTTCTCTAGAGCCTAGAGAGATGGACTATCAGTACATAAGGATACACATGTAAATTTATATACCAATCTACAAACCAAGCATTTACAAAAACCAGGTACAGATGTTAAAGTAACAAATTTTTCAGTCAGCCAAATTCCCTTTTTCTTTAATCAGAGAAATGGTCTACACTGTAATACCCACAATATCTATCACCCTGTGTGATATGTATCACACTGAGAAACCTAAAATCAGTGTGTATAAAACTGCACTGCCCAGACTGAAGGCACAGAGCCTGACTGCAGTGATACTACAACAGCAAAGCCCTTTGAATTTCAGACTAATTACCAATACTCAAAAGGTGACTCCCAGGTACTGACCAGGCAATGAGTGACACCCATTGTGACAGGGAAAACAGTGTCGAGGGTAAAAGAAGATAAGATCAATTTTGGCCACACTGAGTTTGAGGAGCCAGAGTAAATTCTAAGTATCTCTGTTCAATAAAAATTTGGATGCAGGAGCCTGGAGCTCGAGAGAGGTGCAGCCTGGACCCAGAGCTCAGGATGTCATCAGCCCAAAAGTGGTTGCTGAAGTAAAGGACAGCCCCAAAGAAAATGCTTGAAGGGCAAACGGCTGTTTTCATTTTTCCGAGTCCCAGTTCGCACACATGGTTAACTCTGGCGGTAAGCCAGATGGTATTTCTAAATGCACTAAGTAGGAATTATATACTATCAACTCTGTTCTTTAGAAGGAGTTTTAGGTAAATATAAAATAGCACATTACATATGTTAAAGCTTAAAAGTAAATAACTTTACTATTTGTATATAGGTCCAAATGCCTGTAGCTAGATAAAACGTGCTTCTCAAGGATAAAAATATCATTTAGAGCTGTCTAACACCAACAGGAATGCTAACTCTCTGAAAGAAGGGCTTATTGGTTAAGCAAATGTCAAGTTAACACAGAGTTATGCAGTCAAAATAAGGTATTAAAAGGCACATTGGAGACATTCAGATGGTAAGAATTTTTGTTGATATTGCCACTGACCGTAGAAATTAGAAAAAGCAAAGAGAATTAGTTTTCACTTGGACAGAGTTCCATTTGTGCTTAACTTACAACAGAAAAGGGGTGTCTGATTGTTCTGAAGGGCCTTAAAAAGTCTAAGACCTTTAGCAGAGTCCACGTAAGTCTGTAAATGAGCAAATTTATTCATAAACTGCCAGAAAATCAATAAAACTATGAGTTGGCCAGGCGTGGTGGCTCACGCCTGTAATCCTAACATTTTGGGAGGCCGAGGTGGGCTGATCACCTGAGGTCAGGAGTTCAAGACCAGCCTGTCCAACGTGGTGAAACCCCATTTCTACTAAAAATACAAAAATTAGCCTGGTATGATGGTGGGTGACTGTAGTCCCAGCTACTCGGGAGGCTGAGGCAGGAGAATTGCTTGAACCTAGGAGGCAGAGGTTGCAGTGAGCCAAGATCACGCCATTGCACTCCAGCCTGGGTGACAAGGGTGAAACTCCGTCTCAAAGAAATAAATAAATAAAACTATAATTCACAAATTACATTTATCTAGAAAACTGACTGTAAATAATCCTAATATTAATTTAGTATGGTATTTTATATCAGCCAATTATCATTTCTCTTTAACTATCCCCTCCTCCAAATCTAGATATAATACCATAGTCATTCATGTTTAATTTCAAATCCCTAGAGGAAATTTATAGAACACTTTGCCACCATGCTTGTGTTGGCTTAGTGTTTTATTCTGCTATCTGTACATTGTCCACACATATGTCTGCCATTGTGTCTATCTTCAACCTTAAAATCTCAGGGCACATGGACCAAGACCATCTGGATCTCTCCATAGCATAGAGTATTGATATGGTTTGGCTGTGTCCCCACCCAAACCTCATGTTGAATTGTAATCCCCAATGCTGAGGGGGAGACCTGGTGGGAGGTGATTAGATTGTGAGGCCAGATTTCCTCCTTGCTGTTCTCATGACAGTTCTCACAATATCTGGTTGTTTAAAAGTGTGTAGCACTTCCCCCTTCACTCTCTCTCCTGCTAGCCTTGTGCTTGTGAAGATGTCACTGCTTCCCCTTCGCCTTTCGCCATGATTGTAAGTTTCCTGAGGCCTCCTCAGCCATGCTTCCTGTACAGCCTGTGGAACCATGAGCCAATTAAACCTCTTTTCTTTATAAATTACCCAGTCTCAAGTGGTTCTTTATAGCAACGTGAGAATGGACTGCTACAAGTACCAAGTAGCCATGAGAAAATTGTAACTAGCGATTTAACATATAATATTGTGAGAAAAATGTTTTTCTTGTATAATTATCTGAAGGTACACTTCATCAGATATCCTTATTATAAACCATACATGATAGATCATATTTAGAGATACCATGAACATCTAACATTTGTTCCTCACCTGCAAAGTACTTACCACAATGCCAATAAAAATGTTGCCCTTTTTTTTGTCCCTAACATTTTCCTTATTTTCAGAGATGCACAGAAGATAGCTGGTAGAAGTATCAGTCATTATCTCATCAACATTTACAGCATCATCCAGCTTGATTAGGGGATTCACATTTAATAATAATTAAAGAAAAATAATTATATGCTAAATTCTAAATCCTAATATGCTAAATTTCCAATAATATTAACTATTTTCTCCTTTAAAATAATGGTTCACAGCCAGGCGCAGTGGCTCACACCTGTAATCCCAGCACTTTAGGAGGCCAAGGTGGTAGGATTACTTAAGGCTAGGAGTTTGAGAGACCACCCTGGGCAACAAAGCAAGATGCTGTCTCTACAAAATAAAAAAATAAAAATAAAGAAAAAAATAATAAAATGATGGTTCATTTCACACAGTACTTCTGCCCTTTGCAAAAATCTTCTGCCCAGTATTCATTCTTCTGATTTATTTGGATCATAGTTGCATGCCTTATCTTTCCTAAGATATAAAGAGCATAAAGACAGATAACCAGTATCTTACTTCCAAAGGGCTTAGTGGAGTACACCAGACCCCATGGAGGCCCAAATATCAACCCACTTCATCACTTGGATGATGCTGAGACTTGAATCCTTAACAATCCCATAATGTTTAATTCCACAATTCAAAGTATAAATACACTAAAAGGGTGTAAATTATTTTCCTTTTTTAATGTACCTAAAAGCTCCCAGATATAGCAAGACAATTTTTTAAAGACATGAGAAAACAGAAACATATATACATTATATGTGCATGTATGTCTGTGTATGTGTGTATAAAATGAGTCCATTAACTAAATCTCAGGGATGAAAGCTGATTTGGGGCAAAGTCTGGACATATCTTTGGACATCAGGACATAGGACCCATAAAAGCAGCAAAGGAAAAGCAGGGAGGGGGACTGTACTAGAAATGGGCTTCAAATAACAGACTCAAGCTTTAGCAAAAGAAAAAATAAAAATACCAGGTTCTTACAGCCTGATCAGCTTAGAACAACACAAGGCTGTTAATAGTTTGGAGCCCATTTTGAGTGATAGCTGTTCCCTATTTATAGTATTCATGGAACAAAACAGTCCTTAGAATTAGATGAGCTGAGAAATAAGCAGATCTGTAATAAACCATAACAGAAATAATACTTTCACACAGTATCATTTAAGGCCTTCTTATCTCTCCATTCTTCCATTATCAGAGAACTGATTCCACCCCCATAGTAATTTTTTTTAAATGCACCCTGGTCTAATTTTACATATAATTATTTGGCTTTTGAAACTGACAATTTTGCTTTTGAAATTATTTGGCATCAAATAACACACTGCATTTATAAATGACCGTAAATTTAGGGGCAATCATTATGCACATTGAAAATTCTTACCAAGTGAGAAAACTTCACCCACAGCCCATTTTCAAAAGTAATAAAATTTTTATAAAGTTAACAATTAATGAAGACGGGCTACCACTATATTTTATAGGCATTTAACTCTGTCTTAATTCTGACTTCAGCCAGTTCTCTTTTCACATTTTGAATTTTTGGTTTGTTTGTTTGTTTGTTTGTTTGAGACAGGGTCTCACTCCTGTCACCCAGGCTGGAATGCAGTGGCATGATCACGGCTCACTGCAGCCTCTACTTCCTAGGCTGACGTGATTGTCCCACCTCAGCCACCCAAGTAGCTGGGACTACGGGCAAGTGCCAACATGCCCAGCTAATTTTTTGTATTTTTGTGGAGATGGGGTTTTGCCATGTTGTCCAGGCTGGTCTCAAACTCCTGGGCTCAAGCAATCTGCCCACTTCAGTCTCCCAAAGTGCTGGGATTAAAGGCATGAGCCACAGCGCCTGGCTTCAATAAGTTACTTTTTAGGTCTCACTTTGGAAAGACCCTGAGGAGCTTGTAGGCCCTAAGCACCTAACTACTTCCCACAAATGGGCTAAGGAAGATATAATTTCAAATCAGATACTAACCTGACATCGTCTTTTATTAGGGTTGCTTTTTTTCTTGCTCTTGAAGTATGATGAACTTGCCTTCTACTATGACATGTGAAAAGATGCTTGTTTCCAGCCACTACTTCCCTCTTGAATAGCACACCTAATCAAGGGTTCACCTTAATGCCTCTCAGCTCATCTAAAAAGTTCCCAAAGAGCAACTAAAAAACAAACAAACAAACAAACAAAACCTGCCAACAAAGCCCTTGTATCATTTAAGAGAAAAACTCCCGTCCAAAAAGGATATCTTCTCCAATAAGTGTAGATTTTGTATAAAGGGCAGTCAATTTCCGGGAAAAGAGTGAACTTCTGTTGTCTCCAATGGCCTTTAATGCTGCAGTTTCAGTTTGCTTCACAACTCCCACCTTCAACAAAAATAAGAAATATTGCTATCAAAGGATAAAAAATGACTTGTAAAAACTCATTTCGAAATGTTTAAACGTCAATTCTGAAATGGTTAAAATAATCAGTCCACAACGTTCAGATGTAGGGTTTAAAGGAGTTGACAAGGGTGGATAATTTGCTAAGAAACACTATCATAGAGTTTAAAAATTTACCCTAAATATCTAACAATATGTTAAAAACTCATAAATACATAATACTAATAATTATGAAACACTTTCAGTTCTGTAAAATGCAAAATTCTAAACCAATTGAAGCCTACCTACCACCTTACAAAACACGTTTGCACTCTCTGGAGGAGAATCCCAATTTCCTTTCCCCACAAGTTAAAGCCAAAGCTGACCTTATATCCTTTTGCCACCAGGCGGCGTACATGAACAAACAGTCTGTGAGTAGGTATACTTGCTGTCATAAAGTTGTGATCTAAATGGCAATAAATATTGAGCTCTCGGGCTGCAATCTAAAAAATGAAAAAAGAAAATATCAATAAATTTATATTTTAAGATTCCCTATGTGATGTTGGTTCACTTTATTAAAAATTAATCAAGGTATACATTTAGGATTTGTACACTTAATCTAAATGTGTACTATGTCAATAAAAAGTTTAAAAAAATGTTCCCTGTATAGAAGCCTATGGTTTAATGTATTTTGGGCAGTTCCAGTGACCTAACTTCAGTATCAACATCTGTATCTATAAAAGACTCAGAAAAATATGACAGGTCTTCTACATCCTTAGAGCTTTCCCTACACAAAGACTATCCAATACAGAGATCATGAGACTGTAAAAGAGTAAGAATTTGCTACATGGCATGTGCAAATGACTGACATTTAGAAGACACTACAGAGTATGCAGAAATGATGAACCCATCCGGACAGAGAAATCATTGAAAAAGTAAAAAGAGAAACCCCAGGCTGGCTAACTAATTAATGATGCACGACTGATAGAAATATAGAACCATGAAGCACCATGTGATTCCCTGATTTCCTCTAGAAAGCACCATGGCTTAGATATTGCCCACTGAAGCCATGGAACTCTAATTCTAACACTCTCGCTCCCCAACCTCACCCCTTCTCTGAACTCTATTAGTCCCTCACAGAAGGGCAGAAAAACATCAGCCTTTACCGTGGTCAGGTCTGAATTTACCGTTTAACCTAGACAGTTTCTCTCCTTCGCCTAGGGGATGACAACTACATATTTGTTCCTGCCCTCAGAAAACATGGTGACATTATCTCAGAGCCTAATTTAATATCACAGAACATTGCATAATGCATCTGACTTTGAGAACGCTGCTTGCCTGCCACAGAGGATTTAGGAAACTTGAAGAAAAAAAGTTGGCCAAGTCTTTACTTCCCATCCAAGAAGCACAGACATGCTACCTCATCACTCTCTAGTGTACAATCCAACCAGGTCCCAAACTATAGAATCATCACAAGCATTCATGACTTCCAACAAAGGTGTCATCTGCAATACTTTCCCTAAGTTTGCCTATGAAATGTTCAAATTTCACTTTCAACCTTCTTGACTAGGGCCTATAATAAATATTTCAACATTAAATACAATCCCAATTTTTTTTTTTTTTTGAGACAGAGTCTTGCTGTGCCGCCCAGGCTAGAGTGCAATGGCAGGATCTCGGCTCACTGCAACCTCCATCTCCCGGGTTCAAGCGACTCTCCTGCCTCAGCCTCCTGAGGAGCTGGGACTAAAGGCATGCACCACCACACCGGGCTAATTTTTTTAATATTTTTAGTAGAGATGCGGTTTCACCATGTTGGCCAGGCTGGTCTCAAACTCCTGACCTCAAGTGATCCACCCACCTCAGCTTCCCGAAGTGCTGGGATTATAAGCATGAGCCACCACACCTGGCACAATCCCAATTTAGACTAAGACACCAAGTTGACTGACACCCAAAGAGATCTGTAAAACTTCAAACAACTTCTGGTGGTAGCTGGTAAAGTTCACGTGTTCTTCCATTGAGACTTAACTTTGTTCCTGGCTATGAAAATTCATAAATTAAGAGTAAACAGAGGAACTTCTATACATCTCAAAAATGTTTTCTTGCTTGAGTCTTCATTAGAAAACATATTTACATGATTACGGTTTATTCACTAATTGACTCATCCAATTAACTTTGGATGGATAAAAAGTACTGGCCTAGTACCACGGAGAATAAGCGCTAACATTCCAATAGAGACCCCTCACTTTTTCCCACCAAGTCTGGTTCCCACCAAGTTTCTTGTGTTCATTTTTAGTTTTTACTTTACATAACAGTATTTTTTAAAAGGTGATTGATCAAATCAGCTTTTATATAAGGTCAGAAAATGAAACAAAAATACTGAAAAATATCTAAGGCTAGACAAGAAAAATATAAAATAGTGCCTGAAAAGACGACTTACCTCTGCATCTTCCCCAAAGAATCTATACTTATATCCACATTCCACACACAAAACTGCATCTTTGTGCTGCTGCTTCATTTCTATGTATTGTAATTCTAGCGGCGTATAGATGCTTTTGGACCGTTTGTTAGCTGATTTGGAAGCAGTTTTCTGTAAATTTTCATGACTTGTATTTGATGATCCAAACTGACTGAGATCAAAAAGTGTTGTGTCCTGGCAACCAAAAGATGTATAAAGTTTTAAAAATATTAACCACAATAATAAGTTCCCAGAGACGGAAAATGCAAATCTGGCAAAAAGCTAACACTTAGTGAATCTAGATGAAAAGTTTATAGAAGCACATTGTAGCATTCCGGCAAACTATCCATAGGTTACAAATATTTTCAAAGTAGAAGGTTAAAAAAAATTATGAACCAAGTAAGCTATCATAGAATTTTTATGCAAATTTTGAAAGTCTAAATATCTTAATGTTTTACATACTTGTTTTTAAATTTGATTTCATTAAATCTATTATTATTAACACTTATTTTCTTTTTATTATTTATTCTAAGGTGTGTAATGCACAAAAGGCCAATGGGGACAAATCTGGCTCTCTCTCAGGAGTAGGGCAAAACCACTTTGAGCAAAGCATGCCAACAGATAAAGCTGCACTTAATGTTTTATACTTCCAAGCACACTGTAAAAGACAGCACATTCTATAAATTCTTATAGAAAGAAAGAACCATGATTCTCTTGGTAAAGAAACATGAGAAAGAGCTGTTAAAAAATTTACAGCACAAGGCCACATTTTCAACATTAGTACTCCTACTATTCTTACCTTTCTGTGAGGAACCATAATTAATTCCAATTCACAGCTTAGGGAAAATTCCTCGCTTATTAGACTTAATTTAGAAAAATGTAAATGAGACAAATTTATAGTTGGCTAAATCCAACTTCTAATTAATTGCCACTCTGTCACTGCCAACTTCTAAAAATTTACCCAGCTCCCCCTACAATGAAAAATATGGCCTAAAAATCTAGTGACCAAAAAGAAGAGGGGAGAGTGAGAGAGAAGCAAAATGGCCCAGAAATGGGAACCCCAATCCAAAAGAAAACCCAGAAACATGTACACTTTGTAGTTCCCAAATGTTTAAAACAATTCAGCTTCACCGGGACATCAGGTAAAGATACTAACTTTTCAAAAAAAACTCAATTTATTTGAACAGTGCAGTCCAGCAAACCTCCAAAGATCAGCAATAAGAAGACGGTGAGGCATGGAGAGGTTGGCAAGAGAAATCCAGGTCATTATGATGGCAATGGCAGCCCATCTGGAGCAGCCACTGCCGTAACGCCAGCTGCAGTAGGAGAGGCGCAGCCAGGGCTGCATGCTCCACAGAACCGACAGGAGCCAGAAATGGGTGGAAGAAGCCTCGCCCCCTTCTGAGTTGGCAGGGTGAGAGCCTCACGCTCCCTGGGCACAGCTGTGGCTGCCCAGTTGTGGCTGCAAACCTGGGCATCCCTGTGCTCTTGGGGGCTGGGAGCAGGCAGGAGCCCCACCCTCCTGGGTGCAGCTGCAGCCACAGCCACCCAAGCTGTGGCTGTGGACCCGGGCATCTCTGCAATCTCAAGGGCCCAGAAAGGGAATTCCCCCTCCCTCTGCAGGCTCAGAAGTACCTGCTCCGACTGCCTGGCCTCTCCCAGCTCCCAGCACCCACTCTGATCTCAAAGTTAAGGCCAAGCCTAGGAACTGTTGCAACCTGGCTGGGTGTGCACATGCTCAGGGCAGTGCTAACATGCCAGCCCCCTGCTGCCTCGGCCCCCTCTGGACTTTGGACACTGATGAACATGGGAAGGAGGCCAAGGAGAGGGCTGAGGGCAGCTCAGAGCTGTCCTGCAGGTGCCCCATGGCACAAACAGCCTGGGTGCCATGGATGACGGCAGGAGGCAGACAGGCTCCTGAGCAGAAAGGGTCAGGTCCGGGTGAAGCCCCACCTTCAAGCCAGGAACAGCCTGAAGCCTGGGGGCCAGGCTGACGAACCAGAATTAGAACTTACGGTGTTTTCTGAGCCCGCCCATGGCAGCCCATGAACCAATCAGCACACACTTCCTCCTCTCAAGCCCATACAAATCCCCAGACTCGGCCAAACTTGAAGAGACAAGCAGACAACCTGCCTGCGGAGAGGAGCTACCCACTCCAGGGTCCCCTCTCGGCTGAAGGCTCATCACTTCTCACTTGATGGGATGCCCTGCCTGCAGAAAGAAGCACCCACTGCGGGTCTCCCCTCAATGTTCTGTCACTCAAGGAAGCCCCTCTTTGCCTTGCTCACCCTCCACTCGTCCACATACTTCATTCTTCCTGGAAGCAGGACAAGAACCTGGGACCCACCGAATGGCAGGGCTAAAAGAGCTGTAACACAAACAGGCCTGAAACCCATCTCTTGCTTGCCACATTGCAGCAACAAGAAGGAGAGAAGACAGGAGAGAAGAGCTGTGGACCTCTGGGGAGCTCAGACCTAGGGGCTCCTAAGCCAGGTCTATGACACCCTCTCTGGGGCTCTGCAGTTCCTGGAATCTCCAAGCTTCTGGGCGCCACTGTGTTCCCTGGTGCCAGCTGTGGAAGCTGTTTGTGGTACGCCTGGTCCAGCCCTCACTCACGCTGGCACCTGGAGCTGCCCACCCTGCCGAAGCCAGCATGCCTGGCAGTGCACAGGGGCCAGACCCCATGGTCACCTGCTCACACACCCCTCACCCTCACCACTCCACTCCTGGCTCACCCTTGGCAGCTGCGAGATTCAGGCCAAAAGCAAAAGCCAAGCACAGCCTGCCAGGCCGAGTGGGAGGAATGAGCCCAGCAGGCCCAAGTAAAAACTCGGGCAAAGGCACCACCAGCCACAGAGGTTTACAGCTGGCGAAGCAACACCCCAAGGATTGCATAACAATTTTCCTATACCTAAGAATGCCTTTGCTTTTAATTTTGATGAGTTTCCTATTTTGTTTCCATGACTTTTATGTCATGGAATATAGTATGTATTCTATATTAAATGCAGGTATATACTATGTAGTATAAAAGTTAATCAACACAGAAAATATATTTCTTACATTGTAAAAACTTATTCTTACTTTATACTTTATTCTTTTAGGAAATGAGATAAGCTTCCAGGAAAAAAAAGTTTTATCCTTATGGGATGCTAACAATTAAATCAATCTAAATACTTGAATATTAAGCAACTTTTTTTTAACTTTCATTTTAAGTTCAGGGGTACATGTGCAGGTTTGTTATATAGGAAAACTTGTGTCATGAGGGTTTGTTGTACATATTAATACCTGGGTAACAAAATAAGCAACTTTAAAAAAAATGATTTGGATAGAAATACTCATCAGATACATTACATTCTATTTCATATTCCCAGAGACAGTATGCTGAACTCAATTTAACCTTGTCTGGACAATTCAGAGTGATCAGAATATATTTCGAAACCTATTGAGAGTTATGGCATTGCTGACCCCACCCTAATGGTCCTGGACCATGGGGCATTTATGTTCACTCAGTAGCTTTTTGCCATTCATCCACGTCTATCCATGCCATCAAACAGCTTATCACCTGTAATAATGGCACTGCTTCTACGTGCCCCCTCTGTCTACTTACTTCTAATTTCCTGTGATGTGGACATGCCAAGTTGGTCATTCTATGTATAAAGCAATAATGTATACGCTCTTCTGAGACCTTGGAGTAAATGCTCCTATCAATAAAGTGAGCTTTAATGGATAAACTTTATGACTTCTATGCTTAATAACCACTATACTTAGGTGAACTGCTTCTAAGTATTAAAAGAGACTAAAAACAAAAACACCTTTTTTTTCTTGATGATCTAAGATAAGTCAATCAATATTAGCCTGGCTGAGGGAGGAGTTCATGGATCTGGGCTTTGTGGGAAAGGTGTGAAATCTTGAAAATTATAGGCAAAATTTTGTTGGCTTGAGAATTTTTCTGAAGAAAAAGGCCAACAGCTTTCATTAGAATTTCAATGACTCATATATATACATACACACATACATATACATATATAGAACCATTTCTCTAATTCAATGGTTGTCAATCACAGCTACAGATTAAAATGACTGCTTTTCCTTTAGTCTCACCTCATCTGCAGGCTAAGGTGGGAGGATTGCTTGAGACCAGAAGTTTGAGACTACAGTGAACTATAATCGCACAACTGTACTCTAGCCTGGACAACAGAGCAAGACTCCATCAATAAAAATAAAATACAAAATAAAATGTAAACTTTTAAAAAATATCCATGCCCATTTGTCAGTGAAAACCAATTAGATAAGATTCTGAGGGAAGGTTCTTAATGGCAATTTTTGTTTGAAGTTCTCCAGGTGATTCCAATGTAAAGCTAAGGTTGCGAACCAATCACTATTCTGAATTACAGATTTCAATGATGGAGCATGAGTTAAATTCCCTGATTCTGCAGTTATGAAAACCATTAAAAGTCTCAAAACAAATAGTGGATAAAGTAAAAAGCCCATGTTCATTTGGCTTACATTTGAATTTACTTTCTATCTATCAAGCTTTCAACTGAAACCTCAAAATATCTAAGTTGCCCATCATGATTTTCCACGGTAATCATGGAAACTCTAAGGAAGACTGTAAGAAACTGTGCTTGTATTAATTCTCAATAAAGAATCCCTCCAAGTCAAGGGCTCCTGATCCAGGCAATACCTCAGAATTACCTGGAAGGCTTTTGTTTTGTTCCCATACAAACCAATTAATCCCTCCCAAAACACAGTAAATCGAATCTCCAGGGATGTAAGAAAACTAAACTAAAACACAAAAGCTCCCTCAGATGATTCAGAAGACCATCCAAGTTTAGGAACCATTGCCATGAATGACCTCAGAGAACCTGACAGTACTTCAGAACCCACTATTCTAGGTAACTGGATACTCATCTATAGCAGTTACATACCTTTTGATTAATTTGACGTTTCGAATCTTCAGAAGAAACTGCATTCTTTGCGTGTAGAAGACTGATATCATCAAAATCAGTACATTTTGGCAGAACTGCAAATCTCTCCTGCAGAGATTCTGTCTGGACTCTACTTTGAGGAAGGGCAGAATCGCAGCAGAATTCTTTCAATTTTTCCAGAGACTTTGAAACATTCCTGGTCCTCAGACATTTCTTTGGCTCTTAGGCAGCAAATAAGAAGAAAACAGAACAATAGTAATTTTGGTCTCATTATGTCAATTCATAACCAGCATAGAATTTTTTAAAGAGGTAGATTCCCAATAAAGCAATGAATCTAACTATAATGTGATTTTTTTAAAAAAAGAAAGAAACACTGGGTTCAGGGTAAAGATGGCATATTAAACACAGATGCAATTTCACTCATTCCTGAAACCTCATTACTATAGTAGAGGTTTTTTTTCTTTTTTGTTTTTGTTTTTTTTTGAAGACATAAGCCCATAAGGACAGAGAGGAGAGGTAACAACTGCAAATGAGATATCTAAAGCTAGAAAGGAAAACAAATGAACAGTAACCAATTCAGCACACCTGAGAGCTAAATACTAAGTCAGTAATTAGGAAAACCAAGAGCCAACTCTAATTACAACACAAAATGCTCAAAAGACTCAGGAATTAGAGTACCAGTAGCTCTGGAAAGGAATAAAGGGAGGTTCTAAAATAAAGAGGATTGGTTCAAAGCAATTTGTTCCCTAAACCCCTACCATACTCCAAGCTCAAAGACAACTGTCCTTCCTCCACATCAGCAGCCAACTGGAGATTTCTTCCCTGGAAAGGCAAAACAAGCACAGTTGATGGAGTACTGTACCTAACCCAGAAGGACGATTAGGAACACAGACACAATGTATGCTGAGATCCACGGCCTCTCCAGAACCCAGGAAGCCAGAGCACTCCTACTCCCCTCCAGGCAGAAGCTGGGAGGACTCTTGACTGGGAAATCTTACTAGCTCAAGCGGAAAGACTTGATATTGACATCAGGGGTTTACCAAGAAAACCAAATCACCATACTCAGAAACACCATCACTTTGCCCATGATATGCTTTCTGCATGTCAAAATTGTATTCATTCTTCAAGACCCATCTCAAATCTACCTTTCCCATAAAACCTTCTGCTAATTTTCACAGCTTAAAATCATCTTTTCTTTCTCTGTGTTCCTCTAACAAGATCACATCTCCCTGTGGCACTCATCACAGTCTGCCAATTGGCAGTTTTTCATAAACAAGCAATCCATAAAAGAAGGGAAACTATCATTTTCTGGATCCCTACCATGTACTAGAACACAGTATTTCACCGTTTAGAGCACTACTATTAGGTTGGTGCTATTAAATGTAAAGGAACTGGGACTGCACACATTTATCACCTCTTACCTTCCCTATTAAAGCAAAAACACTCTGAGGGCAAGAGTTGTGTTTTGTTCATTTCTAAAAGTTTAAAATTGCTCCCAAGCTGCTTGCTAGGGCCCACTCCCACCCTGTGGAGTGTACTTTTTGTTTCCAATAAATCTCTGCTTTTGTTGCTTCAAAAAAAATAGTTTAAAATTTTCCCTATTTATATTTAAACCTCTTCACAGGCTTTCATTAGATCTCCTGTGAATTTTCTAGCCACAAAAATTTAAATTTGACTCTTTTCTCAAATGTATATTCACCTTGTTTACTATTACTCTCTTTTTTGAAATGTATATTTGTATCGCTCTTCAAAAATATACTATAAGTGTGTATGTTATACAAAGAGTTTCCCTCCTATAGACATAAAAAAAAACTGCCTGGAATGAAAGTGGGATGAAGATCTTGGAGTTGTATTTGCTGGGAAAAAAAAAAAAAGTATTGTGAAAGTTGATCATATAAATTGGGTCATTCTTGTCATACTCAATTGAAATGGAGTAGAGAGGCCAGGGGAAAAAGCACTGAGAGCACATATCATTGCTCCAAAAATGTAATTCTCTGCAAGCCTAGCTGCTGAAACTGCCTACTGTAACCTGAAACCAATTTTACCTGATAGCTGCTAAAACAACCTGCTGTGACTCTATGGCTAGTTTTACCCATTGCAGTCATTCACTAATCAGAGCTTGCCAGTTACTCCAAATTTTCCAAGTACCAATGAACCTTCGTTCAAAACAATACATTTTCTTTTTCCAACCTTGACCTCCCAGGCTCAAGAGATCCTCCCACCTCAGCCTCCTGAGTAGCTGGAACTACAGGCAAGTGCCACCATGGCCAACTAATTTTTTTTTAATTTTTTGTATAGACAGGGTCTCCCTATGTTGCCTAGGCTGGTCTCTGACTCCTGGGCTCAAATAATCTTCCTGCTTTGGCCTCTCAAAGCGTTAGGAATACAGATGTGAGCCACTGCTCCTGGCTTATTTCTCCTTTTTAATAAAACCTCCAATTTTCTCTTTGTGCTTCAAACATACCAAAGACCACCTGGTCTGTGTGTATGTCCCAAATTGCAATTCTTGCTTCCCAAATAAAATTTTTTTTTTTTTTGAGACAGAGTCTCACTCTGTCACCCAGGCTGGAGTGCAATGGCGCGATCTCGGCTCACTGCAACCTCTGCCTCCTGGATTCAAGTAATTCTCCTACTTCAGCCTCCTGAATAGCTGGGATTACAGGTGTGTGCCACCATATCTGGCTAATTTTTGTATTTTTAGTAGAGACGGGGTTTCATCATGTTGGCCAGGCTGGTCTCGAACTCCTGAACTCAGGTGATCCGCCTGCCTCCGCCTCCCAAAGTGCTGTGATTAAAGGCGTGAGCCACCGTGCCCCGCCCCAAATAAAATGTTTTAGAGATTTGTCCCTATATTTTATTTGACTTTGACAGTATTTAAAACCAAAGTGTTAAAAACAGAGATGAAATAATCAGGGACTCTTATGTCTGGCAGATGCTACTAGATGAATAATAAATACTCACTGCCTAAAACTTACTACAGGTGTTGACAGTCTTGCATCATTTAATGATGGGGATATGTTATGAAGAATGTGTCATTAGGTGATTTCATCATTGTGTGCACATCAGAGAGTGTACTTACACAAACCTAGATGATGGTATAGCCTCCTACACACCTAGGCTATATGGTATAGTTTATTGCTCCCGGGTTATAAACCTGTATAGCATGTTACTGTACTGAATACTAGAGACAACTGTAACACAATGGTAAGTATCTGTGTATCTAAACATATTTAAACATAGAAATGGTACAGCAAAAATACCTATTATAATCTTATGAGATTAATGTTGTATAGGTGGTCCCTCACTGACTGTCATTAGGTAGCATATGGCTGTGTTTACATTCTTAATGTTACTAATGTCTACTGTCTCTGTATTGTGGAAATACGATATAATGGTGTGCTACTGCTACTATGCACCCCCTTTCTAACTCTAAAAAGGTCAAGCCGTAGAATGTGACTAAAGTTGCTCTAGAGTAAGGGCTATTATTCTCTACCGAAGTTTAAAAACAATCCTTAAAAAGACCAAAGTGATCCAAAGGAATTTAATTGCTTGCCAGAACAGAGTCCAACACTCTAAAGAAATACAAACTCCAGCAGGAGACAACACAGATTCAACATATCCATGATCCAAATAATTAGTTACTAGACATGCAAAAAATAGGAAAAATCTGTCAAGGGATGCAGCCCCAGAAATGACAGATATGATGCAATTAGCATATAAGAACAAGAAAATACAATTTATAAATATGCTCCATATAATTAAGAATGTAAAGGAAAACATGAGCAAAAAGAGGAGCAAAAGGAATTTTTTTTAGCTTTACTGAGATATAATTCATATAGAGAACTGGAAAATATTTTAAAAGAACAAAATGGAACTTCTGGAGATGAAACATACAATATGGAAAACGAACATTTTATTAAACGAGATTTACAGCAGATTAGACATAGCAGAAAAAAAGACCACTGAACTTGAAAACAGAGCAGTAGAATCTATCCACAATGAAGTACAAAGAGAAATAAGCCTGGAAAACAAATGGAAAGAGCCTCAATGACTTAACAGATAACACCAAATAGTTAACATCCCCGTAATAAACTCTCAGAAGGAGACACAAGAGACAGGAAGACAGAAAAAATGTGAAACAATAACAACCAAAAAAGTTTCCCACATTTAATAAGACCTATAAACCCACAGACTCGAGAAGCTTTAAATGAGCTCTAAACAGGATAAAAATAAATGAAGAAATAAAAATTAAAAACCAGACAAAGGCAGCTGGGCACGGTGGCTCATGCCTGTAATCCTAGCACTTTGGGAGGCCGAGGCGGGTAGATCACGAGGTCAGGAGTTCAAGACCAACATGGCCAACATGGTGAAACCCCATCTCTATTAAAAATACAAAAATTAACCAGGCGTGGTGGCGAGTGCCTGTAATCCCAGCTACTCCAGAGGCTGAGGCAGGAGAATTGCTTAAACTTGGCGGGGCAGAGGTTGCAGTCAGCTGAGATTGTGCCACTGCACTCCAGCCTGTGCTAGACAGCACAGGCTGTCTCGGGTGTGGGGGAAAGAGACAAGGTCCACCAAAATCAAATATGGGTTCCTGCAGATTATATGGGGCAGAAAGAAAATCAAACATGAAAATCAGTGATTAAGAGAAAATCTTAAAAGCAACCAGAGAAAAAGACAACCCTCTATAATTAAAAATAAAAAACCTTTGATGTCTTATATGCTAAAGGCTAAGAATCTCCGAAGAAATACAGTGACTCTTTTCTTCTAAATATGACTTTTCCAATATACAGTTACCTTGTTTACCATGACTTCCTTTATGCTAAAAATATATTTTTGAATCTTTTCCAATGTGATATAGTTTGACTGTGCCCCGACCCAAATATCAACTTGAATTTTATCTCCCAGAATTCCCACGTGTTGTGGTAGGGACCCAGTGAGAGGTAACCCAGTGGGAGGACCCAGTGGGAGGAATCATGGGAGCCAGTCTTTCCCATGCTATTCCCATGATAGTGAATAAGTCTCATGAAATCTGATGGGTTTATCAGGGGTTCCCACCTTTCCTTCTTCCTCATTTTCTCTTGCCACCGCCATGTAAGAAGTGCCTTTCAACAAACCTGCATGTTCTACACATGTATCCCAGAACTTAAATTAAGAAAAAAAAAAAAAAGAAGTGCCTTTCAACTCCCACAATGTTTCTGAGGCCTCCCCAGCCATGTGGAACTGTAAGTCCAATTAAACCTCTTTTTCTTCCCAGTCTCTGGTATGTCTTTATCAGCAGTGTGAAAATGGACTATGCATCTCTTACTTTATTATTATTCCCTTGGTTTTCAAAAATACGTACTTAACTGGCTTTTCAAATGTATCTAAGTTTGCTTGTGAGTATAAAAGTTTCCTTCCCCCGTGGATCCCAGGTATAAAAAATAACTTGTTAATTGAAGAGTTAAGAACTGAGGTGGATATATACAATGGAATACTGCCTGGAAATAAAAAGGAATGAATGCATTATAGAGTAGCCAAAATGATAGAGACAGAAAGCTGAATGGTAGGCGCCAGGGGCTGGGGGAAGGGGGTTACAGTGAGTCAGTGTTTAATGGGTACAGAGTTATAGGAATGCAAGATAAAATGAGTTCTGGAGATGGATGGTGGTGGTGGGTGCATAACAATATAAATGTACTAAATACCCCTGGGCTGTATACTTAAAAATGTCTAGGATGATAAATTTTATGTTATGTATATTTTACCACAATAAAGAAAATGAATATTTTTAGAAAAGGGAATGAAGTACTGATACATGCTACAACACGGATGAGCCTTGAAAACATTACAGTAACTGCAAGAAACCAGACACCAAAGGCCACATATTGTATGATTCCATTTATATGAAATGTTCAGAATAGGCAAATCTATACACAGAAAGTAGATTAGTGGTTACCTAGGGCTGGGGAGTGCTGGGGCAGAACAGGAGGTGGCTGTTAATGGGCACAGGGTTTCTTTTGGGGTGATGAAAATGTTCTAAAATTGACTTTGATGATGGTTGCACAACTCTGGGAATATCCTAAAAGCCACCGAATTGTGCATGCTAAATGGGTGAATCATATTGCATAACTGTATCTTTTTTTTTTTTTTTGAGACAGAATCTCACTCTGTCACCCAGCTTGGAGTGCAGTGGCACGATCTCGGCTCACTACAACCTCCACCTTCCAGACTCAAGGGATTCTCCCGCCTCAGCCTCCTGAGTAGCTGGGACCACTGGCGCCCGCCACCACATCCGGCTAATTTTTGTATTTTTAGCAGAGACAGGGTTTCACCATGTGGGCCAGGCTGGTCTCGAACTCCTGACCTCAGGTGATACACCTGCCTTGGCCTCCCAAAGTGCTGGGATTACAGGCGTGAGCCACCGTGCCTGGCCCCAAGAACTATATCTTAATAATTCTGTTATTAGAAAAAAACAAAAACAAAAAACTTGCCAGGTATGATGGCTCAGGAGCACAGTCCCAGCTACTGAAGGGCTGAGGCAGGAGGATGGCTTGGGACCAGGAATTCAAGACCAATCTGGTCAACACAGCAAAACCCTGTCTCTAAAAAAATATATATATTTTTAATTAGCCAGGCATGGTGGCATGCACCTGTGGTCCTTGCTACTAGGAAGCTAAGGCAGGAGGATGGCTTGAGCCCAGGAGTTTGAGGCTACATGAGCAATGACCCTGCCACTACACTCCAGCCTGGATGACAGAGTAAGACCTGTCTCTAAAAAATAAAATAAACTGAAGTGGAACAGTCACCCAGCTTCTGACTAGTGAATGATCCTCCCCCTTCTTCCTTAGTGCCATTTTTAACAAGTGGCAAAGGTCCTATTTTAAAATATGCCAAGTGTGTTGTCTTATTTCAACAACATTCCATCTCAACTGTCCCCATGTGGTCTTAGTTAAGTTACTTAACTGTGATAATCATCAATTCTCTTCATCTATCACCCACTTCTTCCTCTATAAAAAGAGAACAACAGGCCGGGTGCAGTGGCTCACGCCTGTAATCCCAGCACTTTGGGAGGCCAAGGCGGGCAGATCACTTGAGGCCAGGAGTTTGAGACCAGCCTAGCCAACATGGCAAAACTCTGACTCTACTAAAAATACAAAAATTAGCCAGGTGTGGTGGCACGCACCTGTAATCCCAGCTATTCGGGAGGCTGAGGCAGGAGAATTGCTTGAACCCAGGAGGTTACAGTGAGCAGAGATTGAACCCAGGAGGTTACAGTGAGCTGAGATTGCACAAGTGCACTCCAGCCTGGGTGACAGAGCGAGAGACCCTATCTCAAAAAAAAAAAAAGAGGGCAAAAAGCATTCTTAGGAAAAATAAATGAGCTACAAAAAGCCTCTAGAATAAAAATCATAGGTGCTCATTCAGTGTTTGTAGACCTAAAAAATGGGTCTATGCAGAATAATCAAGCAATGAAAGGTAGGCTGCCCCAGAATTGTAACATTAACCGTGGCAAATTCTCTCAAGTCACGCCTCCTTGCATGACCCCTCCAGAAAGGTGAAGTTTTAGATTTACTTTTCTCCTTAGCCACACATCTCCATTCCTGTAGTTATTTCATACTAACACTTTCATGTTGACCCTAAAATTCAAATTTTACCTTTTATGGAAGGATTAATATTTTACATATATCTCCATTGGACAGATACCTCTATCTGAATTGGAACTTTTTTTTTTTCTCATTCTCTTTACCTAATTTCCTGAGGATAATGAATAAAGATGGATTTCCTGTCTTCCCTTATCACAAATTCTCTGGTACCATAAAACTAGAGAAAAATCTGCTCAACTGTCTATATGCAACACCACCTCTAGAAATCCAGGAACTCAGGCACTCAGGCAGGCTGGGTTTTTATTTATTTTTGTGCTGTTTTTTGTTTGTTTTTTGTTTTGAGACAGAGTCTCGCTTTGTTGCCCAGGGTGGAGTGCAGTGGCACAATCTTGGCTCACTGCAACCTCCGCCTCCTGGGCTCAAGTGATTCTCCTGCCTCAACCTCCCAAGTAGCTGGGATTACAGGCAACTACCAGCACGCCCAACTAATTTTTGTATTTTTAGTGGAGATGGGATTTCACCATGTTGGCCAGGCTGGTCTTAAACTCCTGACCTCAGGTGATCCACCTGCCTTGGCCTCCCAAAGTGCTGAGATTACAGGTGTGAGCCCCTGCGCCCAGCCTAGGCATGCTGTTTTTATTCAATGCCTTTTACATACACAAAGAGCAGCTCTAAGCAAAAAAAAGCGGGGAGAGTAGATCTGCAGGTCCTGATACTGAAAATTGTTCAAAATTTTCTATTAAGTAGAAAAAGATAGTAGCAAATTAGTATAGAATATAATATAATCTGTAAAATATATTTAAACTAATTTTTGAGCTTATGACTATGCACATATACACATGTACAAATTTTTAAAATCTGGAAGTATATACAGAACACCAATAGCAGTGGGCCTCACTCAAAGGGAGGGATTATGGGGTCTATCACTGCCTACCTTCCACATTTCTGTACTGTTTGAAATTTCTGTAGCAAGAATGTTTTAATTTTATAACCAGGACAAAAATAGCTAGAAGGAATAAAGGAGAAAGTTGGGAGAACTACAGCTAAATTGCAGAATTGTAGCTCTACCATCCCCTTAACCTCCTATACACATCACCATCACCTATAGGGGGCCACTCTGCTCAGGAACAAAAGGGACCTTTCTCCACAAAGAAAAAAGACACAATTCTAATACGCTCTTCTGCCCTCTGGAGAATTCCAGAATACCAGAGCCATGACTGAGGAGAAAAAAGAATCCCCCACAACTCACCAGAGTTGCCAGACATTCCCAGATCACTTCCTCCTTCCTTTTGTTGGACTTTCTTTACTTTCTTTTTAACAGGCCCATCATTTTCCAATGGTCTCTTCTTTCTTCTGTCAATTTCTGTAGCCTATATCGGGAAGGTTAGAAAATGATGTGTTATCTCTACTCTGAGAAGGCCTGACGTATGTGAAGCAATTTAAACCTTACAACTGAATGACAAGGTTCCTTGCCATCCACTCTTCAAAGAATCCTCTACTTTTAGCTCTGGAAAACCCTATGGGTGAACTGTTTTTAACACCATAAAAGACAAGGTAGAGTCTGATAGTCAGGAGCCTCAGCAACTCAAGCCGTGTTTAGAATTAATTGAAACCAAGGCTGCTACCGGTCTTGATTCAATGAGCCTTCAGCTTTCTCTAATTATAAAACTTGAATCACCCTACTTACATATGCTAAATAAAATACCTCTAAGAAATAAACAGTTATGTAGCAAAGGCACAGAGGGGAAAAGATAGGTAATAAAAGAACAGTATCATTTTTGACATGTTCACTGCAATTTAAGTGTTTCCTGTTTAAAAGGTTTATGTTCATCACTAAAGATGTGACAAGATTATGAATTTTTTCTTGGCAGAAAACTTGCCAAAAGCATACATAAGTCCTTCACCAGCTACCCTTTAAATGGTGGGTGCAAAATTTTGGTGAATTCATGAAAACGTAGCTCGTCCTCAAAAAAAACAGAAGAGGAGTAATCATTTTAAGGGAGAAATATATACGAAAGGAACAAGATTTTGAAGCACCCAAGCTGCCACCTACATTAAAACACGGTAGGTGGCTAAACACCAGTCTTCAATGCCCTTCCACAGCCTCAATCTGAAAAATACTGTGCAGGTGACCCAAGTGAGGGGTCACCCTTGGGCTTTTCCTGTGGCAGTATCTCTGGTTTAAAAACAAACAAACGTACTTATTGCGTTGAAGGATGGCAACAGGAAGGACTCCATGATTAGTCACATCTATACCATCCTAAGAAACTTTATCCACCCAAACTGTATTTCAGACTTTATAATCTAAACTACAAAAAGAGTTCACTGGGGAACTGCACAATATGACTGCTTTTAACCGTAGTGATTTCAAATATTGAGCCATGCTGTTGCAGTCTTAAAAACTGGAGACCTAAGGGCAGCTTTCTTCTAGTCACCCAATCCAGCACTTTTTTAAAAAATCAGTAAAACTCTTCGACCACCAAGGAAAAAAAAAAAGGATGGAGGTTAAAAGACGCACCCCTTGCCCACAAGCCCCCTCATCAGAATGGGAGTCAGGAGACCTGAGTTCCTGTCTCAGGCCTGCCATTAAAAACCTGCATAACCTTTGCCTATCTCCTCAAACGGAAGTACTAAAACCTCAGCGCTTCACCCAATTTGTAGCCCCGGCTGGGCTCTTCCCACCTTCCCCTTCTTCAGCCCGCCCCTTCCTCCTCCAGCCCTATCATCGGGCGGAGGGTCCCCGCCTCCGCCCGCCTTACCCACAAGCCCCGCCCCCCCAGCCCCGATGGCCCTGCCCAGTCCCAGACAGAACCTACTATGTGCGGCGGCAGCTGGGGCGGGAAGGCGGGAGCTGGGGGCGCTGGGGGCGCTGCGGCCGCTGCGGCCGCTGCAGCCGCTGCAGCGCCAGGGTCCACCTGGTCGGCTGCACCTGTGGAGGAGGAGGTGGATTTCAGGCTTCCCGTAGACTGGAAGAATCGGCTCAAAACCGCTTGCCTCGCAGGGGCTGAGCTGGAGGCAGCGAGGCCGCCCGACGCAGGCTTCCGGCGAGACATGGCAGGGCAAGGATGGCAGCCCGGCGGCAGGGCCTGGCGAGGAGCGCGAGCCCGCGGCCGCAGTTCCCAGGCGTCTGCGGGCGCGAGCACGCCGCGACCCTGCGTGCGCCGGGGCGGGGGGGCGGGGCCTCGCCTGCACAAATGGGGACGAGGGGGGCGGGGCGGCCACAATTTCGCGCCAAACTTGACCGCGCGTTCTGCTGTAACGAGCGGGCTCGGAGGTCCTCCCGCTGCTGTCATGGTTGGTTCGCTAAACTGCATCGTCGCTGTGTCCCAGAACATGGGCATCGGCAAGAACGGGGACCTGCCCTGGCCACCGCTCAGGTATCTGCCGGGCCGGGGCGATGGGACCCAAACGGGCGCAGGCTGCCCACGGTC
Organism: Homo sapiens; assembly: GCF_000001405.40. NCBI lineage: Eukaryota > Metazoa > Chordata > Mammalia > Primates > Hominidae > Homo > Homo sapiens. Next base: position 80,654,349 of record NC_000005.10, on the reverse strand, counting down.
GGGGTGGCCGACTCCCGGCGAGAGGATGGGGCCAGACTTGCGGTCTGCGCTGGCAGGAAGGGTGGGCCCGACTGGATTCCCCTTTTCTGCTGCGCGGGAGGCCCAGTTGCTGATTTCTGCCCGGATTCTGCTGCCCGGTGAGGTCTTTGCCCTGCGGCGCCCTCGCCCAGGGCAAAGTCCCAGCCCTGGAGAAAACACCTCACCCCTACCCACAGCGCTCCGTTTGTCAGGTGCCTTAGAGCTCGAGCCCAAGGGATAATGTTTCGAGTAACGCTGTTTCTCTAACTTGTAGGAATGAATTCAGATATTTCCAGAGAATGACCACAACCTCTTCAGTAGAAGGTAATGTGGGATTAAGTAGGGTCTTGCTTGATGAAGTTTACCAGTGCAAATGTTAGTTAAATGGAAAGTTTTCCGTGTTAATCTGGGACCTTTTCTCTTATTATGGATCTGTATGATCTGTATGCAGTTCCCAAGGTTCATTTACCATTATTAAAAAATTTTTGTCTTAGAAATTTTATGTATGTCAACGCACGAGCAAATTATCAGGCATGGGGCAGAATTGGCAGCTGGGTGGAGGCTTCGGTGGAGGTGAGCACTCCGAAAGGAAAACAGAGTAGGCCTTTGGAACAGCTGCTGGAAGAGATAAGGCCTGAACAAGGGCAGTGGAGAAGAGAGGGTAAAAATTTTTTAAGGTTACATGACCCTGGATTTTGGAGATCTCGAATTTAAAGGTGATGCACCAGGGATGAACGCTCAGATTTTCAGTTTGAAAGCTGGCGTGACATGTAAAGGAGTGGAGAATAATGTACCATTGTAATGATGAGGCGCCTCTAGGACATCTAGGATAATTTCAGGCGTGGGGATCTAGGTGAATTGAACTGTTGGAGGGAAGGGAATAACCAAGGAAAAGAATGTGGGGGTTGAGAGATGCCCCGTTTAAAACCTAAGAGACCTGGATATTTATGGTTGTAAGAGGAGGCATGGCAGAGGAAATGGAAACAGTAAGAAAGGAGCAGATGCTGCATCTCTTTAATGGGACAGATACAAGGCATTTGGGTTTGACACTTAGGTCACTGGTAGAGATGATGACAAGAGCCCGTAGCTAAAGAATTGATAAAAGCCAGTCTCAAAAATCCCAATATAGTCTGGTAATGTTAATGTTTCTTTGGTTCAGATAGCTGACTCTCAAAGTTATTTTCCTAAGAAACTGAACCAAAAGTGGACGCTATATGTAAAAAGTTTTTATAGAAGTGTTATAAGAGTAGGATAGAGACATAATTAAACATGTTTTAAGGTAATTGAGTGGAACATTAAGCACCTATTTTTAAAAGTATGATTTAATATCAATCTACAAAGTACACAAATATAATACAATTGTATCAGACAGTTGTGACAGCACTGATTAGAGGCTGAACATTATTCTAAGTCTTTAATTCCCACAACAACCCTAGAAGCAGGAACTATTGTTATCTCTATTTTATAGATAAAGTAAACCACAAGGGGTTAACACGTTTTGTCTTGTGGGTGACAAAATGCATTCAACTTGAGCACTTTGACTCAGAATCTTTTTTTTTTTTTTTTTTAAGAGGGAGTCTTGCTCTGTCGCCCAGGCTGGAGTGCAGTGGCGCGATCTCCGCTCACTGCAAGCTCCGCCTCCCGGGTTCACACCATTCTTCTGCCTCAGCCTCCTGAGTAGCTGGGACTACAGACGCCTGCCACCACACCTGGCTAATTTTTTGTATTTTTAGTAGAGACGGGGTTTCACCGTGTTAGCCAGGATGGTCTCGATCTCCTGACCTCGTGATCTGCCCATCTTGGCCTCCCCAGAATCTTTACTATGTCATACACAATTGCAAATGATTAAAACTAAATATTGGATATAAATTGGATAATGCCAAAGGGAAAAATAGTTAGATTTAGGTAATGAGTGATAAGTATGAATTTTGGTAAGACTTTTAAGTTCAGTTTTTTAAAGGAGATCTCTGCCAAACCCCAAAAACAAAGAGCCCTAACATCAGCCTAACCAGATTTCAAATTTCATCTTTTGGCGGTATGCATTTTTAACAGTCACCCCTCAACTAACACATCATCCTCCCTCAACTCACATTCTACTAACCCCATCAATGCAACTCCCTGCCCACCTTACTCAACATATACACCGCTGCTAGCCCCATACCCCGAACCAACCAAACCCCAAAGACACCCCATACGGTTTATGTAGCTTACTTCCTCAAAGCAATACACTGAAAATGTTTCGACAGGCTCATACCACCCCATAAACAAATAGGTTTGGTCGTAGCCTATTAGCTCTTAGTAAGATTACACATGCAAGCATCCCTGCCCCGGTGAGTCACCCTCTAAATCACCACGATCAAAAGGAACAAGTATCAAGCACGCAGCAACGCAGCTCAAAACGCTTAGCCTAGCCACACCCCCACGGGAGACAGCAGTGATAAACCTTTAGCAATAAACGAAAGTTTAACTAAGCTATACTAACCCTAGGGTTCGTCAAGTTCGTGCCAGCCACCGCGGTCACACGATTAACCCAAGTCAATAGAAACCGGCGTAAAGAGTGTTTTAGATCAATTCCCCTCAATAAAGCTAAAATTCACCTGAGTTGTAAAAAACTCCAGTTGATACAAAATAAACTACGAAAGTGGCTTTAACGCATCTGAACACACAATAGCTAAGACCCAAACTGGGATTAGATACCCCACTATGCTTAGCCCTAAACTTCAACAGTTAAATTAACAAAACTGCTCGCCAGAACACTACGAGCCACAGCTTAAAACTCAAAGGACCTGGCGGTGCTTCATATCCCTCTAGAGGAGCCTGTTCTGTAATCGATAAACCCCGATCAACCTCACCACCTCTTGCTCAGCCTATATACCGCCATCTTCAGCAAACCCTGACGAAGGCTGCAAAGTAAGCGCAAGTACCCACGTAAAGATGTTAGGTCAAGGTGTAGCCCATGAGCTGGCAAGAAATGGGCTACATTTTCTACTTCAGAAAACTACGATAACCCTTATGAAATTTAAGGGTCGAAGGTGGATTTAGCAGTAAACTAAGAGTAGAGTGCGTAGTTGAACAGGGCCCTGAAGCGCGTACACACCGCCCGTCACCCTCCTCAAGTATACTTCAAAGGACATTTAACTAAAACCCCTGCGCATTTATATAGAGGAGATAAGTCGTAACATGGTAAGTGTACTGGAAAGTGCACTTGGACGAACCAGAGTGTAGCTTAACATAAAGCACCCAACTTACACTTAGGAGATTTCAACTCAACTTGACCACTCTGAGCTAAACCTAGCCCCAAACCCATTCCACCTTACTACCAAACAACCTTAACCAAACCATTTACTCAAATAAAGTATAGGCGATAGAAATTGTAAACCGGCGCAATAGATATAGTACCGCAAGGGAAAGATGAAAAATTATAACCAAGCATAATATAGCAAGGACTAACCCCTGTACCTTCTGCATAATGAATTAACTAGAAATAACTTTGCAAAGAGAACCAAAGCTAAGACCCCCGAAACCAGACGAGCTACCTAAGAACAGCTAAAAGAGCATACCCGTCTATGTAGCAAAATAGTGGGAAGATTCATAGGTAGAGGCGACAAACCTACCGAGTCTGGTGATAGCTGGTTGTCCAAGATAGAATCTTAGTTCAACTTTAAATTTACCCACAGAACCCTCCAAATCCCCCTGTAAATTTAACTGTTAGTCCAAAGAGGAACAGCTCTTTGGACACTAGGAAAAAACCTTGTAAAGAGAGTAAAAAATTTAATACCCATAGTAGGCCTAAAAGCAGCCACCAATTAAGAAAGCGTTCAAGCTCAACACCTATCATCCGAAAAATCCCAAACATATGACTGAACTCCTTGCACCCAATTGGACCAATCTATTACCTTATAGAAGAACTAACGTTGGTATAAGTAACATGAAAGCATTCTCCTCCACATAAGCCTACATCAGACCAAAATATTAAACTGACAATTAACAGCCTAATATCTACAACCAACCAACAAGCCATTATTACCCCCACTGTTAACCCAACACAGGCATGCCCACAAGGAAAGGTTAAAAAAAGTAAAAGGAACTCGGCAAACCTTACCCCACCTGTTTACCAAAAACATCACCTCTAGCATTATCAGTATTAGAGGCACCCCTGCCCGGTGACATATGTTTAACGGCCGCGGTACCCTAACCGTGCAAAGGTAGCATAATCACTTGTTCCTTAAATAGGGACTTGTATGAATGGCTCCACGAGGGTTCAGCTGTCTCTTACTTTCAACCAGTGAAATTGACCTGCCCGTGAAGAGACTTTTAAGTTCAGTTTTTTAAAGGAGATCCACTAAATGTCAGGATGTCCATCATATCTATGCACATAGATAAGTCCTCAATGTCATCTGTGAGTTCTTGGAAACTGTGACTTTAAGTGAAACAATGTAGAGCAAAACCAATTTTACCATAGGCTACTGGATGTACACAAGAGTTAAGTTCCTAGGGCATATTGCTGGTCACAAAAACATCACCAAACTTCTAAATGAAGGCCAAAAACACTTCTAATAGAAAACACTGAAGTAAATATGAGCTATACATACATTTAAGAAGAATAATGTGCATGTCTTTGGGATGTGGAAGGAAACTGGAATACCTGGAGAAACCCCATGCAGACATGGGAAAAGCATGCAGACTCCACACAGACGGTGGCCCTGGCCAGGAATTGATTATTTTTCTCATCAACGTTAGAAGAAAACGATGTTATTCAAGGACATGTTGTATATAAATACATGAAAATATATGTATATTCCCAAAATATACTTAGGCTTTCTTTGTGATTTTATAGGTAAACAGAATCTGGTGATTATGGGTAAGAAGACCTGGTTCTCCATTCCTGAGAAGAATCGACCTTTAAAGGGTAGAATTAATTTAGTTCTCAGCAGAGAACTCAAGTAAGTACCTTAACATAAATTCACCACAAGAAAATCATGTCTCATAGTGGAGATCAGTATATGATAAAATGAAATTGTATAAAAGGAGCTATTGATGAAGCTGCTTAATATCACAAAGGTGATTATAGAAAATTAATAAGCAGTTATTTATACTACATGACAATAACTTATTCTACTACCTGAGTAATTGATTTCATCACCTTGAAAAGTTACATTAAACATTAAATAGCTCACTGTGGTATCAGATTTGCAAGTTATCTTGAACCATCATTCAGTAGGCCCAAATATAAATTATACAGTGTAATCAATAACCTGTAGTTTCACATAAAGTCAAAACAACTATTTTTTGGGACTTGCTAAAATTAAGTGATGATCCCCTTTCTGGACCCAACCCTAAATGCAATAAAATGTGAATTTTAGGATGGGCTGAAATGGGTCATAATCTTCTACTCTGTTATTCCTAGTTAACCACAATACCCAATAATATTTTGTACTTAACATTCATTACCCAGTGTCTGAAGGTAAAACATTTCAAAGTATTGAAATGGTTCTAGAGATCCTGGAGAGAAGCGGGTATCTCCAGTTAGCCTCTGCTAAGAATTTTCCTGTCCTCCAACCCAGGGTTGGAGTCAGTAGTTCATGAAGCCTGGATATGCCCTGGTGACTGGAGAGTGGGAGGGGTAATCATATTAAGACTGCCCAGGAAGTCAACTCCAATGGCTTGGGAGGTTGAGGGGTGGCCAGAATTGGACCTGTGTTAATCCATTCTCATGTTCTTATAAAGAACTGCCCAAGACTGGGCAATTTGTACAGGAAAGAGGTTTAATTGACTCACAGTTCCTCATGGCTGGGGAGGCCACAGGAAATTTAAAATCATGGTGGAAGGGGAAGCAAACGCATCCTTCTTCACATGGTGGCAGGAAGGAGAAGTGCCGAGCAAAGGGGGAAAGGCCCCTTATAAAACCATCAGATCTCATGAGAACTTAACTATCACGAGAACATCATGGGGGGTACCACCCCCCATAATTCATTTATCTCCACCTGGTATCACCCTTGACATGTGGGGATTATTACAATTCAAGGTGAGATTTTGGCGGAGACACAGCCAAACCATATCAGGATCTAAGGGGAAGGTCTGGGATCTGGCATGTTAATCATTCTTAGTCTAATAATATAATCACCAAAAAGAATGCAGTATCCTAGGGCACTACTTTCTTGGGAACAGTAGTCATAGTATTCTTTTCCCATGTGTATTGGTGAAGATTCAACCAAAGAAGCAGAACCAGTAGTAGATAGATACAGGTATATTAAAGAGTTTTATTGCGAGGAATTGGCTTACACAATTATGGGGGCTGGGTACGTGAGTCCAAAAATCTGTAAAACGGGCCATCAGAAAGGACAAGCTGGAATTCTCCAGCAGGGGCTGAAGTGGTACAGGTGAAATTTCTTCAGGAAAGCCTCAACTCTACTCTTAAAGCCTTTAAACTGATTGATTCAGCCCACTCAGATTAAAGTCTGACCGGGCACAGTGGCTAACCCCTGCAATCCCAGCACTTTGGAAGGCCAAGGCAGGTGGATCACTTGAGCTCAGGAGTTTGAGACCAACCGTGCAACATAATGAAACCCCGTCTCTACAAACAAATTAGCCAGGCGTGGTGGCATGTACCTGTAGTTTCCAGGAGGCAGAGGTTGCAGTGAGCCAAGATAGTACCACTGCGCTCCAGCCTAGGCAACAGAGTGAGATCCTGTCTCAAAAAAATTTAAAAAAAAAACTGAATTGTAATCACATCTACAAAATGCCTTCAAAGCAACACCTAGATACAGTATCTGAATAACCAAGGACTATATCCTAGTCAAGTTTAACACTATGGGAAGGAAAGAACTACACAGCTATATAGGCTAAGGGGATTCAGGCTTACATAGATTTTCTCCCAAGTTCTTCCTAGAATGGCATAGGTAAAAACCGAGAAGAAAGTGTATAGAATATTTGCATTGATTGCCTCTGGGCGACGGGGCAGATTTGTTGATGTGCATCTTGCTGCCTGCTTCCATCTTCATGCTGTTCTTTCTTCTGGTTGCTAGGATGCTCTGATTATCTCTTTCCTTGGTAGATTTCAAATTCACAGACTATATCGCCATTCCAAGAAACTCTTTAATGATATTTTTGAATACTACTCAAGTTTGTTTATGGCTAGCTTAAGCTCAAACAGAAAGAAATCTCAGTGGGGGAGATGTTCACTTGAGCCAGCATTTCTCCTCGAATATGATGAGTGTAATTTTTTTTTACGACCTTCCTGTGATGCATGTAATTGGGTTTGGTTGCTTCTTCTGTATTTATATATAACATATGTTGGTGTCTTGTGCTTTTTTTTTTAAGGCTGAGAAAATTTAAAGTCTTTGTTATCAAGCATGCCAGGGAAATAGTGATACCAGTTAGTAAAAAATGTTAGAGCTCTTTTTTGTTGTTGTTCTTCCTTCCACTTCCTTACTTGTTGGTCAGTCCCACACATATAGTGAACAGCTGCTGAGTGCCAGGCACTGCAGGGTCCTGAATAAGAGGGCAGAGATTTATACATGGAAATCACTTGCTTATGCCAACTCTAAAGATACTTCATTTTTCACCCCTCTCCCCCAATGTAAGAAGAAACTGAATCCTCAAAGTGATCACAAAATTTTCTACCAAACACTATAGTAATTTAGGGTAAATATTTCTTAAGTAAGGTATTGAGGGAAAATGCTTTTCCAAAGTTGTCTAGACAGTCAAGTTGTGGCTTTAAAAGAACTTGAGGTGAGAAGGGTGGGAATGGCCACTGATGAGTACAGAATGTTTTCTTTTTTGGTGTGATGGAACTGTTCTAAAAGTAGATAGGAGTGATGCTTGCTCGACTCTGAATCTACTAAACGTCACTGAACTATACACTTTAAAAGGGTAAATGTTATGGTGTGTGATTTATATCAATAAAGTGGCTTTTAAAAGTCTTTGGAACCAGCCGGGCACAGTGGCTCACATCTGTAATCCCAGCACTTTGGGAGGCCGAGGTGGGCAGATCACGAGGTCAGGTGTTCGAGACCAGCCTGGCCAACATAGCAAAACCCCGTCTCTACTGAAAATACAAAAATTAGCCAGGCGTGGTGGCAAGCACCTGTAATCCCAGCTACTCGGGAAGCTGAGGCAGGAGAAGCTCTTGAACCAGGAGGCAGAAGTTGCAGTGAGCCAAGACTATACCACTGCACTCCAGCCTGGGCAACAGAGCAAGACTCCGTCTCAAAAAAAAAAAAAAAACCTCGTTGGAACCAAAAATTAAATAAACAAGTTTTACTGTAATGCTATAGTAGCCTGGACACCATCTTTAGAAAATCCAAAATTGCCTCCATTATGTAAGATTTAAATAGTCTCCCATCCACGAAAGTTAACTTAATTTCATGTTATAATTTTTTACGATCTCACTATCAGAATCTCCACAGTGATTAAAACTTCTTGAAGGTGCAGTTCTCTCTCCCCCTACCACTCACACACTTGGAGTAGCAAACACTGACCTGGTTTCTGATGTCTACTATGGCACCTAATAACTTTGTGACTTTAGGCAGGTTACAAGTAAGCCTTGTTGAACCTCTTTCCTTACCTATTAAATGAGATGAATAATGACAACTTTTTTGGGTGATTTTGAAGACTCACTGAAATTTTGTATGTAAAGTTTCTGGCACACAGAAGGGTATAGATATCAGTTCCTACCCCCACCCCCATAAACTTGCTACTTTATATCTTATAGAACATACACATTAATATTAATATTAATGAAATCACAGTGAACAGACTCATGATCTCATTTTCACCTTAACATATTACTTTGTTCTTGTTTCCCTCCATCTTGAGACAAAAATCCACTGCCACCTAAATCAACTCTCTCATCTCCCCTGACTTGATTCTGGATTCCTTTTTTTCTATCTTCACCTTGCTCTGCTGTCCCAACCTTTTAGTATTATCAAAGGCAAAATAAAAATTTTGCGATGAATTCTCTAAATTTAACATTGTGTTTGGGAAGAAAAAATTGCAGTTTAGGGCATACATGCAGACAAGTGACCTTCCATATGTCTGAAGAACAAAGGGAAGGTTAGAGGTTTTATTTAAAAGGAGAAATGTTACTGCTCTTTGAGAAAGTTCATTGGCACTACTAAGGTTTGGGGGAGCTAGCAAGCTCCGACTGGCGAGCAGTGAGTGGTGGGCAAAATCAGTTCTAGAGTTGCAGCAAGTTATCTCAGAAGCTATAGATAAAACTGGTTTCAGGTTACAACAAGCAGTTCCAGCAGTCAGGCTTACAGAGAATTACATTCTTGGAGCAATGTTTTATACCCTGAGTGCTTTTTTCCCCTGGCCCCTCAACTCTGATTTAGTTGGGTATGACAAGAATGACCCACTGTCACCCAGGCCAGAGGGCAGTGGTGTGATCGCGGCTCACTGCAGCCTCCACCTCCCTGGCTCAAGCAATTCTCCTGCCTCAGCCTCCCAAGTAGCTGGGATAACAGGCATGTGCCACCATGCCCAGCTAATTTTTGTGTTTTTTAGTAGAAATGGGGTTTCTCCATGTTGGCCAGGCTGGTCTCAAACTCCTGACCTCAGGTGATCTGCCCACCTCAGCCTCCCAAAGTGCTGGGATTACAGGCGTGAGCCACCGTGTTCGGCCTACCCTGTTTTAAACCTCACCATAGTTTACTTTTCTTCTACCCTCAACTTTCTCAGAGCTTTCTTGTATTAAATAACTTTAGTATGATTAAAATAAAATTCTATACTACACTTTGGTTGTAGTCTGTCATGCCTGTGCCTTTGCACATGTTTTTATCTCCTTTGACACTCAGTTAAGGAGTCATGCCCTGAGGAGTATTCTCCCTCATCACCCCGGCCCTGCGTTCCTGTATAGCGTCCTCTGCATGTCTTCGTTGTATGTCCTTTCATACATTATAGTCACTGCTGAGATATTTCTGACTGCTATCACAATCTCTTTGAGTTCAGGGACTGCATATTTTATCTCTATCCCCAGAATCTAGCATAACCCCTAGCAAAGTAGGAATTCAAAAATCACAGAATGAATAGTACATAGGTGATTTATAAAAATAGAACCATCCCACATAGTACCACTTTGTAACCCACCTCTTTTTCCCTCAATATATTAGAAAATAAAGTCCTGTAAATATTTTTAGTGGCTGCATAGTATTCCATTATGAGGCTGGATCATACCCAATTTTTAATATGAGCATACCTCAGAGACACTGCAGGTTCAGTTCCAGACCACTGCAATAAATAAAGCATATCACAATATAGGTAGTCACATAAATTTTTTCTCAGTGCATATAAAAGTTATATTTACACTATACTGATAGTCTAATAGATGTGCAATAGTATATCTTTAAAAAATGTATGTACCTTAGTTAAAATATGACTGGAAAATGCTAACAATCATCCGAGCCTTCAGTGGGTCATAATCTTCTCACTATGGAGTGTCTTGCCTTGATATTGATGGTTGCTGACTGATAAAGGTGATGATTGCTGAAGGCTGGGGTGGCTGTGGCAATTTCTTAAAACAAGAATGAAGTTTGCCACATTGATAGACTCTTCCTTTGAAGAAAGATTTTTCTGGAGCATGTGATGCTATTTTATAGGATTTTACCCACAACAGAATTTCTTTCAAAATGGGAATCAGTCCTCTCAAACCTTGCTGTTGCTTTATTAACTTAGTTTGCATAGTATTCTAAATCTTTCGTGATCAACAATGTTCACAGCATCTTCACTGGGAGTAGATTTCATCTCAAGAAGCCAGTTTCTTTGCTCATCCATAAGAAGTAATTCCTTATCCATTGACATTTTATCATGAGATTCCAGCAATTCCATCCCATCTTCAGGCCCCACTTTTTTTTTTTTTTTTTTTGAGACGGAGTCTTGCCTGTGGCCCAGGCTGGAGTGCAGTGGCCCGATCTCAGCTCACTGCAAGCTCCGCCTCCCGGGTTCACACCGTTCTCCTGCCTCAGCCTCCCTAGTAGCTGGGACTACAGGTGCCCGCCACCACGCCTGCTAGTTTTCTGTATTTTTTAGTAGAGACAGGGTCTCACTGTGTTAGCCAGGATGGTCTCCATCTCCTGACCTCGTGATCCGTCCACCTTGGCCTCCCAAAGTGCTGGGATTACAGGCATTAGCCACCACACCCAGCCCAGGTTCCACTTCTAATTCTAGTTCTCTTGCCATTTCCACCACATCTGCAGTTATTTCCACCCCCAAAGTCTTAAACCCCTCAAAGCCATCATGAGGGTTGGAATCAACTAACTCCAAACTCCTGTTAATGTTGATATTTTGATCTCCTATGAATCATGAATGTTGTTAATGCCATCTAGAATAGTGAATCCTTTTTAGAAGGTTTTCCATTGACTTTGCCCAGATCCATCAGAGGCTATTGCAGCTACGGCCTTACAAAATGTATTTCTTAAATAGTAAGACTTGAAAGTCAAAATTACTCCTTGATCCATGGGCTGCAGAATGAGCAGGAATATTTTGAAAGGAATCTTCCTTCCTGAGAAGTAGGTCTCAACAGGAGGCTTTAAATATTTAGTGAACCATGCTATAAACAGACGTGCTGTCATCCAAACTTCGTTGTTCCATTTCTAATACACAGGCAGAGTATATTTAGCGTAATTCTTAAAGGCCCTGGGATTTTCAGAATGGTAAATGAGCATTGGCTTCCACTGAAAGTCATCAGCTTGCATTAGCTCCTAACAAGAGAATCAGCCTGTTCTTTGAAACTTTGAAACTAGGCATTGACTTCTCCTTTATAGCTATGAAGTCCTAGATGGCATCTTCCTTGAATAGCAGGCTATTTTGTCTCCACTGAAAATCTGTTCTTAGTGTAGCCACCTTCATCAATGATCTTAGCCAGATCTTCTGGATAAACTTGCTGCAGCTTCTACATTAGCACTTGCTGCTTCACCTTGCACTTTTTTCTTATGGAGACAGCTTTTTCCTTAAACGTCATGAACCAAACCCTTGCTAGTTTCAAACTTTTCTTCTATAGCTTTCTCACCTCTCTCAGCCTTTACAGAATTAAAGAGGGTTAAAGCCTTGTTCTAGATTGGGCTTTGGCATAAGGTACTGTGGCTGGTTTGATCTATCCAGACCACTCAGCTTCCTCTACATCAGCAATAAGGCTGTTTGCTTTTTTGTTTTTGTTTTTGTTTGAGACGGAGTCTCGCTCTTTCGCCCAGGCTGGAGAGTGCAGTGGCGTGATCTCAGCTCACTGCAAGCTCCACCTCCTGGGTTCACGCCATTTTCCTGCCTCAGCCCCCCAAGTAGCTGGGACTACAGGCACCTGCCACCATGCCTAGCCAGGCATACACTTTTTTGTATTTTTAGTAGAGACAGGGTTTCACTGTGTTAGCCAGGATGGTCTCGATCTCCTGACCTCGTGATCCGCCCACCTCGGCCTCCCAAAGTGCTGGGATTACAGGCGTGACCCACCGCGCCTGGCCAAGCTGTTTGCTTTCTTACCATTCACATTTTCACTGGAATAGCACTTCCAATTTCCTTCAAGAGCTTTTCTTTTGTATTTACAACTTGGCTGTTAGATGCAAGAGGCATGGCTTTTGGCCTGTCTTGGCTTTGATGTGCCTCCTTCACTAAGCATAATCATTTCTAGCTTTTGATTTTACATGAGAAATATGCGACTCTTCCTTTCACTTGTACGCTTAGAGGCCATTGTAGGGTTATTAATTGGCCTCATTTCAATATTGTTGTGTCTCAGGGAATTGGGAGGCCAGAAGAGGGGGAGAGAAACAGGAATAGCCAGTTAGTGGAGCTGTCAGAACACATAACATGTATCGATTCACCATCTTAAAAGGGCATGATTTATGGCACCCCATAACAGTTACTTGCAACAGTAACAGCAAGATCCCCAAAACGTATTTTAATAATGAAAAAGCCTGAAATATTGTGGAAATTACCAAAAGGTAACAGAGATAGAAAGTGAACACATGCTGTTGGAAAAACTTCACCAGTAGACCTGCTCAGTGCAGGGTTGGCACAAACCTTCAATTTGTAAAAAAGAAAAACACCTTTATATCTGTGAAGCACAGTAAAATGAGGTATGGCTTAGTAGGGAACCCCATTTTTAAAGGCTCAGTATGAAGGGTCTTAAATTGAAGATGTATTTTTGCGTTCTGGTTAAGACACTATTCCATTTCAGGGTTTTTTGTTTTTAAGTGGTTTCCCAACACTCCTCAGGGAAATTGAGCAAGAATTCCATCGGCAGTCCTCACATCAGGAACAGTGAAAAAGGATAATGTTTATATGGCACCCGAGATAATCAGATAAGGCCAGAAGACAAGAGTCAGAGGGTTCTGCCTAATCTAAGCCCCACCATCCTGATGTTTAAGGGCCCCTGAATCGGAGGACCCTGCCACAGGCACCAACTGAAGTCTTTTGTCCATGTAACAAATTGCAGCTCAAGTTTCAAAGTCAAATCTGTTGGAGTTCAACTCGGAGGTCCATCATTTCCCGGCTGTGTGACCAGTAGTTTCTTAACCATTCAGCCTCAGTTTCCTCATCTATAAAAAGGAATGATAGTACCACGTACAATTGCCAGTTAAATGCAGTGTGTACATTATCTCATTTAGTCTTCATGCAAACCTTCAAGACTCAATCACAAAGAAATGTCCACACATTTCTTAACAAAGAATACATATGCTACTACATACCAACTCTCCTTTGTCAGGGAATCCAATCTAGATTGGTTTAAAATAATTATAGGAAAGAAATTCAGCAGTGAAATATGTGACTATATTGGATGCTTGCTATTTGTCATTTACTGTATTTCTAGCGCTTGTGCCATGTAAGGGCTGATGAACTCAAACCGTAGCTCAGCTTTTTGCATGCTCTTTTTTACCCACCTAGAGGTCCAGTGTTTCCTGTGATACTTACCTCTAAACTGCTAAATAGCCACATTTTACGGAAGCATATTCTTCATACCTTTGCTCTAACTTAAATCTCTAACTTTGCACTATATTTAATATGGGTTTTTTGGGGGGAAGGGGGGAGTGGAGTTGGTTTTTTTTGAGACAGAGTCTCGCTGTCTCGCCCAGGCTGGAGTGCAGTGGCACAATCTCAGCTCACTGCAAACTCTGTCTCCTGGATTCAAGCGATTCTCCTGTCTGAGCCTCCCAAGTACCTGAGATTACAGGCACGTGCCACCACACCCAGCTAATTTTTCTATTTTTAATAGAGACGGGGTTTCACTTTGTTGGCCAGGCTGGTCTGGAACTCCTGACCTCCCGTGATCCGCCCATCTCAGCCTCCCAAAGTGCTGGGATTACAGGCGTGAGCCACCACACCTGGCTAATCTGTTCTTCACTTTCTTTTCTATACTCACTACAAAAAAGGGCAAGGAAGTCTTCACAGCTGCACTTACTAACACCGTCACGGCTCTGTTTTGGCCATCATCTGTTTATTAACTAAACTCTCTTCTCTCCCAACTCCAAATCTTTGTTTCTTCTAGATTGAGTTCTCTCCCTGAAGAGCCTAATCCAACCTGGTCCCTGTAACTGCCCTGATACCTTAGGAGATACCTGGGCTTATTTAACTTCTCTCTGGCCACCATGTCTTTTTCCAGCCTGAGTCAAAGTATATTCTTTGCTCTAACCTAATTCTTTTAAGAATGACAGAGTAAAATAAGTAAAATTTATATGAGGAGGGAGAGGGAGGAGGCAATCAAGAGAATGAATAGTCCCTATTCTTGATTAATCCTTATTATAACTATGAGTTCAAGGGCAATTATATAATCTTGTTAAAGCACCAGGCTAAAAACTTGACATGGAATTGTAATTTCTGTTGTGTATCTAATTACTATGAAAGCCTAGTTCTACCTGTTTCATCATTTATAAAGGGAATTGCAACCCCCACCACGACCAACAAAGTAGTTTCAGAGATTGGGAGGGACTAAGCTAGTCAATGTAAACCAAGCTTGTCCAGCCCATGGCCCGCAGGCCTCAGTGTGGCCCAGGATGGCTTTGAATGCTGCCCAACACAAATTAGTAAATTTCCTTAAAACATGCACAGATCTTTTTTTTTTTAAAGCTCATCAGCTATTGTTAATGTTTGTGTATTGTATGTGTGGCCCAAGACAATTCTTCTTCCAATGTGGCCAAGAGAAGCCAAAATATTGGACCACCCCTGAGTAAACACTGAAATTAATTAACTTCTTCCCTTTTGGATTTTAATTACATAAGTAATAATAAGCTCATTTTTTAATACTTCACCCATTCCTGTATTGTTTGAAACATAAATCCTTTCCCCATTCCCAAAGGTAACAACATATTAACAGTCTGAATGTCATTCCAAGCTTTTCTGCAGTCATTCAAACATATCACTCTTTTTCTAATATTAGGAAAATCTTCACACATACAGAAAGAACTTTACAGTAAACTCACCACCTAGATCTACCATTAACATTTTACTCTACTAGTTTCATCACATTTCATCCATCAATTGGTCTTGTTCATTTTTGCATTTCATAATAAACTGCAGACATTAGTATATTTCCACCTAAATACTTCATCATTCATACCATTAATGATTCAGTCTTGGCCGGGTGCGGTGGCTCACGCCTGTAATCCCAGAACTCTGGGAGGCCAAGGCGGGCAGATCAGCAGGTTAGGAGATTGAGACCATCATGGCTAACACGGTGAAACCACGTCTCTTCTAAAAATACAAAAAATTAGCCGGGCGTGGTGGCAGGCACCTGTAGTCCCAGCTACTCAGGAAGCTAAGGCAGGAGAATGGCATGAACCTGGGAGGCGGAGCTTGCAGTGAGCTGAGATCGCGCCACTGTACTCCAGCCTGGGCTACAGAGCAAGACTCCGTCTCATTCATAAATAAATAAATAAATAAAATGATTCAGTCTTTCTTTACAGTTTTTTTCTGAAGTAAATATTACATGAGACACACGTCTTAAATGTACATTTGCTAAGTTTTGATAAATGTATACACCTGTGTAACCCCAGCCCTATCAAAGATACAGAATATTACCTATCACCCCCAGAAAGTTCTCTCCTGCCCTGTCCAAGTTAATCTTTATCCCACCCCTCCAGAAATAACTACTATTCTGATGTTTTTCCACCAGAGATATCACAAGATATCACATGGTTTTATGATTCATTGTGAACCACAGATGTACAAATATAGGTTAAATTATTGGTCAGAGGCCATACTGATGTTAAGTGCTTTTTGTTGAAAGGATTCATATTTATGATGATTTTAGTTCTATAGTCACTGCATCTTAGTCAGATTATTTGACTAGTATGGATGGATTTTACAAACATTTTGTGGAATTCTTTTTTTAACCTTAGGGAACCTCCACAAGGAGCTCATTTTCTTTCCAGAAGTCTAGATGATGCCTTAAAACTTACTGAACAACCAGAATTAGCAAATAAAGTAGACATGGTCTGGATAGTTGGTGGCAGTTCTGTTTATAAGGTAAGTGTAGTTGTTGGTAAATAAAAACAAATGTTCTGTTCTACTTTCAGCTTCCTTGCCATTTAAAGGAAGTGGAAGAAACAGGTATAACTCATTGTCTGAACCTTTAAAAAATTAAGCCATGCGTATAGGAAGCAGCACATTATCTGTACTGTAAATTATTTGTTGTTAGTTGAAATTATTTGTTGTTTGATACTATACAAACTAAATAGAAATGCAAAAATAAATATTTTAGTCTGTATCAGCCTTTTTTATTTATTCATTTATTTTTGAGACAGGGTCTTGCTTTGTCACCCAGGCTAGTGTGCAGTGGCACTGTCTCACTGTAGCCTCGAGCTCCAAGGCCCAAGCAATCCTCCCACCTTTCCTCCCAAGTAGCTGGGATTATAGGCACACACCATCGTGCCCGGCTAATTTTTGTATATTTTGTAGAGTCAGGATTTTGCCATGTTGCCCAGGCCGGTCTTGAACTCCTGGGTTCAGGCAATTCACCTCCCAATGTGCTGGGATTACAGGTGTGAACCACCACACCCAGCCTATTTATCTTTTTAATTGGCAAATAATTGCATATATATATATATATATATATATATATATTATGTACAACATGTTGTTTTGAAATGTGTATACATTGTAGAATGGCTAAATGGAGCTAATTAACATGTATTACCCACTTATTTTGTGTGGTAAGAACACTTAAAGTCTACTCTCTTAGCAATTTTCAAGAATACATTTGTTATTAACTAAAATAATAGATGTTGTACAATAGATCTCTTGAACTTACTCCTCCTATGTAACTGAAATTTTGTATCCTGTGACCAACATCTCCCCAATACCAATCTACTTTCAAATCAAAGAATAATTGATGTTTCCAATTTAAAATCCATTCTAAATCTTTTCCTGAGAATTGTACTTGCATTGCACTGGTTTCTACTCCCTGAATGTACCCTAGATACACTGAGTTATGCCTTTGTCTTTCAGGATGAATATATCTCTTACTGAGAAAGGGTTGGGGCTCTCAGTTGATATACACTAACTAGATGTATATGAATTTATTACAAGTAGAAAACTTCTTCAACCAATTTTTTTTTGTTTTGTTTTTGTTTTTTTGAGATGGAGTCTCACTCTGTCAAGACTCAGTCGCCCAGGCTGGAGTGCAGTGACACGATCTTCGGCTCACTGCAAGCTCCACCTGCCAGATTGACGCCATTCTCCTGCCTCAGCCTCCTGAGTAGCTGGGACTACAGGCGCATGCCACCACACCTGGCTAATTTTTTTGTATTTTTAGTAGAGACGGGGTTTCACTGTGTTAGCCAGGATGGTCTCAATCTCCTGACCTGCTGATCCACGCACCTCGGCCTCCCAAAGTGTTGGGATTACAGGCGTGACCCACTGCGCCCGGCCAATATACCTCTTTTTTAATACCAAATGACTTCCAGCTTTAAAATTTTTGAGGATAACAAATAGAATTCTTTGCCTTTTAAAACACCAATGAAAAATTAACATTTATGAGGAGGAAGAAAAATCTAGTTTCTGCCATGTGGGTGGTCTTGTGGTAAGATATATACAGTGAAATTATTTTAGAAAGAAGAGGTAGGCCGACGCCTGTAATCCCAGCACTTTGGGAGGCCAAGGCGGGTGGATTGCTTGAGGTCAGGATCTAAAAACCAGCTGGGCCAAGATGGTGAAACTCCATCTCTCCTAAAAATACAAAAATTAGTTGTGTGTGGGCGCGGGCCCCTGTAGTCCCAGCTACTTGGGAGGCTGAGGTGGGAAAATCACTTGAACATGGGGGGCAGAGGTTGCAGTAAGCTGAGATCGTGCCACTGCACTCCAGCCTGGGTAACAGAGTGAGACTCTGTCTCAAAAAAAAAAAAAAAAAAAAAAAAAACTCTCAGTTTCTTGGGCTCCTGTTTCTAGAACCTCTTATGTTCCCCATTTGTAATAGAAGAAAAGGGACATTTTTTCTTGATATTTTTATCCAAGTATGAATTTCTTCTAAGAAAACAAGTTATTTATTTTGTTCAGTGCCTACCACACTTTGAATGATTCATTACCATAGTCACTTGAAAATGTATTCTTTAAGCAATATAAGTACGTAAATGCCTTTATATAATATGATAAATCTACATATAGATAAATAGGAAGTAGAACCTTCGAATGGTATTTTTACACCTGCCTCACATCACAACAGCTTGTAGATATCATTCAGGCTTATCTTCCTATGGGCCAAATCGGACCTCCCAGCCTGTTTTTGTAAAGAAAGTTTCAGTGGAACACAGACCCACCCATTCATTCAGTTCTGTCTGTGGCCTGCAAAGGTAGGAAACCCTATGGCCCTCAGAGCCTAAAATATTTACCATCACTCCTTTTACAGAAGGTTTGCCTTGTATAATCAACTTTTTTTTTCTTTTTTTTTGAGACGGAGTTTCGCTCTTTTTGCCCAGGCTGGAGCGCAATGGTGCAGTCTTGGCTCACCGCAACCTCCGCCTCCCGGGTTCAAGTGATTCTCCTGCCTCAGCCTCCCAAGTAGCTGGGATTACAGGCATGCGCCACCACGCCCAGCTAATTTTGTATTTTAAGTAGAGATGGAGTTTCTCCATGTTGGTCGGGCTGGTCTCAAACTCCTGACTTCAGGTGATCCACCTGCCTCGGCCTCCCAAAGTGCTGGGATTACAGACGTAAGCCACTGCAGCCGACTTATAATCAACTTTAATGCAGAACTTCACCACCACAGTCAATCTAATAATCCAGACAGCTCCTAAGTGACTAAGGGGCAGGTAACATAGACAGCATGTGCAGGACAAAGGGATAATTCACGCCCTAGGCAGGACAGAGCAGAATGGCTCAAGATTTCTTCACACTACTTAGAACAGCATGTCATTTAAATCTTATGAATTATTTCTGGAATTTTCCAGTTAATATTTTCAGACCACAGTTGACCATAGATAACAAACTGGAAAGTGAAACTGCAGATAAGGGGGGAGTCTGCATTCCACTTTTTAAATTTTTGGTACAGTAAGAATTAGTAGAGCATCTATTTGGTTGTAGCAAAGATAATAAATGATTTAATATAAAATGATATATTGAAAATAAAAAGTGAAATTTGTTCTGTACCCTTATTTGGAATTTTAAAAATAAACACTTGGATTTGTTGTGTGTGTGTGTGTGTGTGTGTATTTTTCTTTTCTATAAACTATTTGAGATCAAGAATTACTGCTTTGTTAGAATTGCAATTAAGACATACTTTTTATGAATGAGAATTTTAATACACTCATTCTAGGGCAACTTTTTCTGTAGAAATTATCAACCATATTTTAGGCAGTAGTTAGAAAAGTCATGTACAATATAAAGCCAAATGTTAATACAATTGTTAGCACCAAGAAGCAGAAAAATTACCTATCTACTAGCATTGTAATTATCTTCTGAGAATTGGAAGCATTACAAAATTTTATGTATATGTATTAAGTATGCTCTTGGGGTTTTCCATAGTCAAGGTCTCATTAAATTGTACTATCTTATTCATACAAGTTTATGTAAATTTTTCTATGGAGAGCAACTAGATAATTTGGGGCTCTTAACTCTAAACAGCCAAAGGGAAAACAATAAAAGAGAATGCTTAAATTAAAAAGTTCTTGTAAGCAAACTGGAGGCCAGACTATATTTAAACTCAGTCTCTCATAATTATTGATAATGGTTAGTGTCATTCTCAATATAACTAAGGCATACTTTGCAGCACCCCAGATGAAAGAATAGTATATTTTAATAATATGCTTTGGCAGCACCAAGCATATTTTTAATACCTAGTATAAACTTAACTAAACATAAATCTTAGAGTTTCTTTGTCTTTTGACACACATTAAGAAAACTGATGTTGTTTTATTTCAAAGGAAGCCATGAATCACCCAGGCCATCTTAAACTATTTGTGACAAGGATCATGCAAGACTTTGAAAGTGACACGTTTTTTCCAGAAATTGATTTGGAGAAATATAAACTTCTGCCAGAGTAAGTATAAGGTTATTAATTAGTCTGAAGCACTTTGGATTTCCTGCTTAAGACTATAGAAAATAACATGTCTTTTCAGACTACAAATTGGGTTCACTGTGTACTGCTAGGATGATGGGTGCACCAAAATCTCACAGATCACTACTAAAGAACTTACTCATGTAACCAAATACAACCTGTTCCCCAAAAACCTATGGAAATAATAAATTAAAAAAAAAAAAAAAAAGCTTGGCACAGTGACTCATGCCTGTAATCCCAGCACTTTGGGAGGTCGAGGCAGGGGCAGATCACCTGAGGTCAGGAGTTCAAGACCAGCCTGGCCAACATGGTGAAACCCCGTCTCTACTAAAAATACAACAAATTAGCTGGGCATGGTGGTGCATGCCTGTAATCCCAGCTACTTGGGAGGCTCAGGCAGGAGAACTGCTTGTTCCTGGGAGGCAGAGGTCGTAGTAAGCCAAGATCACGCCATTGCACTCCAGCCTGGGCGACAGAGCAAGACCGTCTCAAAAACAAACAAAAAAAAATATTAAGTATTTTAACACCTGAGCATGTGATGTCTTTCCCCTTGTTTAGGTCCTATTTCGTTCAGCGATGTTTTATACCTTTCAGTGTTAATTTCATACTTATGTATTCTATTCCTTTTGATGCTATTGTAAATGGTATTTTCTTTAGTTTCAGACTGTTTATTGCTAGTTACAGAAATGCAAATGATTTTTGTTTATTGATCTTGTATCTTGCAACCTTGCTGAACTCATTTGTAATTCTGTCAATAGATTCCTTAGGATTTTCTCTATACAGTATAATGTCATCTGCAAATATAGGTTTACTTCTTCCTTTTTAATCTGGATTTTTTCTTTGCCTAATTGCCGTGGCTAGACCTGCCAGTACAGTGTTGACTAAAAGATAGCAAGAGCAGACTTACTTATCTTGCTCCTAATCTTAGAGGGGAAGCTTTTCTCTCTCATCAAGTGCGATTTAAGCTGTGAGTGCCTTTATCACATTGAGGAAGATCCCTTCTGTTTCCAGTTTATTTAGTATTTTTTATCATGAGAGTATTATACATTTTGTGACATGCTTTTTCTGAGTCTATTGAGATGATCATGTGGTTTTTGTCTTTTATACTAATATTTTAATGTACTATTAATATGGTATATCACATTGATTTTCATGTTAAACTAATGTTTCTGGGATAAATTCTACTTGGTAATGGTATATAATCCTTTTTATATGTTACTGGGCTTAGGTTGCTAGTATTTTGTTGAAGATTTTTGCATTTATATTCAGAAGGGATGATTTATAGTTTTTTTTGTTTTAATGCCTTCCCCTGGTTTTGTTATCAGGATAAAAGTGACCTCATAGAGTGAGTTAGGAGATGTTCTCTTCCCTTCTGTTTTTTTGAAAGAGTTTGTGACAGATTGTTAGTACTTCTTAAATGTCTTAGAAAATTTTAATAGTGAATCGATTGAGAGAGGAATACGGAAATTGCTCCAAAGTGGAGATTCTAAACAAGGCTATGGGAGAAAGCAAAAAACTCTTCCATTGCAACATTTGATGGTCATTTGTACTTTCAGGCATGTACTAACATAACATCATAACAGCCTCTTTAATGGAATGGAGGGAATTCTCTAACGGGAGACCTAGAGTAAGTCAGTCCTTCATTCTATGGAGAAAAAGGAAACCTGTGAAGATAAAGTGAATATACTTTGTCCCTGGAAAACACATTGCTCAGTTCTGGAGCGGCTTTCTCTCCAGATCTCTGTGCGCTGGGGAACTTAGATTTGCTTTCTACTGTCCAAATATAAACTTTGGTCATTCTCCACCTCCCCTATCCCTTTCCCCACAGCTACTCACTTAGTTTAAGTCCCGTTGTCTCTATCAGTTAACCTCTTGTGGTTATATAGGTTTCTGTTCAAACATAAAGTCTTTTATTAACACCATTCTTCCCGATTTAAAAAATAAACAGACTAATATAGTGAAATACAGATGAAAGAGAGAACTTGTGAGACAAGAAGAGAATAAAATTAGAATGTGGAAGGAGCCACAAGTGATGGGAGCCAGAGCAGACGGTCATATTAATAAAGTAAGGTGGTTTTACTTTGTGTCTGCCGTCAGCTCTGTACGTCATTGTGCAGTCGATTTTTCAACAGCACTGTGCCAGCCTATCCTCTAGGGCTCTGCTCTCATTCATCTTGCCTGGAAGAAATCTTTCTCAGACTATTTCACACTAGACCCCAACCAAACCAGCAGGCCCAGATATTTTATATTGGCAGTTTTCTACTTAATGAGCCCCAAACAGGCTTTTACTTCTAGTTAACAATCTTCTGTGTGACCACATAGTCAAAGAGAAGACAGATTAAAAGAGGCCTGTGGAGGCAGTAGTTGGCTCCAGAGCTGGGACAGATGCCCCTTATCAGTGGACACCTTGAAGTAGGTTTTGGATGGGCTGATGTTTCTTCTTCTGACCCTAAAACTTCCTGTCAGGATGCTGGCATACTCGTCCACATGACTCGGATATCCCTTTGCTCCTGAGCCTGTGCTTCCTGTAGAGTCTTGATTTTAATTGTATTTTGGTTTTTTGGTTTATTTTTTGTTTTTGAGATGGAGTCTTGCTCCGTTGCCCAGGCTGGAGTGCAGTGGCACGATCTTGGCTCATTGCAACCTCCACCTCCCAGGTTCAGCGATTCTCCTGCCTCAGCCTCCCAAGTAGCTGGGATTACAGGCACGTGCCGCCATGCCCAGCTAATTTTTGTATTTTTAGTAGAGACAGGGTTTCATCATGTTGGCCAGGCTTGTCTCGAACTCCTGACCTCAGATGATCCGCCCGCCTCGGCCTCAGCCTCCCAGAGTGCTGGGATTGGAGGCATGAGCCACCGCACATGGCCCAAAAACTTCTTGATATGTTGCTTTTGTCTTATGAACTGACAATCTTGACACTTGAGAATTTTGCACAAAAAATGTATGTAGATGTTACTTTTCATGACTCATTCCAGAGAGACTAAAATTATAATAGAAAATGGTTAATAGAAACATTGCTTCTTCCCCTGAAATATAAATTATTCCAGAAAGTATCTTTTTCTTTTCCCTATAATTTTGTTACATTGTATCTCTGTTTTTGTTTTTTTTTTTACCAAAAATGCATAATCTCTAATTAGTCAGCAAAGGTTAATGTCTATTATTACTCAGCAATGTATTGAATATCATGAGACTTAAAAGTTTACTGTGTTGTCCCTGCCTACAATGAGTTTAAAAAATAGAGAAACGAGGCGGGCGGATCACGAGGTCAGGAGATCGAGAACATCCTGGCTAACACAGTGAAACCCCGTCTCTACTAAAAATACAAAAAATTAGCTGGATGTGGTGGCGGGTACCTGTAGTCCCAGCTACTCGGGAGGCTGAGGCAGGAGAATGGCATGAACCCAGGAGGCGGAGCTTGCAGTGAGCCAAGATTGCACCACTGAACTCTAGCCTGGGCTACAGAGCGAGACTCCGTCTCAAAAAAAAAAAAAAAAAAAGAGAAATGAAACAAACCAATAATACTAGTAGGCACCATTTATAGAACACTTGATGTGTTAGGCACAATGCTACATTCTTTTTTGGTTTTGGGGGATGGGGGCGGAGTCCTGCTCTGTCACTGAAGCTGGAGTGCAGTGGCGCCATCTTGGCTCACTGCAACCTCTGCCTCCCAGGTTCAAGCAATTATCCTGCCTCAGCCTCCTGAGTAGCTGGGATTACAGGCACCCGCCACCATGCCCGGGTAATTTTTGTATTTTTATTAGAGACAAGGTTTCCCCATGTTGGCCAGGCTGGTTTCGAACTCCTGACCTCAAGTGATCCACTCACCTTGGCCTTCCAAAGTGCTGGGATTACAGGCGTGAGCCACTGCACCTGGCCAACAATGCTACATTTTTTACAAGGATGAAGACTTTATTGACAGCCAGGCTCGGAGGCATGTCACACAGCAGAACCAGAGTGAAGCACAGTCTGATTCAAGCAGGCGTTCCTGACCACCTGGAGCATACTGGGGTGCAGCCTGCATAGTACTGAAGAAGTAACCAAAGATTGGGGTTCATTGGAGGCTGGAAGGGTCAGAAGATTCCTCAGTGGAGAAGCTGGGTTTGGAAGGGGAGCTGGAGAGAACACAGGCTTAAGTGAGAGTTAGGGAACAGGAATAGCAGATCCTAATAAAGGAATTACAATCTGCCACACATTGTGGAATTAGGGCAGTATAGTCTCCATCAATCAAACAGAAGCAGAGAACCTGTCACTGTCCAGGGCACATAATTTCAGTTATGTTCTAAACAGCTTCAGATTGTATTTTTGTCTTTTGCTTACACAAGAAATGTGATACCAAATGTAAGTCTTGCAAAAAATTCTTAAGAAATTTCCTGTTAGCTGGGTGATAGAGTGGAAAGATACAAGGGAAACTGCTGACTGGTTTTTGAGAGAATGAGGAATCCAAAGGAAACAAAAAAGGAGAAATTACACTTTTTGTTTTCTAACTTTCTATATAGTTTACAGTTTTTTTCTTACCATTTGCATATGTAGTATACTAGCATGATATTTATCCAACTTGACAGTGGCTTACCATTGTGAAGAAAAAAGGGAAACCTTTTATTTGCTTTATGCACTATTGATGCATTTAAACTGAGAATCAGGGAAGCTGTGTTTTTAATGGACACATAATTTAATTATATATTTTTTCTTACAGATACCCAGGTGTTCTCTCTGATGTCCAGGAGGAGAAAGGCATTAAGTACAAATTTGAAGTATATGAGAAGAATGATTAATATGAAGGTGTTTTCTAGTTTAAGTTGTTCCCCCTCCCTCTGAAAAAAGTATGTATTTTTACATTAGAAAAGGTTTTTTGTTGACTTTAGATCTATAATTATTTCTAAGCAACTAGTTTTTATTCCCCACTACTCTTGTCTCTATCAGATACCATTTATGAGACATTCTTGCTATAACTAAGTGCTTCTCCAAGACCCCAACTGAGTCCCCAGCACCTGCTACAGTGAGCTGCCATTCCACACCCATCACATGTGGCACTCTTGCCAGTCCTTGACATTGTCGGGCTTTTCACATGTTGGTAATATTTATTAAAGATGAAGATCCACATACCCTTCAACTGAGCAGTTTCACTAGTGGAAATACCAAAAGCTTCCTACGTGTATATCCAGAGGTTTGTAGATAAATGTTGCCACCTTGTTTGTAACAGTGAAAAATTGAAAACAACCTGGAAGTCCAGTGATGGGAAAATGAGTATGTTTCTGTCTTAGATTGGGGAACCCAAAGCAGATTGCAAGACTGAAATTTCAGTGAAAGCAGTGTATTTGCTAGGTCATACCAGAAATCATCAATTGAGGTACGGAGAAACTGAACTGAGAAGGTAAGAAAAGCAATTTAAAGTCAGCGAGCAGGTTCTCATTGATAACAAGCTCCATACTGCTGAGATACAGGGAAATGGAGGGGGGAAAGCTGGAGTATTGATCCCGCCCCCCTCCTTGGTTGTCAGCTCCCTGTCCTGTGTGTGGGCGGAACATAGTCCAGCTGCTCTATAGCAAGTCTCAGGTGTTTGCAGTAAGAAGCTGCTGGCATGCACGGGAACAGTGAATGCCAAACACTTAAAGCAATTCGATGTTTAAGTATGTAAGTTCTTTTTTTTTTAGACAGCGTTTCGCTCTTGTTGCCCAGGCTAGCATGCAATGGTGTGACCTCGGCTTACTGCAACCTCCGCCTTCCCAGATTCAAGCGATTCTCCTGCCTCAGGCTCCCAAGTAGCTAGGACCAGGTGCGCGCCACCACGCCCGGCTAATTTTTGTATTTTGTATTTTTAGTAGAGATGGGGTTTCACCATGTTGGTCAGGCTAGTCTCGAACTCGTGACCGCAAGCGATTCACCCACCTCAGCCTCCCAAAGTGCTGGGATTACCGGCTTGAGCCACCACACCCGGCACATCTTCATTCTTTTTATGTAGTAAAAAGTATAAGGCCACACATGGTTTATTTGAAGTATTTTATAATTTAAAAAAATACAGAAGCAGGAAAACCAATTATAAGTTCAAGTGAGGGATGATGGTTGCTTGAACCAAAGGGTTGCATGTAGTAAGAAATTGTGATTTAAGATATATTTTAAAGTTATAAGTAGCAGGATATTCTGATGGAGTTTGACTTTGGTTTTGGGCCCAGGGAGTTTCAGATGCCTTTGAGAAATGAATGAAGTAGAGAGAAAATAAAAGAAAAACCAGCCAGGCACAGTGGCTCACACCTGTAATCCCAGCGCTTTGGGAGGCTAAGGCAGGCAGATCACTTGAGACCAGCTTGGGCAACATGGCAAAGCCCCATCTCTACAAAAAACACAAAAATTAGCTGGGCATTGTGGCGCACACCTGTATTCCCATCTAGTCAGGAAGCTGAGATGGAAGAATTAATTGAGCCCACGAGTTCAAGGCTGCAGTGAGTCGTGATTGTGCCACTGCACTCCAGCCGGGGTGACAGAAGAGACCTTGTCTCGAAAAGGAATCTGAAAACAATGGAACCATGCCTTCATAATTCTAGAAAGTTATTTTCAACTGATAAATCTATATTCACCCAAATAATCAAGGGTGAAGGTAAAATAATACATTTTTAGACAAGCAAAGACTCAGGGGTTACCTCCATGTGCCCTTTTTAGGGAAGCTGTTGGAGAAAATACTCCAGCAAAATGAAGGAGTACACAAACCAGAGAATGACATGAATCCAGCAAATAGGATCCAACACAGGCAATATTCCAGCTATGGAGCTAGCTTTAAAAAGGAACAGTAAAAATATTAATCGGTTAGCTGGGTGGAATGGCCCATGCCTGTAGTCCCAGCTACTCAGGAGGCTCAGCAGCAGGACGACTTGAGCCCAAGAGTTCCAGACCAGCCTGGCCACCTTAGTGAGATCCCTTCTCTTAAAAATAATAACTTATTGCCAGATTTGGGGCATTTGGAAAGAAGTTCATTGAAGATAAAGCAAAAGTAAAAAAAAAAAAAAAAAAAACAAGGGGAAAGGGTTGGTTAGGCAATCATTCTAGGGCAGAAAGAAGTACAGGATAGGAAGAGCATAATACACTGTTTTTCTCAACAAGGAGCAGTATGTACACAGTCATAATGATGTGACTGCTTAGCCCCTAAATATGGTAACTACTCTGGGACAATATGGGAGGAAAAGTGAAGATTGTGATGGTGTAAGAGCTAAATCCTCATCTGTCATATCCAGAAATCACTATATAATATATAATAATGAAATGACTAAGTTATGTGAGGAAAAAAACAGAAGACATTGCTAAAAGAGTTAAAAGTCATTGCTCTGGAGAATTAGGAGGGATGGGGCAGGGGACTGTTAGGATGCATTATAAACTGAAAAGCCTTTTTAAAATTTTATGTATTAATATATGCATTCACTTGAAAAACTAAAAAAAAACAATAATTTGGAAAAACCCATGAAGGTAACTAACGGAAGGAAAAACTAAGAGAATGAAAAGTATTTGCCTCTGGAAAGAACAACTGGCAGGACTGTTGTTTTCATTGTAAGACTTTTGGAGCCATTTAATTGTACTTAACCATTTTCATCTATTTCTTTAATAAGAACAATTCCATCTTAATAAAGAGTTACACTTGTTAATAAGTGCTGGCCTCCTGTTGTTCTTTGTACACCCCACACAAAATTTCAAAGAAACTTTGATGGCAATATATCTCCATGGTCAGCTTAAAAATAGAGAAAGGAAAACATAGAATTAGCCAAGAGTCACACAAAACAAAGATCAGTTGTTTGTTAGGAAACAATCAAAATCAAGTCTCACTTTTTCCAGATTGGCTTATGGAACAGCACTGTAAGGTGATAACTTGGGGCAAACATGTAAATAATAAAACATATGTTTTAAATATTCAGGTTAGCACATTTTATGTTTCTGTGAGATTAAAATTGTGTGTGACATACCCGCTTCCTTAAAGGCAATGTTTCTGAAAATGTTGTACCTGCTATTCCTGAATCAGGGATGGGTCCCAGAATCTGCCTTTTAAACATCTCAGATAATCTGAAGCCTGCTTAAGTTTGTAAGGCACTGCTTTTGCACTCTAAGGAAGAAAAAAACAAGTTTTAATTCCCGTCTCTAGAACATCTCAGTGAAGCAAAACAGGAAAGCAAATTATAAGTTAGTATATGTAAGATTTCAGAAGGCAAAGTTGTAAAGATTAGATTTCCTTAGCCTGGGAACATGGCAAAACCACGTCTCTACAAAAAATACCAAAAAAATTAGCTGCGTATGGTGGTGTGTGCCTGTAGGCCCAGCTACTTGGGAGGCTGAGGTAGGAGGATCACTTGAGCCCAGGAGGTGGAGGCTGCAGTAAACCAAAATCGTGTCATCACTCCAGCAGCCTGGGTGACAGACCAAAACCCTGTCACAAAAAGATTTCCTTGTTGCTGATCTGTTTTAAGAACAAGACGTTCTTAAATGTGTAATGCAAATACATATAAAACTATTTAATATCAGTAACTCCAAGAGAACGAGTAAACAAACTAGATTTCCCTTAGCAAGATGCTTTTCTTACACAGGTAGTAAACTAAAAACTGTAAAGTTAATGGCCTAATTAGGCAACATGACTGTGAGGAAAAGATTGGCTGGCCAGCCGTTGAAAGGATTCAGACAAACAGTTATCTATGAAAGATTGAACCTTGTAATTAAAAATGTTCCAGCGGGGAGAAAGAAAAGAAGTGCATGATTAAATGACTAATGGGAATAGAATTAGAGACTCTATAAGGAGAATACTTTTTGTTTTTGAGAGTCTCACTCTGTCGCCCAGCCTGGAATGTAGTGATGGCAGTCTCGACTCACTGCAACCTCTGCCTCCTAGGTTCAAGCAATTCTGCCTCAGCCTCCCTGTAGTTGGGATTACAGGTGTGTGCCATCAAGCCTAGCTAATTTTTTTTGTTTTTTGTTTTTTTTTTGAGACAGTCTCCCTCTGTCGCCCAGGCTGGCGTGCAGTGGCGCAATCTTGGCTCACGGCAACCTCCGACTCCAGGGTTCAAGCGATTCTCCTGCCTCAGCCCCCAATTAGCTGGGATTACAGGCCCCCACCACCACGCCGGGCTAATTTTTGTATTTTTAGTAGAGACAAGGTTTCACCATGTTGCCCAGGCTGGTCCTCAAGTGTCACCCAGGCTGCAGTGCAGTGGCACAATCTTGGCCCACTGCAACCTCTGCCTCCCGGGTTCAAGCAGTTCACCCTCAGCCTCCCCAATAGTTGGGATTACAGGTGTGTACCACCACCCCCAGCTAATTTTTGTATTTTTAGTAGAGACAGGTTTTTGCCATGTTGGCCAAGCTGGTCTCAAACTCCTGACCTCAAGTGATCCACCCACCTCGGCCTCCCAAAGTGCTGGGGTTACAGGCCTGAGCCACCACGCTTGGCCAATTTTTGTATTTTTAGTAGAGACAGGGTTTCACCATGTTGGCCAGGCTGGTCTCAAATGATCAACTGCTGGTCTCAAATGATCAACTCCTGGCCTCAAGTGATCTGCCTGCCTCTGCCTCCCAAAGTGTTGGAATTACAGGCATGAGCTACTGCACCTGGCCCAAGATATTATTACAGGCCCCCGCCGTCACAGGGATAAAGGGGAATAAAGCCCCTGGCCAAACAGAAGAAAGAAGGCCTATAAACCACATGAAGTGCTGTTCCTGTTACCCGGGGGAATTACTTTAATGACCGTTTCTAATCATCTGCTCCTGTCCTTTCTGTTCCCCAGCTGACCTCATGTGTACCAGGAAGTTACTCTGTAAATACAGTGACATTTCTGTTGAAACTTTTTCTTAAAAAAAAAAAAAAAGACAAAACACATTGGTGTGTGATATTTCAAATAGCTTTGTAGTAGATAATCAAATGTGAAATCTAATCAGAAGAAAAAATTAGATGGTCTCTACTTTGCCTAGGAGCCCTAACAAAGACAAACACAAGACAAAGCCTAAAGGGATAGAGTTTTGTCTGCAAGGAGGAAAAGACTTCATGGTGCTGGAGGTCAGGAAAACCTGGGGGGAAGAGAGATTTTTTTCAGCACCTACCAGCTAAAGTAATTAGGGAAAGGGATCCTGAATTAGACTGCCTCTTTTTCAGTGCCTAGTCATGTTCCCCTCCAAAAGGCCAGAGACAAGGAGTTAGGAGGCTTCTAGTTGACCTGATTCACTGTCCACAGGTTGACTTCTCACTGCCAGTTGTCTTTACTTTTGATATGTGAATTGGCAAAACTTAGACTAGGGATTCCTCCCCCTCCCCCACCATGCCATACCCCTCAACATTTTATAATGACTAATTCAAGCACACGGAAAGGTTGACAGAATTGTACAGTAAGCACCCATTTACCTATCACCTAGATCCTATCATTAACACTGCTATCTCTGCTTTATCACATATGGAGCCATCCATCTATCCATCCTATATTTTGACGCATTTTAAAGTTACAGATATCACTATTCTTCATGCCTACATTCTTCAGCTTGCCTATTAACTGTAGTTCACTTTTTTGGTAAAATTTACATAATGAAATGCAGATCTTAAGGATAACATCCTACAGGTTTTGATAATGGCATATACCTTTCTATAACCCAATCTCTTATCACCCTAGAAAACTCCCTCTTACCCCTTTCCAGTCAGTCCTCAACCCCAACCCCCAGAGGTAACCACTATTTTTTTTTTCTCATTATAGATTAGTTTTTCCTGTTTCTGAACTTCATATGAATAGAATCATATAGGATGCACTCTTTTGATCTGGCTTATTGCAGCATGATTTGAGTTTCACCCAAGTTGTTCCATGTATCAGTGGTTTGTTCCTTTTTATTACTACGTAGTGTTAAAAGATAAGTCAAGTCCTATTAAATGTTTTAAAGGGTTTGAGCAAACAGCAATTCACAAATTGGGCAGCTCCAAACCAAGAGTGGTTCAGGGCTCTACCAAGAGAATGCAAGGAAAAGGCTTTTGTAACTTGGAAGCAAGGCAAAGAAAATAATGGCTTGGTTATGACTGTGTAGTTGCCTTATTTGGTCTCCCCCCCGCCAAGTCCCTTGTTATATAAGTCAGTTGGTGGCTACTGATTGAACTTAAACTTCATTTTGCTTTAATGCAGGTATTTACAAAAAAAAAAAATAGTCCAAGTTAAGTTTAGCTTATCAAGGTCAAGTTTGTGTCCAAGGCTTAACTGGCTTTGTCTGCTGAAGAGATTTACAGTCCTGGTCCCCATTTTCTCTTATTCTAACGGTAATATTCCATTGTACAGATGTGCCAGTTTATCCATTCTTCTCTTGATTTTAAGGTGGGACTCAAGACTGGCCTTGAAGAGGCTAGAAAAGCAATGACTAAGGGTCAGGACAAGAACAAATACATATTCCAGGCAGAGGGAAAGCCATGAAGAAACTTCATCTCCAGATTCTAAAACCCAGGACAAGCCCTTAGCAAGGGTGGGTGAGTTGTTATTAGGCCTATATTAGTCCGTTTTCACACTGCTATGAACAACTGCCTGAGACTTGGTAACTTATAAAGAAAATAGTGTTTTTTTTGTTTTTGTTTGTTTTTTTGTTTGTTTGTTTTGAGTTGGAGTGTTGCTCTGTCACCCAGCCTGGAGCGCAGTGGCGCGATCTCAGCTCACTGCAAGCTCTGCCTCCCAGGTTCACGCCATTCTCCTGCCTCAGCCTCCCAAGTAGCTGGGACTACAGGTGCCCGCCACCATGCCAGGCTAATTTTTTTTGTATTTTTAGTAGAGACGGGGTTTCACCATGTTAGCCAGGATGGTCTCGATTTCCTGACCTCATGATCCACCTGCCTCGGCCTCCCAAAGTGCTGGGATTACAGGCGTGAGCCACCGTGCCCGGCCAGAAAAGAGGTTTAACTGACTTACAGTTCTGCATGGTTTGGAAGGCTTCAGGAAACTTATAATCATGGCAGAAGAGGAAGCAGGCATGTCTTACATGGCACAGGCAAGAGAGAAGAGAGCAAAAGGGGAAGAGCCCCTTATAAAACCACCAGATCTTGTGAGAACTTGCTCCCTATCATGAGAACAGCATGGAGGAAACCACCTCCACAATCCAATCACCTCCCACCAGGTCCCTCCCTCGACAGGTGGGGATTACAATTCAAATTACAATTTGAGATGAGATTTGGGTGGAGACATAGCCAAACCTTATCCAGGCCCCACCTCCACCAAGTACTCCACCTTTGCTGTGCCTTTCAATCTGTTCTCTTTCATAACCGCATCTAGTTCATGTCTTTTTGTCTCTTACTTAGACGGCTGGAGAAAACTAAACTGATAGTTTCTCAATCTCTGATCTCCGTCTCCAACAGTCTCTCATAAACATGGCCACAAAGACAATCTTTATTTATTTATTTTTTTTTTTTGAAATGGAGTCTCACTCTGTCGCCTAGGCTGGAGTGCAATGGCGTGATCTTGGCTCACTGCAACCTCCACCTCCTGGGTTCAAGCAATTCTCCTGCCTCAGCCTTCCGAGTAGCTGGGATTACAGGTGCCTGCCACCATGCCTGGGTAATTTTTTGCATTTTTAGTAGAGATGGGGTTTCATGATGTTGGCCAGACTGGTCTCGAACACTTGACCTCAAGTGATCCACCTGCGTCGGGCTCCCAAAGTGCTGGGATTATAGGCGTAAGCCACCGTGCCTGGCCCAAGACAATCTTTCTGAACAGCATCTCTGATTATATCACTTTCTTTCTTGCCTCCTTAATGCTCCCCCGGCTAAGGCGAAACCCCACTTTGGTCTTTAAGGCCCTCTACAGTGGCATTAACCAAACTCTCCAGATTTACCATCTACCATTTTCACTCCCTACATGTTGTACACAAGCTACCTCGGCTCTTCACAAATCCCCAGACAGACCCCAGCTTTGCCACTCCCATGCTCTTCTTTATGCCACTCTCTCTGCCTATAATTCCTCCCTCCTCACATCCTCCAATGCAAATCCTACCTGTTCCTCAAAGCCCAACCCAAATCCCAAATTGAACCTGTCATGAAGCCTGCCTTCTCACCCTCTTCTGAACCATGCAGCACTACCTATTTCAGCCCTTAAATACTGTTTTTCCTTACAGCTGTTTGTTATTCTCATCTCCTCTCCTTTATCAATGAGGAATGTTTTCAGCTGCGAGTGCTAGAAAATCTAACTTACAGTAACTAAAACAAATTGGGATTTTGCTGACTCTGATTGATTGATTGATTGATTGATTGATTGATTTGCCCTCAAAAAATCAAACCAAACTTGGCATTGCAAGATGGCTGCTACTGCTCCAGAGAGCAGGCCCATGTTCACAGTAGGAAGAAGAAATATAGTGTCAGGCACATATTTCCTTTTTGTCTAGAAAGCAAAACTTGCCTCAAATCCTCCTTCCCCAAGCAAACTCTCCCCTTATATTTCAGCGGCTAGAACTGGGGCACGTGGCCACTCCTCGCTGCAAGGCAGGCTAAGAATGTGGAACAAGGATTGTAGTCACTGACTCATTCACATCAGTGGTTCTTAACCCTGGCTGCACACAGAACCAGAGGGATTCTTCAACGTCTGGCTTCACCCCCAGAGAGTCTAATTCTAATTTATGCACATCAGAATTTAGGAGCACTGGCTTAAAACCAACCTTGATTCATCATCTGGGTCTGGCATATTGCTCCCCAACAAACAAAATGAGGGTCTCTTGGCAAGAAAAAAAATGGAGAATGGAGAGAATACAATTAACCATGTTTACTTTTATCTACCCTGTCATATGGCCAGCTATTTCAGGGCAGAAACCACATCTTATTTACTTTTGTCTTCCTGCAAGATGTCTAGAATTCAAAAATGTTGGAGATTAGGTAGACAGATATTGATATATATATTGCAATATGTGTTAAATGTAATTTTGCATATTGTCTTTGGAATCTCATAACCTGTATAACATTGATTCATTAGGAGAATTGGCTTCAAGTCTTAACCAATTTACAAATGAACTATTTGTTTTTTAAAAAAAATCCTGAGGAGGAAACAATCCATAGTTTTTTGTTTGTTTGTTGAGACGAAGTTTCATTCTTGTCACCCAGTCTAGAGTACAGTGGCTTGATCTCGGCTCACTACAACCTCTGCCTCCCGGGTTCAAGTGATTCTCCTGCCTCAGCCTCCCGAGTAGCTGAGACTGCAGGCCCGCACCACCACGCCCAGCTAATTTTTGTATTTTTGGTAGAGACGGGGTTTCACTACGTTGGCCAGGCTAGTCTCGAATTCCTGACCTCAGGTGATCCACCTGCCTCAGCCTCCCAAAGTGTTGGGATTATAGGCTTGAGCCACCATGCCTGGCCAATACTTAGTTCCTTTAATGATGTGTTTGTGTGTTGGTTTTATTCTATGATAACTGAATAGAAAACCATGCTAACTTATTTCTTACTTACTGTGTACCTGGTGGCCATGTGCCCAAAGTATGGGCAAAATACCTAGAAAGGAAATCTTCAGCTTCCTCCCCAGCCATCCTGCTATCTGCTTTCCTCCCAGGTTACTACAGATTCCAGTCTCTTCCTGTAATAAAAAATTTCAGACCATGTGACACACAGACACACAGTCTCGTGACATGCTAGCACAGTGCCTGGGGGAAAAAATCCTGTGACCAATCTAGGATTGAAATATCATATTTAACTGCTACCACATATTCAAATTCATGATGATAAATTCTATGTGACATCCACATTTGGAATTTATCTGGCATTTCATTATATTAGCCACATTGCTATAAATTACATTCCCAATTGATTAAACAAATTTGTTCACTTTCCCTGTCTTACCTTAAAAGTGAAAAGCAATGCTGTTCACCCACTGTGTCAGTAAAGGACTCGCTAGCTGCCTTGGCAGATAAAACCCCAAATTGCAATGACTTAGCACAAGGGAAGTTTATTTCTTATGCACCTGAAGTCCAACATGGGTGTTTTTTTTCTTTTTGTTTTGTTTTTTCTTTTTGTCTTACTTTGTTGCCCAGGCTGGTCTCAAACTCCTGGCCTCAAGCAATCCTCTTACCTCAGCCTCCCAAGCAGCCACTATGCCCAGCTTACCACAGGTGTTTCTGATCCACAGGCAGCCCTCCAGGTAGTGACTTAGGGATCCAGGCTCCTTCCATCTTGTGGCTTGTATCTTCAAGAAGGGATTTCCAAGGTTGTTGCCAAAGAGGAAAGTGCATGGAGGACCACATGTGGGAGGTTTGGCGAGGAGGGCGGGCTGGGAAGTTGCACATACTACTTTTACCCACATTCTTCTGGCCAAAACTTCATCACGTAACCATACCAACTGCAAGGAGACTGGGAAATGTAGTCTAGCTCTGAACCAGGAGGAAGGCGACACAGGCTTGGTGAACAACTAGCCAGGCTCTGCCATACCTATAAAAGGAAAAAGACATACCAGGCTTACAACTTGACTCTCGCTTCCCCACATTTTTCAATTTTTTGGATCTTTGTTTTGGAATTAAGAGATTTGGGTGGAGGGTTTGGAAATGCATCTTGCTTGTAGTGAGGGTCCTTGAGGTGTTTAAAACCAGAAGACTCAAAGGAGTTAATGCTAATTATTCTTTAATGGTTGTGAGAAATAAAAGCAGAGTTCAGCTCTCCTTAGAAAAGAATTCCATATTTTAGGAAAGTGACTCATTTATGAGCAGAGACAGATGTTGCATTATCTCCCTTGTAAAAATGCAATGAAAGCCAGGTGCAGTGGCTTTCACCTGTAAACCCAGCACTTTAGGAGGCCAAGGCAGGAGGATCACTTGAGCCCAGGAGTTCAAGAACAGCCTGGGCAACATAGCAAGACCCCATTTCTAAAAAAATAAAATAAAAAATTTAGCCAGGCATGATGGCACCCACGCTTGTGGTCCCAGCTACTCTGGAGGCTGAGGTGGGAGGATCACTTGAGCCCAGGAAGTCAAGGCTGCAGTGAGCTGAGATTGTGCCACTGCACTGCAGCCTGGGTGATGGAGTGAGACCTTGTCTCAAAAAAAAGGAATGAGTACTATGCTTGGCTGGCATGTGGAGATAATTTTATCATATAGACCCTTTTCCTACATTACACATTGGGCTTGGGTTTTAGTTCTATATTACCTATATTTTCATTGCCTATGTCATTATATTTGGTAAAAAGTGTTCTGTTGTGGGATATGCTATTCTCATTTATCCTTTCCATCTAGACTAGGAAGCCTGTCCTTGCCTAACAGGCCATTAGTAACATAGACTTCTCCACATTCTGTCCTCAAAACTCAACGCTGGAAGATCTTTGTTCCCGGATGTAAGGGAGAGGGAAATATGAACCATGTGGCCTTCTTTGGTGAATGTTCCCTGCTGGGCTTCACCACCCAGTGTTCTCCCATGCTCACCCTCGGGCTGTGTGACAACTCAAACATTTTTCTCACTTCCCAGCTCTGCAGGACTTTGTGGCATTCTGGTTGAAATTAAGAATGTTATCAATTTGCTTAATATGAACTCAGAGAGGAGCAGAAGACATGCTTATTCAGATTGAACAGTTCTGCATTTCCAGCGTAAAAACTTTAGCTTTGGCTGGGCGTGGTGGCTCATGCCTGTAATCCCAACTACTCGGGAGGCTGAGGCAGGAGAATGGCTTGAACCTGGGAGGCGAAGGTTGCGGTGAGCCGAGATCACGCCATTGCACTCTAGCCTGAGCAACAAAAGCGAAACTCCGTGTCAAAAAAAAAAAAAAAAATCACTTTTACTCTGGTACTTAATCATATTGCTCAGAGTTTTCCACAGAAACAGAACCAATAGAATATATATATATTATATATATATATATATATATATATATATATATATATATATATATATAGAGAATAGAACCAATAGAATATATAAAGATTTATTTTAACCAGAACCTATTTTCCCCAAAGCTAGCCATAAAAACTAAACATATTAGTCTAACCTTCCCCCATTTCTGTATAAAAATGGGCCATAAATTCTCTGACCTACCTTGTTTGATTGTAGGTCATAAGCCTCCCATTCTAGGAAAGGTCCTGCCCTGTACCCTGGAGGAATGAGTGCTGCAGAGGGGCCAAGAAGAATCTGCACAGACGAATCTTGCTGGGTTGCCCCCTCTCTGGTGCCATTAAGTCACACCCTTTTGTTCAATCACAGTTCTACATGGCCACCCATTCTTCATCGAATCTAAGCATAAAAATAGACAGTTTTTCTGGGGTCTTTCAGTCTTCATTCTGAAGGCTCCTGTGTTGCATAAAACTAGGATTCAATATGTTTGTTATGCTTTTCTCTTGTTAACTTGGCTTTTATTACAGAAATGTCAACCGTGACTCTTATAATGGTTAGGAAAAGGTATCATCCCTTTCCATACCTACACAGGTGTTAACTATATCTACAAAATACTTTCATAGCAACACCTAGATTCATGATTGTTTACATCACTGAGTACTAAAGCCTGGCCAAGTCAGCAGAGAAAACTAACCATCACAGCAATCAAAGTGACAAAATGCAATTGTGCTATATGCCTCCTTGGAGTTATTCCATTTTCACATCAGAAAGTGTCTTGGGAAGAAGGCAACATTCTCTTTAAGTACTGAAGTCACATTTGTTGATCTATCAGTATGCTTAAGAGTTTGTGGTTCAGTCTAAGCAAAATGACAACCACATTCCGCAGGTTGTTGATTTGTGGTTGGGTCTTAATTGTCACCTCCTTCCCCATAGTTCAGTGATTTTTCAAGCTTAGATCAAAAATGAAAAGTGAACTCGAACTTTGAAGATTATCTTCCCTATGCTCCTGAAATTCCAGCTCAAATAGGACATCCCACTCTTGCTTTTTTATCAGTGCTTGCAGGTATTTGCAGCTTTAAAAAGCATCCTTCTGGAACATCAAATCTGAAAATATTCCAACAGCCGGCCTTCAGCTCGGCAAACTTTGAACAATGATGTCCATTGAATGCAGTTTCTCAAAATCTGTTTCTTTTCATAGCCTGTGGCTTGTGAGTGATTTCTGGGAAATGTTGATTATAAGATAAGCTCTTTTCAGTCGGTTTCAAAAGGTGACCCCCAGGGTAGGTAACTGTCAGGCAGAGGCATCTTTTCAGAGAAGCAAGAGGGTGAGCAAACTCCTCTGCCCCCGCTATTGTCGCTATTGTCGCAGCAGCATCATGAAGCTGCCCATTCAATGCATGAAAGGCTGCGCAGGCAGGGGCGTGGGATGGGATTGGGGAGCTTTGGCGTTTTGTATTTTAACTTTTCAGCACAATGTTAGAGCTGGGAGAGGGCAGGACAACAGCCCGCGTTCACAAGACCCAGCCCTCAGATCCGTCCTTGAGTCACTCTGTTAAGTGGAACCGGGTAATTGTCTGTTTGGAGACCTGCAGAAACAGCTCGTGGGAAAGAACTATTTGTACCTGGAATATAGTCATTAGCTTATGTGTCAAAAGGCCACACGTGGATAAAGCCATTATCCTGGCATTCTTTGCACTCTGGCAGCCTTGAGGCTAGCAGTGCAGAAGCCCATATGCAGGCGTGGCTGCTGTCTTCCTCTGTAGCCCCGCGGGCAAGCACTGGCAGGTGGAGGTGGTGGGAGGGCAGCCGAGACTCCCCTGGATTTGGGTAGAGAGAGAGCAGAGAAGGCGGATGCCTTGTACACACAGGCACTGTAATCAGGGCCTCTTTTCAGTTTCTTGAGACCCTCCTACTGGTCTCCATTGAATTGAGAGGGGATTTGGTTTCCCTTGCTGGCTGTCTCTGCCCACTCACATTTACAATTACATGTTTTTCATTGTCATAAAATACATGTAATATGTGCCCTTTTTTCCACGTGGACCGCCATCAAAATCTGCACAAAGACAATGCCCCTTGCCCTGAAATGGTGGAAAGAGCACTGGCCTCAGAGAGAGAAGGCTTGGGTTTCAATTCTGGGTCCCCCTTGGAATGTTCATTAAAATCACTAGTTGCAAGGAACAAACACTAGAATCACCTCATGTGATTGGGCGGGACAGGGTGTTGAGTGTCAAGATACACACACAAACCAAAACCTGAATGTGAAGGCCCCATGGCCCAGGGACCCTGCTGGGAGTCAGTTGGGGTCTCTTTCATGTATATATATTCATATATATACCAATGGATTAATCTACTCATGAATTAATGAATTAATAGATTAGTGGGTTAATAAACTAATGGATGGCTTCATAAGAAGAGGAAAACAGACCTGAGCTAGCATGCTCAGCCCCCTTGCCATGTGATGTTCTGTGCCTCCTCAGGGACTCTGCAGAGAGTCCCCACCAGCAAGAAGGCTCTCACCAGATGAGGCTCCTCAACCTTGGACTCTCAGCCTCCATAACTGTAAGAAATAAATGCCTTTACTTTGTAAACTACACAGTTTTCAGGTATTCTGTTATAAGCAACAGAAAATGGACTGTTTTCTTTGGACATCCATGAATATGGAGAGATGGAGCAAGGCTCTCTGAGGAGGAGGAGCACATGCTTGAAGAATGTGAGCCCCAGAACTGGCAGCCAATGTGAGATGGAGCTGGCCAAGGACTATAGATATGTAAAGGTCAGGGCAACACATGCTTAGACCATAAAGTGTATATATTATACCTGTCAAGGTAATCTATATTTGGGGATGAAAGTGAAGGACAACATCTCACATATTCCTGCTTTTCAGTAAAAAAGGACCTGGGAAAGTCATCATTTTTTCTTATAAACCCAGAATAATTCATAGAGAATGCTAAGAGAAAACACAATTGTTGAGGTTTACACAAGCAAGTACATTTTTTTTTAGAAGTTTCAGTCTCCATAATATATTAAAAGTTGAAAAATAGAGAAGAAAAAAAGCAAAAGCTGATAGAACAAATGAGCAAATGATATGAAGGTCACAAAATAGCCCTTAAACAGAAATGGCTCTTAAGCATATGAAAGGCTGCTTAACATCACTAAAATTAAATAAATGTCAATTAGAACTGCACCATAAAACTCAAAGCTTAACATCATTCTCAGGTATAACCCCTGTGAAGGGAAATTTGGCAAAATGAAGCACACAGCACTACTTATGTAGTCTTTTTGCCAAAAAGTTTAATCTGAGTTAAGCCTCTGAACTCAAATTTCAATTTATAGGAAAGACACGGACATAAAGGAGGAAGTCAAATAGTACCATCACAAACCCAGAATGTTAGACTTTTTTTTTTTTTTTTTTTTTTTTAAAGAAAGCTAGCCTGTGTGGTGGCTCACACCTATAATCCCAGCACTTTGGCAGGCCAAGGCGGGTTGATTACCTGAGGTCAGGAGTTCGAGACCAGCCTGACCAACGTGGAGAAACCCCGTCTCTACTAAAAATACAAAATTAACCAGGTTTGGTAGCATGTGCCTGTAATATCCAGCTGCCTCAGCTCAGGAGGCTGAGGCAGGAGAATCACTTGAATCCAGGAGGCAGAGGTTGCGGTGAGCCAAGATTGCACCATTGCAACTCCAGCCTGGGCAACAAGAGACTCTGTCTCAAAAAAAAGAAAAAAAGAAAAAAAGACAGCTAGCCTGGACCCTTACAAATGTTAAGGTCATAAACTTGAAATGATCCAAATGCCTACCAACAGTGGAATAATAGCAGTCATACAATGGAATGCTTAAATTACAAATAACAGAATAATTTCACAAATATGAGGTTGAGTAAAAGAAACAAACAATACTCTTGAGTTGCATTTACATAAAGTTCATAAACAGAAGAAATTAATCTATGGTGTTAGAAGCCAGGATAGTGGTTTCACTTAGAGGGATAGTGATAAGAAGGAAATGGGCTGTTCAATTTGCGAAAATTCGTAGAGTTGTAAATGGGATTTGTGAAACTTTTCTTCCTTTTTAAACTTTTTTTATTGTGGTGTGGTGTAACACATACAGTGACATGCATAAAGTATAATAATCTTAAAAAGTACAGTTAGATGATATTGAACATTTATATGCACCCTGCAACCACTACCCAGATCAAGATATAAAACATCTTCAGCACCCCAGAAGGTTCCATGATACTCCATCCCAGTCTATATCAACCCCCACTCCATATATATATATATATACATATATATATATATATATATATATATATATATATATATATACCACTTTTCTGACTTCTATCATATTTGATTAGTTTTTTCTGTGCTGAACTTCATCAGACTTCCATGTCTGATTTGCTCATGTCTGACCTTTTTGGCTCAGCATAATGCCTATGAGATTCATTCTTATGTTGCATGTATCAATGGTTTGTGTGTTTTTTTAATTGTCGGCCGGGCACAGTGGCTCACACCTGTAATCCCAGCACTTTGGGAGGCCGAGGTGGGCAGATCACCTGATGTCAGGAGTTCGAGACCAGCCTGACCAACATAGTGAAACCCTGTCTCTACTAAAAATACAAAAATTGGCCGGGTGTGGTGGCGAGTGCCTGTAGTCCTAGCTACTCAGGAGGCTGAGACAGGAGGATTGCTTGAGCCTGGGAGGCAGAGGTTGCAGTGAGCTGAGTTACCATGCCACTGCACTCCAGCCTGGACAATAGAACAAGACTCTGTCTCAAAAAAATAAATTAAAAAATTGTCATGTATTAGTCCATTGTATGAAATATAGCACATTATGTTTATTCTTCTGTTGATGGATATTTGGGTTTTTTCCAGTTTTGAACTATGAATAATTCTTGTACATGTGTTTTGATAGATATAGCCACTCATTTCTCTTTGGTTATTAACCTGAAAATGGACTTGCTGAGCCTCTGGGTAGGCATATATTTAGCTTCAGTAGATAGTACCAGTTTTCCAAAGTGATTAAACCAACTTTACTCCTACCAGTAATATATGAGAGTTTCAATATTTTTGTAACCTCATCAACTCTTGAATTTCTCATTTCTAATTTTAGCCATTTTGATAGGTGTATATTTCATTGTGGTTTTAATTTGTATTTCTCTTATGACTAATGATATTGAATACCTTTTCATATGCTTATTAGCCATTTGGATATCTTTTCAACATAGCTTGTATATTTGTCCCTACCCAAATCTCATGTTGAATTGTAATCCCCAATGCTGTAGGTGGGGCCTGGTGGGAGATTTTTGGGTCATGGGGATGGATCTCTCATGGCTTGGTACTGTCTTTGCGATAGTCAGTTCTTGTGAGATCTGGTTATTTAAAAGTATGTGACACCCCCAACACACAAACATACTCTCTCTCTCATTCCTACTTTTGCTATGTGACATGCCTGTGCCCCCTTTGCCTTATGCCATGACTGTAAGCTTCCTGAGGCTTCCCCAGAAGCTTAGCAGATGTTGGCACCATGCTTCCTGGAATGCTTACAGAACTGTGAGGCGATTAAACCTCTTTTCTTTATAAATTGCCTAGTCTCAGGTGTTTCTTTATAGCAATGCAAGAATGGCCTAATATGCTTTTCTTGTGGAGTACCTGTTAA
This sequence comes from Homo sapiens, assembly GCF_000001405.40. Classification (NCBI taxonomy): domain Eukaryota; kingdom Metazoa; phylum Chordata; class Mammalia; order Primates; family Hominidae; genus Homo; species Homo sapiens. The sequence continues at coordinate 80,611,435 of NC_000005.10, read as the reverse complement.
GTCTTTTACCACTTTTTTAAACACTTGGGTTGTCTTTTTTTTATGGATTTGTAGGAGTTCTATATATATTCTGGATATCTGAGAACTTTCACAAATATAAATGCAGAAGCTATCTTCTCAGCCGGTGGCTTTGTCTTAAATGTGTCTTATGCTAAACAGACATTATTTTAATGAACTTCAATTTATTAGTTTTTTTTAGGTTAATGTTTTCTTATTTCCCATTTTAGAATTATTTGCCTCCATAAGTCAGGAAGATATTCTTCTAAATTTTCTTTCAGAAATGTTATTTTACTTCACACATCTAAGTCTATGATCCACCTTAATTTTTGTATATGATCTGAGATAGGAGTCATGCTTTTTCCCCCAATGTCTTAGTCTATTTGTGTTGCTATAAAGGAACACCTGAGGCTGGGTATTCCTTTATAGCAACACACTGTGTGTGTCTGTGTATGGGAGGGGAGGCCGGGGTGGGGGTGGGGGAAGATGTAGAAAGAGACAGAGAAAGCAGATGTGCAAAATGTTAACAATTCTTGAATCTAAGCTGTATTTTTCTGAATACAATATATTTTAGTTTATAAAGAAGAGAGGTTTCTTTGACTCACTGTTCTGCAGGCTGTACAAGCAGCATGGCACCAACATCTGCTTCTGGTGAGAGTCTCAGGATGCTTCTATTCATGACAGAAAGTAAAACAGAGCCAGCATGTGTGGAGATCTCAAGGCAAGAGAGAGAAAATAAAGAGTAGGAGGTGGTGGTGGAGGTGCCAGGCCCTTTTTAAGGACCAACTCTCTTGGGTACTAATAAAGCAAGAACTCACTCATTACCTCAATGACAGCACGAAGCCATTCATGAGGGATCCTCTCCCATGACCCAAACACCTCCCATTAGGCCCTACCTCCAACACTGGGGACCAGATTTCAACATGAGGCTTCGGGGACAAACATCCAAATTATAATACTCATATCAATATCCCATTGCTCCAGGGCCATCTATTGAAAAGGGTATATTTTCCTCCTTTGGATTGCAGTGGTGCTTTTGTCATATGTTAAGTGACTATATATGTTTGGATCTATTTCTGGACTCTGTTTTGTTCCCTTGATCTTTTGTCTTCCCTGGAGCTAATACCACACTATCTCAATTATTCTAACTTTATGGCAAATCTTGAAATCTTATTGTATAAGTCCCCCATATTTGTTCTTATTCCACATTGCCTTGCCTATTCTACGTGCTTTGCAGTGCCATATAAATTTTAGAATCAACTTGTCAATTTTCACACAAGGATTTGCTGGGGTTTTGATTGGGATTACATTGAATCCAGAGATTAATTTTTTTTCTTTTGCTTTTTTAGACAGGGTCTTGCTCTGTCACTCAAGCTGGAGTACAGTGGCATGATCACAGCTCACTGTAGCCTTGAACTCCTGGGATCAGGACTACAGGCATGCATCACCCTGCCTAGCTAAGCTTTTTTATTTTTTGTAGAGGCAGGGTCTTATTATGTTGACCAGGCTAGTCTGAAACTCCTGGCCTCAAGCAGTCCTCCCACTTCAGCCTCCCAAAGTGCTAGGATTACACGTGTAAGCCTCCACCCTGGGCTGAAGCTAGAGATTAATTTTCAGGAGTTAATATCTCTCCATTAATTTAGCTCTTCTTTAATTTCTGTCATCAATATTATATAATTTTCAGTATAGAGGGAAGGTCTTAGACATCTTAGATTTATTTGTGAGAATTTGGTGCTTTTTGATGTTATAATTGAATTGTTTAAGTTTTTTGTCTCTAGCATATAGAAATGATTTTTGCATACTGACTGTATCAAGAGGCCTTGCTAAATTCATTTATTCTAATAGCGTATGGATTCTTTTGGATTTTCTTTGTACATGATGATGTTTACTTATAATGCTGGCTACGATCTCCAATGATATTTATACTTTTCTGTATGTATAATATACTTCAGTTGTTTTAATTTAGTGACAAAACTGAGTTAAACTAAAGAGACTAAAATGACATAACCAAATGTAATGCATGAAACCTGATTGGATCTTGATTTTTTAAAATGTATAAGAGGTTTGCTCCTACAATGAAAGAAATTTGAACATGATCTGAACATTAAATGATTGAATGAAAATATTGTTAATTTTCTTTAAAATACTTTGATTATTGTGTTGTAATTATATAGAAGTGTACTGTTCTTAGGAGATGAATGTATTTAGAGAAATAATCACGACAAATATTCATCAAAAGTGTGTGTGTAGAAAGAGAGAGAGACAAAGCAGATGTGCAAAATGTTAACAATTCTTGAATCTAAATGGAGACTTGTGGTACACAGGCTTACAGTAGTTCCCATGATTCCGACTCCTGGTGTTCATACTCTTATGTGACACCTCTCCCTCTCCCTTCTTGTGAGCAAGAACTGTGACTTGCTTCTGGACAATAACATATGGCAAAGGTGACAGGATATACATGATTACCTAAGTTCTCTCTTTTTCCTTTATTAGCTTTGAGGAAGCAAGTGAACATCTTGGGCAATCCCAACAAGGAAGTAACATGGCCTCTATGGGGTGAGGGTAGCTTCCAGCTGACAGCCAGCAAGAAACAGAAGACCTCAATCTTATAGATGCAAAGACCTGAATTATGCCTATAATGTGAGTGAGCTTAGAAGTTATTTTTTCCCCCAGTCAAGCATCTGATGAGACCACAGCCCTGGCTGGCATCTTGTACAGTCTTGTGAAACCTTAAGAACAGGATCCAGCTAAACCATAGCCAGCATCTTGAGCCACAGAAGTTGTGAGATAATAAATATATGTTGTTTTAAGCTGCTAAATGTGTGGTAATATTATTGTACAGCAATAGAAAGCTAATACAAGATGTGATGGTTAATTTTATGAGTCAACTTGACTGGGTGCCCAGATACTTAAACATTATTCTGGGTGTTTCTGTGAAGGTGTTTTTTGTTTGTTTCATTTGGGTTTCATTGTTTTTGTTTTTATTTTTGTTTCAGGGACAGGGTCTTGCTCTGTTGCCCAGGTTGGAATGCTATGGTGTGATCATAGCTCACTATGGCCTCAAACTTCTAGGCTCAAGCCATCTTCCCACCACAGCCTCCCAAAGTACAAGGATTACAGGTGTGAGCCACTGCTCCCAGCCTTGTGATGATGTTTTTTGATGAAATTAACATTTAAATTAATAGCCTGAGTAAAGAAAATTGTCCTTCCTAATGTGGATGGGCCTCATCAAATCAGTTGAAAGCCTGAATAGAATTAAAAGGCTGACCCTCACCCAAGTAACAGAATTCTTCCTGCCTGACTGCCTTTGACCTGGGACATTGGCTTATTTTTCTCCCTTTTGACTCAAACTGAAACATCTGCACTTCCTGGCTCTTGAGCCTGCTGGCCTTTAGACAGAAGCTACACTGTTGACTCTACTGGTTCTCAGGTCTTTGGACTCAGATTGGAACTGAACCATTGGCTCTCCTGGGTGTCTGGCTTGCTGATTTCACCCTGAAGAACTCAGGACTTGTCAAGACTCCATAATTGCATGAGCCAATTCAAATCAATGAATCCTATTGGTTCTGTTTCTCTGGAGAACCCTGACTAATATGCAAGAATATACAGATGTCATCATATTATTAAGCTTTTCTATATGTTTGAAAATATTCACAATAAAAATTGGGAAAAATGATTCAAAGTCAGCAAGTGCTAGAAGACAGTTCAAAAGTGGCTCTTAAAGAAGTTCACTAGACTTTCTCCTTTCCTGATTCTCAACTTGTCTCCCTTCCTACTTCAGTGAATCTACTTCATTTAATATGGACTTTTAAACACACAATAGACACTGTAGTTAAACACAAATAATAAATCTGCCCCTTTTTTGTGCAGATTTAGTCTCTATAAACATTATGCTGATAAAGTTTGGCCTTAACCTTTGTTCTGTAAATGTTTCAGAATTTTTTACTGCCACATTACAAGATAGATGTCAGTCTAAATGCAGGCTTTTCTATAAAACTCAGCAGCTTCATAGATGGCCTCTAATTCATAGTCATAAAAGACAGGACTACATTTTTTTGGTTGAAAATAATTTCAAGAACCTCTTAAGTTCCCACCAGAACATAATGCTACTCTTGATTCTGCATGAGGTCAGTTTAATAAATTCAGATACCATCATCCTCCAGGAATTATCAACCAAACTGAGAAAAGTATATAAAAGCAAGTTTTTAACTGAATATTAATACAAGTACTTTTTCTCAGAAACCTTGATAATTATCCATGGCTAAAGAGCTGGCTTGCCCCAGGTTGCTTTCTCTGATGTGACTTGATGAATAATCCTATACAGAAGTTGCCCAAGGTCAGACAGAGGCAAACGATGGAGACATGCCTCAAATTCATTTTCTGAAAAACCTTAAGGAAACCTATACCCATTGACATTGTATTTTGAAGGAGGCCTACTGCTTAGTAGAGCAGAGGTTTTCCACTTCAGCTATACATTAGCCTCACCTGGGGAGCTTAAAATACTGGTGCCTGGCTGGGCACGGTGGCTCACGCCTGTAATCCCGGCATTTTGGGAGGCCGAGGCGGGCGGATCAGGAGGTCAGGATATTGAGACCACGGTGAAACCCCATCTCTACTAAAAATACAAAAAATTAGCCGGGCGTGGTGGCGGGCACCTGTAGTCCCAGCTACTGGGAGAGACTCTGTCTCAAAAAAAAAAAAAAAATACTGGTGTCTGAGTTCCTATCCCCTCCCTATCCTAGAGAGTCCAATTTTGGTTTGGGGTGTAGGCCAGGCATCAGGATTTTTAAGTTTTTGTGATTATTCTTTTTTTTTCTTTTGTAAAAAATATTTATTATTATTATTATTAATACTTTAAGTTTTAGGATACATGTGCACAACGTGCAGTTTGTTACATATGTATACATGTGCCATGCTGGTGCGCTGCACCCATTAACTCGTCATTTAGCATTAGGTATATCTCCTAATGCTATCCCTCCCCCCTCCCCCCACCCCACAACGGTCCCTAGAGTGTGATGTTCCCCCTCCTGTGTCCAGGTGTTCTCATTGTTCAAGTCCCACCTATGAGTGAGAATATGCGGTGTTTGGTTTTTTGTTTCTGTGATTATTCTAATGTGCAACAAAGGTTTAAGAATTATTGTAGTAGAGGCTCAATACATACTACTTGAGTAAACAAATGAACTCTATACATATTCTTAGATTATATACAGAAACTTAAACAGCTTAGTATGAATCAATTTTGAAAGCATAAAGCATTTTGGTACTCTGTGATCTGGATCGCTCATGCTAAACCAAAATGCCTAAACTTAGAAAAAATAGGGTCAAAAATAGAAAAAGGACTAAAAATGTTTTCAGATTAGGAAAAGACATAGCAACAGGTATTGAGTCTGAAAAGAAAGGACCTGAGAACTTGAGAATGGCCTTCACATATCTCAGGGGTATACCCAAGAGCAAAACTAGGGTCACAGGTGACAGCCAAAGAAAGCTAGACATTGGCATAATACAAGACTTTCCTATAAGGTGGTGTTATCTGGGGATAGACTGAATTTCCTTAAAATTGTGAGTAACTGGTCACTACAGGAATTCAGACATTGCCTTTTCAACTGCTAGGCCAGGTTCCTGCAGAGAAAACCCCTGGACAAGGTGCTATATTAAGCATGTATGTTCTTTTCTGGCCATCCAATATCCCTTTGCTCTTTTCCTAGTAACAGCCGCCTATTTTTCTCTGAAGGCCCACTCTTCCCCCACTCACAAATTAGTTCTAGGGGAGGAATGTTGATCCACTCTCAACCAACTGGAACACTGTGGTCTCCCTACACAGTGCCTGGTTCAAGAATGAGCAAATGACCCAAGTTGAGCCAATCAGAGCTAATTAGATTAAACTCTAGGGATTTTTCCTTAAAATTTTGAAGACTCTTACTAGATTTAAAGTTGGGAGAATGTTCTGACTTAAAAGGAGGAATTTTAAAAATAAAGTCGTGAAAATGTGATGCAGAAAATATCAACTTAGGAATAATGAAAAGAAAATAAGCTTCAAAATAATCTTATTAATAGCCTTAGAGAGATGAAAGATACATCTATGAAACAAGAGAATGATGCTGTAGAAAAAATTCAGATACCAAGCAAGAGTTGTTAGAAATTTAAAAATAGGATGTTAGCAATAAAAAGTTATGAAGTTGAAAGACAAATTTGAGGAAATCTTACCAAAAGTAGAACAAAAAAACAGATCAATAAAAGGAGATAGATCATATCATATATACACATATAATACACATATATGTGTATCTATTATATTCACATGTGTATTTATAATATATTATTAATCCAGGAGGATTAACATGCTAAAACTAGGAGGCCCAGAAAGAAAGAACAGAGAAAATGAAAGCAAATAAATTGTCAAAGAAGTAATACAAGGAAAATTCCTAGAATTGAAAAATAGGAGTATTTATACTATAAGGTTTTACCATTGAAAGCATAGCAAAATAAAAGACACATCATCATTGTCTCTCAAGATAAATTCTTATTATCATAGGACTTGGAAGAAAGTAAAAACCAAAATATAGAAGTAAAGAAGTGTCTTGCCCCAACTCTGAAATGCAAATACAAACAATGCTCTGCCTTCGTAATACATATTACTCTTCAATAATTAGAGGTGAAAAATCCATAAGATACATTAAGAGAGCTTGATATTTTAAGGAATTCTCTAGTGCCTTCTTTCATGAATATGGCAACCAGAATTCCTGGTTTAAATGGGCCTAGTAGAGAAAGGGAATTGGGAAAACAGCCTCCTTTATATTTCTGCATAGTGGATGGTGAAGGCCAACTGTCTTAGTTTATTTTGTGCTGCTATAACAGAGTACTTGAGACTAGGTAATTTATAAGGAACAGAAGTTTATTTCTCACAATTCTGGAAGCTGGAAAGTCCAAGACCGAGGGACCAGCATTTGGTTTGGTGAGAGCCTTCCTGCTGCATTCCGACATGGCAGAAGGCTGAAGGACAAGCTGCGTGCTGTGTGAAGCCTCTTTTTTTTTCTTCTTCTTCTTTGAGATGGAGTTTTGCTCTTGTTGCCCAGGCTGGAGTACAGTGGTGCGATCTCGGCTCACTGCAACCTCCGCCTACTGGGTTCAAGCGATTCTGCTGCCTCAGCCTCCCAAATTGCTGGGATTACAGGCGCCTGCCACCATGTCCAGCTAATTTTTTGTATTTTTAGTAGAGATGGGGTTTTGCCATGTTGGCCAGGCTGGTCTCGAACTCCTGACCTCAGGCGATCCACCCACCTCAGCCTCCCAAAGTGCTAGGAGCTAGGATTACAGGTGTGAGCCACCGCACCCAGCGATGAAGCCTCTTTTATAGGGGCCTTAATCCCATTAATGAAGAAGGAGCCTACATCTCCTAATCATCTCTTAAAGGCCCTACCTCTTAGTATGAACGACACTTGAATTTTGGAGGTTTACATATTCAAACCATAGCACCAGTTGGCTGGTATATAATCCTGGAATACTTCATGGAACTAGCAAATCTTTCAGGATGACTTCCTAACACTCCAAAATTTTCTTGAAATAGGACTGGATACAAAATTTTACCAATGCTACAATGCATAACAAATATATCTATAAAATGGCCAACCATAACAATCACAAAGTTAAAATAAGTCTTAATAGTATGTTTCTATTTACTCAAAAATGTTCTTAATATTGCTATATTAGTTTTGCAATTGAAAAATTAAGTTCCAATAGCTTCCTGCTCTGTACCTTCTCAGTGGGCTCCCAGGAATCCTTGCAACAACTGCCAGTATGTCTCAGGCTGTTTGAGAAAGCTGCCAAGGATATTAAGCACCTTGAGACCAAGCCAGCAGATGATGAGAGGATGTTCATCTACAGCCGCTGCAAACAAGCGACTGTGCATGACTTAAATACAGAATGGCCCAGGATGTTAGACCTCAAAGGCAAGGCAAAGCAGGATGCTGGAATGAGCTGAAAGACACTGCCAAGGAAGATGCTGTGAAAGCTGATATCAACAAAGTAGAAGAGCGAAATAAAAAAATACAGAATATAAGAGATTGGATTTGGTTGCCAGCCATGCATTTAACCTAAACTGATACAATGCCTTTTTTTCCCTTATACTGTGGATGATGTGAAATAGTGAATATAAACAGTAAACCCAGTTTCTCAAGGCTGTTCAGGATACAGTTCTAACAGATTAAGGGCTAAAATGATCACTAATCTTCTCCAAATAGTTTTTATCTTAGATCAATTAAAAATGTATTTGTTACTTTAAAACAAAAATTAAATTCCTTTATTTTTTCTTTAAAATAATTGGCCCCAATTACAAAATAACTTTGTTTACTCTCACGACATGTTCCAGGATGATTTTGTGAAGACCTAAGTGTTCTGTTTAAAAAGAAAAAGTAAAATGTTAAGGATGTTTAAAAGTTCTTTAAAGTTGAATAGAATAGCATTTGAATGACAGGATATAATTACAGATCACTAAGGATATGGTACAAAGTGTACCCAATCCCACCTCTTCATACTTAGCTGAGAACAGAGTGCTTCCATGAGATACAAGATTAATGAAATATCAAATGAAATAATAATTCTGGAAGAACTAGATCTTCCTGGTTAATCAGAACTGGAAGAATTATTACTAAAATTTAATAAAACCTACAGCAACTATATGGACTGGAATCTGTACCACTCATGTGTTATTTAATTGAAACCTGCTTTTTCATTTTATTGCTTTCCAATAATATTTGTTCAAATACTCCAACTAAACTTATAAGTCCCCTATGGGCAAATACCATATTTTATATATATATATATATATATCTATATTGGTTTGAGTTTTTCTTAAAGCAGAATTTAGACAAGGTCTGGGAACATGTAGTTTATTTGGAATGCAATCCTAGGAAGCAGAAATTAAGGAATACAGAGAGTAAAGCAGGAGAGGAGAAAAGGGCCTTTAAAGGATGCATTCTCAAGGTCACGATTAAAGGTGACAGGGGCCTGGGTGAAAACAGAGGTGGGGATGTGATGTAAGGCACCAAAAGCATCGGCGAGGCTCACATACCTAGAATCCTGCTCTACACTCAGAAGACTCTCAGTGAGTTTTCCGAATTGTTTAATCCATCCCAGTGGCTTCCCAAGTCTTCCTGCTCCAATCAGTGATAGCATCAAAGATCATCTGAGGAGGAGTTGTACTTTTCCTTTTACAATTACATTCCAGGACCTCATTTCATTTTGTCAGGTCCACGTGTAACAGAAGCCTTCTCATGGTAGCTTAATCAAATAGGGTATTATGAGCCTGTGGATTCTCAGGAACCCCAAAATGAGCTTTAGGCTGAGTCTGGACTCCAAAATCTGAAGATGACCCTCTTCTCTGCATGCCGCTTTCATTTTTCTCTGCAAGGTTTTTTTGTTTTGTTTTTTGGCTTTTGGTTTTTTTTTTTTGAGATGGAGTCTCATTCTGTCACCCAGACTGGAGTGCAGTGGCACAGTCTTGGCTCACTGCAACCTCTGCCTCCCGGGTTCACGTGATTCTCCTGCCTCAGCCTCCTGAGTAGCTGGGATTACAGGTGCACACCACCACACCAGGGTAATTTTTTGTGTATTTTTAGTAGAGACAGGGTTTCACTATGTTGGCCAGACTCTCAAACTCCTGACCTCGTGATCTTCCCGCCTCAGCCTCCCAAAGTGCTGGGATTACAGGTGTGAGCCACCGCGCCTGGCCTCTGCAAGGTTTAAAATGAGCCATCAAGCCAGGGTTTCAGGGATGAGAAATGGAGAGAGGAGGCTGAGTTGCTGCTTATAGATAACCCAGAAGGCCAGTTGCATCCTGTCCTTCCAAAACTTTGTGACACAATAACCCTTTTTTTTTTTTTTTTTTGAAATGGAGTCTCACTCTGTTACCCAGGCTGGAGTACAGTGGCATGATCTTGGCTCACTGTAACCTCCACCTCCCATGTTCAAACAATTCTCCTGCCGCAGCCTCCTGAGTAGCTGGGATTACAGGCATGTACAACCACACCAGCTAATTTTAGTATTGTCAGTAGAGATGGGGTTTCACTACGTTGGCCAGGCTGGTCTCAAACTCCTGACCTCAGGTGATCTGCCCAACTTGGCCTCCCAAAGTGCTGGGAGTACAGGCATAAGCCACCATGCCTGGCCTAACCCCTCTTTTCTGCCTGAGCTAGTTTGAGTTGAGATTCTGTCACTAGCAACCAAAATCATCTTGTCCAACACTGTATGCAGAAACTATGGTGTTCAGATGGGTCTCAAAGGACAATAGCTTTTGTTAACCAAGGGGAGAAGGAGGTGGGAAATGGGAAAGCCCAGAAGAGGAGCCTGTGCAGAGAATGACAGTGAAGAACCACTTGGTGAAAAGGTAGGTAGAAGGGAACTGGGCCCTGTCCCCAGAAAAATACACACAGAATACACAAAATCAATGACTGCCCAGTTTAAGGGAGTTCAGAGATTTTAAAGCTGGCCAGATAACTTTGCCTTTGCTTACTAGCAGTGATTGGGATATTTTACATATATATATTTTACATTTATATATACATATATGTAAATATATATGTATATATAAATATATATTTATATATCTATGATATATATAACTATTATATGTAGTTATATATAATATAGTTATATATAACTATATATAATAGTTATATATATTATATAGTATATATAACTATAATAGTTATATATATTATATAGTTATATATTATATAGTTATATATAACTATATATAATAGTTATATATAATAGTTATATATATAACTATTATATATAGTTATATATAATTATATATATAGTTATACATATAACTATATATTATAGTTATATATAATTATATATATAGTTATACATATAACTATATATAAGTTATATATATAGTTATACATATAACTATATATAAGTTATATATATAACTATATAATTATATGTATAACTATATATATAACTATATATATAACTATAGTTATATATTATATAGTCATATATAACTATTATATAATAGTTATATATATATATTTCTAATATATATTTATATATTATATAAGTATATATTTCTAATATATATTTATATATTATGTAAGTATATATTTATAATATATATTTATATATTATGTAAGTTATAATATATATTTATATATTATATAAGTATATATTTAAATATATAAATATATATTTAAATATATATATTATATAAATATATTTATTTTTATTATATATTATATATTTATATTATATAAATATATTTATTTTTATTATATATTATATATTTATATTATATAAATATATTTATTTTTATTATATATTATATATTTATATTTATTATATTTTTATTATTTGTATATTATTAATATGATTAATATTTTTTTTTTTGAGAGGGAGTCGCACTCTGTCACCCAGGCTGGAGTGCGGTGGCATGATCTTGGCTCACTGCAGCCTCTGCCTCCTGGGTTGAAGGGATTCTCCTGCCTCAGCCTCCTGAGTAGCTGGGACTACAGGCACATGCCACCACATCCAGCTAATTTTTGTATTTTTAGTAGAGACAGGGTTTCACCATATCGGCCAGGCTGGTCTTGAACTCCTGACTTCAGGTGATCCACCCACCTCGGCTTCCCAAAGTGCTGGGATTACAGGCTGTGAGCCACCTACTGCCCGGCCATATTGTTGTTATTATAAATGCTGCACTGTGGTCGGGCATGGTGGCTCACACCTGTAATCCCAGCATTTTGGGAGGCCAAGGCGGGCAGATCACTTGACATTGTGAGTTTGTGATCAGCCTGGCCAACATGGTGAAATCCTGTCTCTACTAAAAATACCAAAAATAGCTGGGGGGGGTGGCACGTGCCTGTAGTCCCAGCTACTCAGGAGGCTGAGGCAGGAAAATTGCTTGAACCCAGGAGGCGGAGGTTGCAGTGAGCCGGGATCGCACCACTGCATTCCAACCTAGTAACAGAGCAAGACTCTGTCTCCAAAAAAAAAAAAAAAAAAAAAGCTGCACTGCAAATTGGCTAGTGGCTCTTTTGGTTCTTTTAGGGTATAGCCATGTTCCTCATCCCCATAACACATCTACCACGTCTACCACCCTCTCCCATTGCAACCCTCAGGGCCCTCCTGCATCTCCAGCTTTAGTGGAGGCTGACAACCAGTCATCCAATGCTCTCTGCCTGTACTGAGATGGGTACTCTCAACAATTCAAGGATAGAAGACATGATCCTGGACCTCAAAGAGCTGAGACTTTTGCTAAGAAGGCAAAGGATACAAAGAAAAGTCTAAATTCAAACTAAAAACCCAGTGACTGCTACCATGTATTATAGAAGCTCACAAAAGGGATATGCCATGATGGTTGGGATGCTTAGCAGAGGCTCCACAGAGTTGAGGTGGGCTTCTAAGGAGGTGTGAGAGTTCGAAAAGCAGAGAGAGGAGACGGCAGGAAAGGCTTCATCAGAGCAAACAAAAAATCAGAGGAAGGAATGTGTCCAGTCCATTTCCAGTATTGGAAATGACTAGACCTGTGAGGACAGTGGCTCTGCCCACACTGATTCACTCCCTGCTGAATGTTGGTCAGCATGGCAAGCCAGAGTCTATCAGGATGTTGAAAATATATTCCTGGCCTTGAGTGGTGGCTCATGCCTGTGATCCCACGACTTTGGGAGGCCAAGGTGTGTGGTCAAGCTTGAGGTCAGGAGTTCGAGACCAGCCTGGTCAACATGGTGAAATCCCGTCTCTATTGAAAATACAAAAATTAGCCAGGCATGGTGGCATGCACCTGTAATCGCAGCTACTCGGGAAGCTGAGGCAGGAGAATCACTGAACCCGCCAGGCAGAGTTTGCAGTGAGCAGAGATCGCACGACTGCACTCCAGCCTGGGTGACAGAGTGAGACCCTGTCTCAAAAAAAAAAAAAAAAAGAAGAAGAAAAAGAAAATGCCTTCCTGTTCTTTTTAAACTATAATTCAGTCATTGCTGTACTTTGCATAAGATCTTGAAAACCGCACAGAATATGGCCTTGCTAATATCCTGAGTAAATGCTTGTGCATGGTCACAGGTGTAATCAATCTTCATTAGAATCAAAGAATGTAAAATTTAGCCACCAGAAAGAGGCTCTAATAACAAAGAAAGGTGCTTTCCCCCAGGGAGCCTTAACACATAGATATTTTTCCTCAGAACTTAAAGATATGGATATTACATTGATATGAAGGCCTCATAATACATTTTAACATTTCACTCTTAAAATGGTTTTCTTTGAATTGGAAACAAACCTGAAAGTTACATTATTAATGTTCTAGTTCTTAACCTCCACAATCTCAAAGAAATAGGACATCCCAAACTTAAACCCATAAAGCATCAAATTATCCTATTATACAATGAATCGTTATCATCGCCTAAATAATACTTCAATACAGATTATAACAATTTATTGTTTTCATCACACTATGATGTAAAAACACTCACAAAATATTTTCAAAGTTTTAAAAATATATAGTTTTGTTATTGTACCTTAGCCAGGTGTATTAGTCCACGGTCATGCTGCTATGAAGAAATACCTGAGACTGGGTAATTTATAAAGGAAAGAGGTTTAATTGACTCACAGTTCCAGGTGGCTGGGGAGGCCTCAGGAAACTTATAATCACTGTGGAAGGCAAAGGAGAAGCAGGCACCTTCCTCACAGGGCGGCAGGATGGAATGGATGCCCGCAGGGGACCATCAGATCTCGTGAGACTCACTCACTATCATGAGAACAGCATGGGAGAATCCGCCCCGTTATTCAATTACCTCTACCTGGGCCCGCCCTTGACACGTGGTGATTATGGGGATGACAATTCAAGATGAGATTTTGGGTGGGGACACAGCCAAACCATATCACCAGGTAATCACTTCTTGGTTTTCTTTCTTCCTTCTACATGTTTGCTAGGTAGGAGCTACAAGCTCAGCCTTATAGAACAGTTGCTGTTTGAATTTCTCTTTTTCCTGAAGTAAGATACTAGACTTTCCCCACTAAGGCCGGTCTCCATTTGGCCTGAATTTCCTCTTGTCTTCTCCATCCGGTGACACCCCCGTTTCCTACATAGTACCCAGACTGGTTTGGAGACAGTTTCCTTCTCCCTGCAGTTCCTTTGCTCACCCAGGAAACCTTAAAAAATAGTAAGAAGATCTCTACTGGGCATAAATCAAATGATAAATAAAAATCAACTCTAAATGGCAACAGCCTGCAGGAGAGACGAGTATCCTGAGGCATATCAGTGCTTTCAACAGATCCATCTGGCACTAACATCACATGAAAGTCATGGTGATGCCTGAGAAAGCAGTTTAAACTAGTCGAATTCCCTCCTTCTGAATGATGTATTAGTTCTCTTGAGGGGTCCATATAACTAATATCTGCCCAGCATATAAAGTAAACACCTCCAACTGAGGGAATAATTCTAAAAAACAGAGGCACAACTGGTGATGTGCCCAATTGCAACCCAATTCTATGAGGCATGTCAATATTCAGACCAAAGGAACAGGAAACATAAGTTCCAGAAATTACAGCTAGATTCATGAGTTTTAGAAAGGTGAGACGTTCCCATGAGGGAAAAAAATAATAATTTTAAAAAAAGGAAGGAAGCCGGGTGCAGTGGCTCATACCTCTAATCCCAGCACTTTGGGAGGCTGAGGCAAGTGGATTGCTTGAGCCCAGGAGTTTGAGACTGACCTCGGCAACAAAATGAGATCCCAATCTCTCTCGGAAAATTAAAAAATTGTCTGGGCATGGTTGCATTTGCCCATAATCCCAGCTACTCAGGAGGCTGAAGCAGGAGGATCCCTTGAGCCCCGGAGTTCGAGGCTGCAGTGAGCTATGATGGCGCCACTGTACTCCAGCCTGGGTGACAGAGTGAGACCCTGTCTCAACAACAACCAAAAAGGTGGGAGTGGGCTGAGGAGTGTTTAAATGCTTAGGCTTCTTATCCACACAACTCTGGGGATAAGAGGAAAACTTTAGGTTTGGCCCTGGCTCTGAGACTGTCCTTTTCTTATCCGACCCTATTGTCCAGCAGCACGGCCACACCTGCCTGCCTTGCTGTGTGGCCATGCTCTGACCTCAAGACCGGATTCTGTCACGGCCCAGGCCTCTTAACCAAACGCACACTTGGTGATCTCAGTTCTGCAAGCAAGATACCAGTCACTGCCACTCGCTTCCCTACCCTGCTCGTCTTTCCTGTCAAATAACACAGTTCCCCAGGAGTGATGTCTGATTAGAATTCCCGCTCTTTCACTAATTGGCTGTGCAATTTAGGGTAAATAATTCAGCCAGTCAGAACCTCAGTTTTCTTGCATGTAAAATGAAGTGTTTGGATGAAATCGTTTCAAAGGTCTCTTTGAATTCTAGCATACCACTGCCTCTCTGTCAGGCTCTTAGAGACTGTGGCTGTCCCTGATTAGTCTTTTGTCCATAGAAAGGGTGAGTAGCAATTAAGTGCACCAAACAAACATGTTACAACATATTCTTTGTAAAATATATGCTTTCCTGTCAATTCATCCTTAAAGTAACTGTAATTTTTAGATTAATCATTCCCAGTCTAGAATTGGACCATATATAGAATAAAATTTTCTTCTTACATAACACTGTATATCTTATTCTTACATAGATTATGAAACAACCAGTATTCTTGAAAATGAGGAAACCAATACTGGCTAACATATGCAGAAAATAAATTTATTGAAAGGATACTGGGTGTCTCAAAAATGTCATGAAGGGCCGGGCGTGGTGGCTCACGCCTGTAATCCTAGCACTTTGGGAGGCCGAGGCGGGCAATCACAAGGTCAGGAGATTGAGACCATCCTGGCTAAAACGGTGAAACCCCGTTTCTACTAAAAATACAAAAAATTAGCAGGAGAATGGTGTGAACCTGGGAGGTGGAGCTTGCAGTGAGCCGAGATCATGCCACTGCACTCCAGCCTGGGTGACAGAGCGAGACTCTGTCTCAAAAAAAAAAAATAGAGGTCATGAACGGGCTGGGTGCAGTGGTTCATACCTGTAATCCCAGCACTTTGGGAGGCCAATGCAGGAGGACCACTTAAGCCTAGGAGGTCAGGGCTGCAGTGAGCCATGATCACACCACTTTACTCCAACCTGGGTGACAGAGAGAGACTCTGTCTCAAAAACAAAAAAAAGAGTCAGGAAAAATGGAGAATTAACCTTGGAAACAGGAACTCAGGTACACAGGGCACAATAAGGATCCCACCAGAGATTTAGTCTGCAAAGGGTGCCAGCCCTAACATCATCAGCTCCAGACACTTGTCAATATCCACTGACATCTCAATTCCATCCAGCAGCCACTCTGAATAGTCTCTGCTCTCTCTGGCCTTGGTATCACTCCCTGAAGATCCAAAGCCTCAGGGAAGAACATGTGATTGGCAGAGCATTGGTCAAATGTTCACACACAGAGCCCCGCTCAAATGTCCACACACAGAGCCTCGCTCTGTCACCCAGGCTGGAGTGAAGTGGAGTGATGTTGTAATTATTCTAGAATCTGGAGGGAGATTCTTTGCTCCTCTCCAGCTTCCAGATTGGGAAGTAAGATCCTGGCCTTCACTGACCTTGTACTTGCCAAAATAGAAAGGGTGTTTGGATGCTGGACAACCAAAAATGACAAATGTTTACTACAGTTTTCTCACTTATGATTATAAATGTAACACATCCTGAAGGCATCTGTAAGAGGTTTCATTATATTATGGACAGGTTTATATCTGGTCAATTATTCCAACATTACTTTATCTCTTCATTGATTTACATGAATCAGTATCCAGCTAATGAAAACATATTCATCAGTATACTGACTAATTTCTTGGGCTGGCTTTTCTTATGTGCATGACTCCTCTGCATGACAAAATGAGTGTTTAAGAGTGAATATTGAATCACTGGGAAAAAAAAAACACATCTTCATTCTGAGCACAGGCTGTCATTGACTTTTTTTTTTTTTTTTTTTGAGATGGAGTTTTGCTCTTGTTGGTCAGGCAGTAGTGCAATGGTGCAACCTCAGCTCACTGCAACCTCTGCCTCCCGGGAGGCTGGCGATTCTCCTGCCTCAGCCTCTGGAGTAGCTGGGGTTACAGGCGCACACCACCACACCAGGCTAATTTTTTTTATTTTTAGTAGAGACAGGGTTTCGCCATGCTGGTCAGGGTGGTCTCAAACTCCTGACCTCAGGTGATCCGCAGGCCTCAGCCTCCCAAAGTGCTGGGATTACAGGCATGAGCCACTATGCCCAGCCTGTCATTGACTTTTTTTTTTTTTTTTTTTTTTAGACAGAGATTCGCTCATGTTGCCCAGGCTGGAGTGCAGTGGTGTGATCTCGGCTCAGTGTAACCTCTGCCTTCCAGGTTCAAGCGATTCTCGTGCCTCAGCCTCCTGAGTAGCTGGGATTACAGGTATGCACCACTACTCCCAGCTGATTTTGTATTTTTAGTAGAGACGGGGTTTCACCATGTTAGCCAGGCTGGTCTCGAACTCCTGACCTCAGATGATCCACCCACTTTGCCCTCCCAAAGTGCTGGGATTACAGGCGTGAGCCACTGTGCCCAGCCCATTGACTTTTTTTTTTATTTTTTTATTTTTTTTTATTTTTTGAGACAGAGTCTCACTCTGTTGCCCAGGCTGGAGTGCAGTGGCGTGATAGATCTCGGCTCACTGCAAGCTCCGCCTCCTGGGTTCACGCCATTCTCCTGCCTCAGCCTCCCGCGTAGCTGGGACTACAGGCGCCCGCCACCACGCCCAGCTAATTTTTTGTATTTTTTAGTAGAGATGGGGTTTCACTGTGTTAGCCAGGATGGTCTCGATCTCCTAACCTCGTGATCCACCCACCTCGGCCTCCCAAAGTGCTGGGATTACAGGCGTGAGCCACCGCGCCCGGCGCCCATTGACTTTTAAAGTGAAAATAGTACCTAGTATTTAGTCCTGGAAGAAAGTTCTTCGCAAAGCTGGTGTTATTTTCCTAAGACAATGTATTGTGCTAGTTTTATATATAGGTCAGCAGGGATGTCTAAATTACCTGGAAGTTAGATGACAGATGTCAGAAGAGATATCAGAGCGAAATCCTCTCAGTCTCTTCTCAGAGTATATTCACTAAACCTCGGAAACAATTCCTCTACCCTAAAAACAAAACTGGCAAGAAGATTCCCATCAAATCGTGTGTTGTTATGTCAAGGAGCTCGAGTTAAAAGAGTCTTTCAGAATAAAAGTTAAGCTCACAGAGAACAGCTTGGCTGAAGAAGGGTAGGTGCATCATTGCATAAAAGGCCTTTGTTTTCATTTTTAAGACATTTAGGGGCCAACCAAATAAACTCCCCCAAAGAGAAAAAAACAGCCAGCAACCCAGAGTCCTTGCCCCTTGGAACTTCAAGCTCCTCCCCAAACCAGTCCACACAGAGGCTCTGACTCCCAGCTCCACAGGAGGAAGCAGGTCATGCAGTTTTGCTACAAAGAACGCATTAGGGACAAGTGCAGTGGCCATGCCTGTAATTCCAGCACTCTGAGAGGCCAAGACGGAAGGATGACTAAAGGCTGGAGTTTGAGACCAGCTGGAGCAACATAGTGAGATCCTGTCTCTACAAAAAACTAAAATTTTAAAAATTAGGCAGGCATAGTGCTGCATGCCTGTAGTCCTGTGTACTCAGAAGGCTGTGGTGGAGGATCCTGGAGCTCAGGAGGTCGAGGCTTCAGTGAGCTGGGATCACACCACCACATTGGGCAACAGAGTGACAACAAAAAAAAAAGGCTTGGATGAATGTAACAAAGACCCCCAAATAACAACTTAAATAGCACAGAA
This sequence comes from Homo sapiens, assembly GCF_000001405.40. Lineage (NCBI taxonomy): Eukaryota > Metazoa > Chordata > Mammalia > Primates > Hominidae > Homo > Homo sapiens. The sequence goes on along the minus strand of NC_000005.10, from coordinate 80,592,615 downwards.
GTTTGTTTCTCTCCATGTAAATGTCACCTTGCTCTTCACTGATCTAATACCTACTTGTCCTTCAGGTCTCACTGGAAATCCACCTCCTCGGAGAAGCCCTCCCTTGATATCACCTACATAAGCTAAGGTATTCCCACTCTGTAGTCTCTGGACACCTTCTATCTTCTCTATGAAAAAAATTACCATACTTTTGGTTACAGATTGCTTAATTTTTCCCATTAGAATTAGCAACACAAGGGAAGGTTGTGTTTATCTTGCTCCTTACCATAGCTCTAGAGAGCTTTCCTGTCACATTCCTATCACAGGTACTTAGTTTGTGGAATGTTCTTGAGGATCACAGGAATTGAATATTTCCGGTTTATCAAACAAAGGGCTGTTGCCCAGAAGATTTCAAAAGAGTAAATAGTGTAAAAAATAAATAAGTGAGATAGTAACTGTTAATGTCCCTAGTATGACTGAAGATTTGGAAGAGAACAAGAACAGATATTTCCATCAGAAGGACCTTAGCATATGATAGGAACAGGGGCAGCAAATTTTTCTTGTAAAGTGACAGATAATTAATATTTTAGGCCATACGATCACTGTTGCAAACTATGAAACTCTGCCCTGGCAGTGCAAAAGCCACAACAGACAATGTGTAAAGGAATGGGTATGGCTGTGTTTCAATAAAACTTTACTTATGGACAGTGAAATTTGAATTTTATATGACTTTCACACATCATGAAGTATTATTCTTCTTTTAACCATTCTTTTTTAACCATTTAAAAATGTAAACACATTCTTTGCTCATGGACTTTGTGAAAACAGGCAGCGGGTGAACTTGGCCCACAGGCTATAGTTAACAGCCAACCCCTGTTAGATGGCACATTTTTGGCAGAGAAGACTCTCTACCTTTGGTTCTTTTCTTTATTCCCTTTTGGTGGCATCTGAGAGCTGTGAAGTGAGTCAAGTGCCTGTGCATGCAGGCAAATCCCACAGGGAGCTATGAGAAGGCTGGAAAGGCAGTTGTCCAGCCATGGAAGGGCCCTCGGGGGCCAGCATGAATCATTGTCTGGTGGGCAACTGAGAACCAATGGGGATAATTGAACTGGGCGCTCCCAACAGTGTATCAGTGGTTTAATGTTCTAACTTTCAAAACAATAAAAAGTGGTTTCTGAAGCCATTTGAATCTTTTTCTGCTATTAACATACCAAACCATCCACCTGGAAAAGTCTTCTAGAAAAAATGGATTGAGTCCAGGAAAGTGGAAGAGGGGAGTCATCGGTGACTGCTGAAAAAGGCAGTTAATGGTTTATCAGGGTGATCATTTTTCCATTGTATGAAAGCAAGAATAAAATAATTTCAAATATTTGTTAGATTTTGGGCAAACTCTGAACTCCTATCAATCACACAATGCCCTCCCTCAATCCATATTGAATCAGAAACCTCCATTTTGTGCTTCAGGAGAAAATGACTAAATATTATATTGTCCCTTATCTTTTGGCTTTGGAATGGGAGTCTTGTTGAAAATCATGAATAGGAAAATAACAAATCACTCATCTCAACAAAAAATACAGGAGGCAGGAAAAATCAATGAGTTACAAGAATGAACACTGAATTTCCCTTCAGTTAGTTACAGAATGTCACGTTGCTCACTCAACCAAAAATTCAGGACAAATCTCTGAGTGCCTCATATAAAACGATATTGTCCTGGGACAGGATGCTCAGGAAATGGAGAGACACTAATCTGCATGCAGTGATCACCTCCCTCACGCTGACACATGCTCTCCTATGGGGGCAAGCAGTCGGGTCGCAGGCATCCAGATGAGCTGTGTTGGGTGGATGCTCAGGTGCAGCCCTGCAGCTCTCCCTCCACCCGGTCATTCACCCAGTGGACTCCTCTGTGCCAGCTTCTTCCATCACCTTTCTCCTTGCCCTGATCATAGATTAGCAGACAAGATGCTCACATGCAGGCTGAGTGCCAATCAGTAATGACTTTGAACAAACTACAGTGGTGCAAGATCAACACTTTAATTAATTTGTTTGTGTTTAGTTTTTGTTTTTGAGACAGGGTCTCACTCTGTCACCCAGGCTGGAGTGCAGTGTCTCAGCCTCCTGAGTAGCTGGGACTGCAGGTGTGTGCCACCACGCCTGGCTAATTTTTTTTTTTTTTTTTTTGAGACACAGTCTCACTCTGTTGCCCAGCCTGGAGTGCAGTGGTATGATCTCGGCTCACTGCAACTTCCGCCTCCCGGGTTCAAGCAATTCTTCTGCCTCAGCCTCTTGAGTAGCTGGGACTACAGGCGCACACCACCACGCCTGGCTAAATTTTATATTTTTAGTAGATACGGGGTTTCACCATATTGGCCAGGCTGGTCTCGAACTCCTGACCTCGTGATCTGCCCACCTTGGCCTCCCAAAGTGCTGGGATTACAGGCGTAAGCCATGGTGCCTGGCCAATTTTTTAAAATTTTTTGTAGAAACAGGGTCTCATTATGTTGCCTAGGTTGGTCTCGAACTCCTGGGCTTAAGTGATCCTCCTGCCTCGGCCTCCTAAGGTGCTGGGATTACAGGCATGAGCCACTACACCTGCCCTTATTCATATTTCTTTTCTTTCTTTCTTTTCTTTTTTTTTTGAGACAGAATCTGGCTCTGTTGCCCAGGCTGGAGTGCAGTGGTATGATCTCAGCTCACTGCAACTTCTGCCTCCGCAATTCCAGTGATTCTCTTGCCTCAGCCTTCTGAGTAGCTGGGGTTACAGGCGTCCACCACCACACCCAGCTATTTTTTTTTTCTTAGTATTTTTAATAGAGACAGGGTTTCACCATGTTGGCCAGGTTGGTCTTGAACTCCTGACCTCAAGCGATCTTTTGGCCTCAGCCTCCCAAATCGCTGGGATTACAGGTGTGAGCCACTGCACCCAGCCCCTGTATTTTTTGAATGAACATTACATCTATATGGTTCAGATTTCAACAATTATACATAGTTATAGAGTGAAAACAAAACAAATGAGACTCCTTCCCACCACTATCTCCCAGGCTCTCAGTTCCCCCTTCTCCAGGTAGCCTATGTTCTTATCACTTCCTAAATATCCTTTCAGAAATATTTTACGCATAGTATCAGCAGATGTTTTAACACATCCTATTTTAAATTATGGAAGTAATTGTATTAGTTGAGGTAAAAGGCTACAATGAAGAGTTACAAAATTTAAAAGCTTAAACAGAATAGAAATTTCTTTCTTTTCACGTAGGTGTTCCAGGTCAGTGGGTGGCTCTGTACCAGGCAGTCATTGAGGGATCCAGGCTTCCTGGCAGCTCTGCCATTGTCACAAAATATCTTCAGTCATTGTTGCTCTTGCCATTGGTTGGGGGAAGGAGCAGAAGGCAAAAGGTCAGAGATTTTCTCCTAGGCACAATCCACTTCTACTCACTGTCTATTGGCAAAAGCTTAGTCACATGGCCGCACTAGTTGAGGGCAATCTGGGAAATATAGCCATATCCCAGCTACAAGTCTGCCACCGCTCTTGTGGTTGTGCCCTGTTACTTTAAGGAGGTGAGTTCCTTAGGCCTGGCCCGCTCTCTACAGGTCACCTTACAACACTTTTCCAGGCTGCTGCCACGTGCCTCTGCCAAATAAAGGCAGCCCTTCTCTTAATCCCCTGAAGTACAGCTAATATCAGGTTGTAATGGTTAATCGACTGTTACTGTAAAAGAGAATTACCATGCAGAATAGCCATGCTTAATGGAAGGCCCTATCTAGGCCTGCCTAGCGAATACTCTTCCCTTTATTAATTTAACAAACACTTTTATCCTGCTGTGTTCTTTGTGCTTTATAAAAACGAAGTCAGGCCAGGCACAGTGGCTCATGCCCTGTAATCCCAGCACTTTGGGGGGCTGAGGTGGGAGGATCGCTTGAGCCCAGGAGTTTGAGACCAGCCTGGGCAACATAGAGAGAACCTGTCTCTATAAAAAATTAAATTAAATTAAATTAAAAATTACTTGGGCGTGGTAGTGTGTACCTGTGGTCCTAGCTACATGGGAGGCTGAGGTGGGAGGATTGCTTGAGACCAGGAGGTCAAGGCTGCAGTGAGCTATGAGTACACCACTGCACTTCAGCCTGGGCAACAGCGAGAACCCTGTCTCAAAAAAAATATTCACAGCAATCCTCTGATGCACGCATCATTACTGTCCAGTGTCCCTTTTATAGATGAGAAAGTCAGAAAGAACAAAGAGAGGTTAGGTAGTTGCCTAGTGTCACAACTAGAAACCTATGCTATTCACCTTTTTTAATGACAGAAGCCTGATTTCACTGTAATATCAGTCAGCTCAGTAAAAAATTCTTGTTTACGGGTAGAGATAGCCATGTGACTCACTTCAGGCCAGTGACTAGAAGTGGGAATCACTGGGCCAGGCACCAAAGAAAGCTATCGTTCTTCTGATACATTAGAAGAAATACAAATGGCATGCATCTTTTGCCTTTTGACCTTTGCCCTTCTGGTCTATAATATGGATAAGAGCATTTTGTGATCGTAAGATCAAAGCTACAATTCCAAAGAGGACTGAATGGGAAAGAAGGAGCCAGCTACATTAGCCCTGGACTCTCTGTTATGTGAAAATATTATATATATAGTCTCATTAAGTTAAACACTAAAATTTGCCTAAAGCTGTTGTAACTGGTATTTAGATATAGATCCTGGTCCTGATCACCCCAAAGTCCATAGGCCAATTGGCCCCCTTTAGAGGTATCTCTACTGTCCTCTCTGTCACTGGACCTGTCCCATGTCAAAGACTCACTCTCTGCATCAGGCCCCAATGCCATCTTTTCCTGTCATGATGCACAGCAATCCAGCTCCTCATGGTCTTGAACTTCCGCATTCCGGAGTAGGATTTTGGATCTCGCCATTTACATGCTGAGGGAAGCAGTCATGAAACTGGGTAAGCCAATTTCACTGCTGCCCCTGTGGTTATATGTACAAAGCCATTTACAAAGGCCAAGAAAAGAATTAGACACATCTAAATTTTGGAAAATTGCAGGCTTTTTTTTTTGAAACAGGGTCTCTGTCACCCATATTGGAGTGCAGTGGTGCTCGCTGCACTCTTGAACGGCTGGGCTCAAGCAATCGATCCTTCCTCCACAGCACCCTGAATAGTTGGGACAACAGGTGTGCACCACCACACCAAGCTGGTTATTTTTAATATTTGTAGTGACGAGGTCTCAATATGTTGCCCAGGCTGGTCTCGAACTCCTTGCCTCAAGTGATCCTCCCACCTCAGCCTCCTAAATTATTGGGATTACAGGAATGAGCCAGCCACTGCAACAAGCCCACAGCCTTTTTATAAAGTCCAAGAGGCCATTCACTGAGGGACCAAGAAATAGGCCTCTCAACTCTGAAGGACTTAGTTTTCAATCCAAAAGAGTCATATTAATACTCACCTGCTGTGTAATATTGAGATATAGAGGCCCAGCTCCTACCCTAGGGAAGATGGCCTGGCTTAATGATTATGGCCTAAGGACCAAGGATTGGACATACAATTTATATTTTATTGCCCTCTGGGAAGCTTCCAAAGGCTATTTATGAAGCGCCTGTTTTATGGCAGCTTCTCTTTCCTCCCATCAGTAAGTGTGTGGTGGACGCATGTGGGACCAAGGTGCATAGGCGGTTGGGGTTTTTGGACGACTGAGCACATCCAAGTCTGAGGCTCATGGATTTTAAGCGTGGACTTTCAAATGGAGGCATTAACCTTCACTTTTGATCTTTCTAGGACATCAGAGCATTTTTTTTCTTTCCCAGAAAAGGGATGCAATTATCTCCCAAAGATGAATCAGAAAACTGCTGGCAGCCTGGAAACCGCAGCCCATCCCCGTGTTAAGCTGTTTGAGAAAATGTTGGGGAAACGTTCATCCAGAACATCAGGACAGTGAACAGAAAGGGGGAGACATGAGGAAACGAGTGCAAAGAAACCAGGAGGAAAAACATCATGAATATATGAAGCAAAACAGCCTCTGTTTTGTTCAGTGCGACTAGAAGCTATGTTTAACCTGTTGCCACTGCCTTTCCTGTCCTAAAGAGAACCTCCTCCAGAAAAGATAATATTCACTGTATTTGAATCTTTTCTGAAATGAAAAAGACCTTGAAAATGCATTTACATCTCAAGAGCTGAGACGAAATATTGTCCTGTATTTGAAAGATGAGGCCGGGTGCAGTGGGTGGCTCATGCCTGTAATCCCAGCACTTTGGGAGGTCAAGGAAGGAGGATCGCTTGACCCCAGGAGTTTGAGATCAGCCTGGGCAACATAGTAAGACCACATCTCTACAAAAAATACAAAAATTAGCTGGGTGTGGTGGTTTGCATGCCTGTAGTCCCAGCTACTCAGGAGGCTGAGGTGGGAGGATTGCTTGAGTCTGGGATATCTGGGCTGCAATGAGCCATGGTCACGCAACTGCACTCCAGCCTGGGTGACAAATCGAGTCACTACCTCAGTTAAACAGAGAGAGAGAGAGAGAGATATCAAACTCACAGCCCCTTTTATGATTAACATTAATCATAAATATTTAGCATGATACGGGTAATAGGCATTATACTATCACTATTACTCTCTATCCCTGGGATGGAATATTATGCAGTCATTAATGCATTTAAAAAATATTTTAAAGAATACAATATATTTGAAATCTAAAAAGTGAAAAAAGCACGATACAAATTGTTCATTGTCATCTACATTTTGTTAAAAATATACCTGGACAGAGACAAGATTGGAAGGAAATATACCATTTTTTCATTTTTATATTTCCAGTTTTACAAATAGTCTATAGTGATCATATATTACTTTCATAATAAGAAAACATACTTAACATTAAAAACACATATTTGACAAAATTAACCAGGTGTGGTGGCACATGCCTGTAACCCCAGCTACTCGGGAGGCTGAGGCAGGAGAATCGCTTGAACCCAGGAGGTGGAGGTTGCGGTGAGCCGAGATCATGCCATTGCACTCCAGCCTGGGCAACAAGAGCAAAACTCCACCTCAAAAAAAAAAAAACAAAAACCTACCACGTATTCGAATAACTACTTCTTTTATATATTTATGCACTATCACATGAAATCAGAATAAAAATCAAGCCTGCTAAGGAGCTAAGGCAAAAATCAACTCTGGGATATTCAGGACAATGGGTAACTGCTATCTCAGTCTTTCTAATACAATTACTCAAAATATAAACTTTCCCTCTATCACTTCCAAGATGAAGACATTTTATGGTCCTCTTCAAATCAGGTGGGAGGGGTGACAGCTGAACCCCTTCCCACAAGGCCTCCTCCCCCTTACCACTCTCACCTCCAAACCCTCACTGTACACACAGGCTTCTGGGAGTGACCAGAGAGGTGACGAGGCCTCAGTCAAGCAGAGAGCAGACATTCTGGAGTGGGTTCCCCAGTTGTATTGGTCTGTTTCCACACTGCTATACAGAACTACTTGAGACTGGGTAATTTATGAAGACAAGAGGTTTAACTGACTCACAGTTCCACAGGTTGTACAGGAATCAGACTGAGAGGCCTCAGGAAACTTACAGTCATGGCAGAAGCAAAGGGGAAGCAAGCAAGTCTCATCACAGTGGAGCAGGAGAGAGCGAGAGCGAGGGGGAAAGTGCCACATTTTTAAACCATCAGATCTCGTGAGAACTCACGCACTATCGTGAGAACAGCATGGAGGACTGGAAATCTGCCCCCATGATCCAATCACCTCCTACCAGATGCCCCCCCTGACATATGGGGATTACAATTTGACATGAGATTTGGGTGAGGAACAGAGCCAAACCGTATCACCAATGCATCAGAGACTTGGAGAAGGAGGCAGGACAGACTGAAGGTCATTAGTGAAGGCAAAGGGTATGTTAGGTAGCGCTCGGACAGTCAATCACGTCCCCCTGCTTGGAAGTGAGAAGAGGAGAGGCTGTGATCCTTTCCAACCAGCCTCCCCCTCTTCCCACTTTACTTTTGGAAGCAAAGTGGAAAACAGCATTGGATCCAGAGACTGAGAGACAACCCAACAGATGACTGGAGGTCAAATCCAACCACATTTTTACCAGTTGTGTGACCTTAGGCACATCACCTGAATTTTCTGAGCCTCAGTTTCTTCCCCAGTAATGTAGGGATAACAAGAGTTGTGAGGACTATATGAGGTGATGCACGTAACATGCTTACTTGTGCCAAACACATGGTTTTAAGCACTGAACGCCATTAGTTTTACTTAAACTTTTTATTTTGGGGCCAGGCGTGGTGGCTCATGCCTATAATCCTAGCATTTTGGGAGGCTAAAGTAGGCTGATCACATGAGGCCAGGAGTTTGAGACCAGCCTGGCCAACATGGAGAAACCCATCTCTACTAAAAATACAAAAATTAGCCAGGCATGTTGGTGCATGCCTGTAATCCCATCTATTCGGGAGGCTGAGGCATGAGAATTGCTTGAACCTGGGAGGCGGAGGTTGCGGTGAGATGAGATAGCGCCACTTCACTCCAGCCTGGGCGAAAAAGTGAGACTCTGTCTCAAAAAAAAAAAAAAAAAGTAGAAAGAATTCTCATGTACTTCCACCCAGATTCCCCAAATGTTAACATTTTACCACTCTCATTTTATCCCTTTCCTTCTCTCCCCCGTATATATGTTAACTCTTAAACAACAAGGGTTCAAGCTACCTGAGTCCATTTACATGCAGATTTTTTCAACCAAAGCCTGATAAAATACAGCATTGGTGGGATTCTAAACTTACCTAGACAGACAGCCAACTTTTTTCCTATATAGCCTGGTTCTGCAGGACCAACCCAGGAACTTGAGTATTTTGAATGGATTTTGGTATACGCAGGGTTCTGGAACCCATCCCCTGCAAATATCAAGGGGTGACAGGTGTGTGTGTGTGTGTGTGTGTGCGCATGTGCACACGTGTGTGTATATAGTTGAGCATTAGCTACCATTGATCTTAAAATTAGCATTTAAATTTATTAAAGTAATAAATGTATACATTTTTAAAAAAATTAAATAATTGCCTTCCGGAAGGGCTTGTACTGAAGAATCTAGCCCTGGCACTACCCCTCTCCACCCCAGCACCACTCCCCAGATGGAATCATTTAAACTCTTTTAATTATGTCTATTTTTAGTTCTTCTTATCATGACACCATACTCCTAACAATGTGCTTATACTGTTATTTTACGAATTACTGATTTTAGACATTTATTCCATGACTTCCTGCAATGACAGACGAGGACGTAGCTCATTTGTACCATCCAGAAAGCCTCCCAAGGTAAGGATGGAGAGAAAACAGCACATTCTTCCAAAATAGCCACTTTTCAACAGCTATACGGAAAGATACTGTTATCTCAGTATCTCAAATATTAAAACGATGCTTAAAAGTTATTAGACACTTGGCTAGGCGCGGTGGCTCACGCCTGTAATCCCAGCACTTTGGGAGGCCAAGGCGGGTGGATTACAAGGTCAGGAGTTCGAGACCAGCCTGGCCAACATGGTGAAACCCTGTCTCTACTAAAAATACAAAAAATTAGCTGGGTGTGGTGGCAGGCCCCTGTCATCCCAACTACTCGGGAGACTGAGGCAGGACACTTGCTTGAACCTCGGAGGTGGAGGTTGCAGTGAGCTGAAACTACGCCACTGCACTCCAGCCTGGGCAACAGAGCGAGACTCCGTCTCAAAAAAAAAAAACAAAAAAAAATTATTAGAGGCCAGGCGTGGTGGCTTACCCCTGGAATCCCAGCACTTTGGGAGGCCAAGGCGGGTGGATCACTTGCGGTCAGGAGTTCAAGACCAGCCTGGCCAACATGGTGAAACCCTGTCTCTAGTAAAAATACAAAAATGAGCCGGGCATGGTGGCAAGTGCCTGTAATCCCAGCTACTAGGGAGGCTGAGGCAGGAGAATCACCTGAACCTGGGAGGTGGAGGTTGCAGTGAGCTGAGATTGCCCCATGGCACTTCAACCTGGGTGATAGGGTGAGACTCTGTCTCAAAAAAAAAAAAAAAAAAAAAAAAAAAAGCTTGGTTCACACCCACCTAGGATGGCTATTTTTTAAAAAAAGAGAGAAAATTGGTGTAAGTGTTGGTGACAATGTGGATAGTATCTCTGTATCACCACCCCCTTCTTTGTAAGAAGAGGAGACTAGAGACCCCCTGCTGTCATGTGTACTTTTATTTTTATGTCATTAAGATTGATAAAAGATATTCTCTTCTGTAATCATGATTAAGTCTTCTACGCTTTGTCTCTACAGTTAAAATCAAGTATTTATACCACTGTGACTGTGTATACATTGTTCGTTACACTGTATAATAACTGTTTTCCCAGAGACCGAAATCATGAGTGAACTCCCATTCACAATTGCTTCAAGGAGAATAAAATACCTAGGAATCCAACTTACAAAGGATGTGAAGGACCTCTTCAAGTAGAACTACAAACCACTGCTCAACAAAATAAAAGAGGACACAAATGGAAGAGCATTCCAGGCTCATGGATAGGAAAAATCAATATTGTGACAATGGCCATACTTCCCAAGGTAATTTGTAGATCCAATGCCATTCCCATCAAGCTATGGGGAAGAAAGTCAGCCCCAATGACTTTCTTCACAGAATTGGAAAAAACTACTTTAAAGTTCATATGGAACCAAAAAAGAGCCTGCATTGCCAAGTCAATCCTAAGCCAAAAGAACAAAGCTGGAGGCATCACGCTACCTGACTTCAAACTATACTACAAGGCTACAGTAACCAAAACACATGGTACTGGTACCAAAACAGAGATATACACCAATGGAACAGAACAGAGACCTCAGAAATAATACCACACATCTACAACCATCTGATCTTTGACAAACCTGACAAAAACAAGAAATGGGGAAAGGATTCCCTATTTAATAAATGGTGCTGGGAAAACTGGCTAGCCATATGTAGAAAGCTGAAACTGGATCCCTTCCTTACACCTTATACAAAAATTAATTCAAGATGGACTAAAGAGGCCGGGCGCGGTGGCTCACGCCTGTAATCCCAGCACTTTGGGAGGCCGAGGCGGGCGGATCACGAGGTCAGGAGATCGAGACCATCCCGGCTAAAACGGTGAAACCCCGTCTCTACTAAAAATACAAAAAATTAGCCGGGCGTAGTGGCGGGCGCCTGTAGTCCCAGCTACTTGGGAGGCTGAGGCAGGAGAATGGCGTGAACCCGGGAGGCGGAGCTTGCAGTGAGCCGAGATCCCGCCACTGCACTCCAGCCTGGGCGACAGAGCGAGACTCCGTCCCAAAAAAAAAAAAAAAAAAAAAAAAAAAGATGGACTAAAGACTTAAATGTTAGACCTAAAACCATAAAAACCCTAGAAGAAAACCTAGGCAATACCATTCAGGACATAGGCATGGGCAAGGACTTCATGTCTAAAACACCAAAAGCAATGGCAAGAAAAGCCAAAATTGATAAATGGGATCTAATTAAACTAAAGAACTTCTGCACAGCAAAAGAAACTACCATCAGAGTGAACAGGCAACCTACAGAATGGGAGAAAATTTTTACAATCTACCCATCTGACAAAGGGCTAACATCCAGAATCTACAAAGAACTTAAACAAATTTACAAGAAAAAAATCAAACAACCCCATCAAAAAGTGGGCAAAGTATATGAACAGACACTTCTCAAAATAAGATTTTTTTGCAGCCAACAGACACATGAAAAAATGCTCATCATCACTGGCCATCAGAGAAATGCAAATCAAAACCACAATGAGATACCATCTCACACCAGTTAGAATGACGATCATTAAAAAGTCGGGAAACAACAGGTGCTGGAGAGGATGTGGAGAAATAGAAACATTTTTACACTGTTGGTGGGACTGTAAACTAGTTCAACCATTGTGGAAGTCAGTGTGGCGATTCCTCAAGGAGCTAGAACTAGAAATGCCATCTGACCCAGCCATCCCATTACTGGGTATATACCCAAAGGATTATAAATCATGCTGCTATAAAGACACATGCACACGTATGTTTATTGCGGCACTATTCACATAGCAAAGACTTGGAACCAACCCAAATGTCCATCAATGATAGACTGGATTAAGAAAATGTGGCACATATACACCATGGAATACCATGCAGCCATAAAAAAGGATGAGTTCATGTCCTTTGTAGGGACATGAATGAAGCTAGAAACCATCATTGTGAGCAAACTATTGCAAGGACAGAACACCAAATACCACATGTTCTCACTCATAGGTGAGAATTGAACAATGAGATCACTTGGACACAGGGTGGGGAACATCACACACCAGGGCCTGTCGTGGGGTGGGGGGAATGGGGAGGGATAGCATTAGGAGATATACCTAATGTAAATGACGAGTTAATGGGTGCAGCATACCAGCATGGCACATGTATACATATGTAACAAACCTGCATGTTTTGCACATGTACCCTATAACTTAAAGTATAATAACAAAAAATAAATAAATAACTGTTTTCCTTTTTGAACAGCCTTTTCCCCAACCGGGGCATTTTCGTCTTCCCTTTCACCCCCGTGAAGTTTATCTGCCTTTTTTGCTTACTTAAGTTGTTCTAAATTCCTAAGGATAGCATCAAATCTTTGTAATCCCCTTTTACCTCCTCTGTTCTAATTCTGATTGGCTACTTGCTGGGAATGCTGCTCTCTGTAGTCTGAGACCTTATTCCGTGATTCTCCTGAGGGACTCAGCTATATGTGTCACATCCCAAATCTTACTCTTCACTTCCTCTATCTGTTGGTGTGCATCGCTTAAGAAAGGAGAAAGCATATGCAGAAGGCAAATTTTTTAGTTCTTACATATCTGACGATGTCTTTATTGTAACTAACACTTGTTTGATAGTTTTTTGGGTATAGAATTCTAAATTGAAACTAACTATCCTTCAAAAATCTGAAGGCATTGCTCCTGTTTTCTAGTTCCCAGAGTTATTGAGAGAAAATCTGAAGCCATCCTGATTCCTGGGTTTTATTTGTGACATTTCCCACCTCCTCTCTTTAGAAACATATGGGATTTATTCTTTTTCTATGGTAGTCTAAAATTTCACTGTTATTTGCCTTGCTCTGAGTCTATTTTTATGTAATGTTTTAGGTACTTAGTTAACTCTTTACATATGGAAACTCATGTTGTTCAGTTTGGGGAAATTTTCTTGGATTGTTTTCTTGATGATTTCCTCCTATAGTCCCACTGTCCTCTCTTTCTGAAACTTATCTTGGTCTGATGTTAGACCTCATCCTCTTTCTTTCTCTCTTTCTTTTCTTTCTTTCCTTTCTCCCTTTCTTTCTCTTTCTCTTTCTTTCTTTCCTTTATTCCTTCCTTCTTTCTCTCTTTCTTCCTTTCTTCCTTTCTTTCCTTTCTTTCCTTTCTCTCCCTCCCTTCCTTCCTTCTTTCTTCTTCCTTCCTTTCCTTCCCTCCCTCCCTTCTTTCTCTCTCTTTGCTTCTCCTTTCCTTCCTTCCTTCTTTCCTTCCTTCCTTCTTTCCTCCCTCCCTCCCGCTCTCTCTCCTTCTCTTTCTTTCTTCTTTCTTTCTTCTTTCTCTTTTTCATCTTTCTTTCTTTCCTTCGTTCATTCGTTCTTTCTTTCCTTCTTTCTTCACCAATGTGACTCACCATACCTGTTAGATATTTTAAATCTATCCTTTATGTTTCTCATTTTTTCTCATTGTTTTCTCCCTCTTTTGTGGAGAGGGCTGTACTTACTCAAAGACAGCTTTATTTTTGTTATCTAACTCTTCTTTTGAGGTTATCTACTTCAAGTTTCTCATATCTGCTCTAAATTTTAAAATTTCAAAGGCCTTTTCTTGTTCTCTGATTGTTTCTTTTCTTTTTAGAGACTGAGTCTCACTCACTCTATGACCCAGGCTGGAGTGCCGTGGCATGATTTCGGCTCACTGCAACCTCTGCCTCCCAAGTTCAAGTGATTCTCCTGCCTCAGCCTCCTGAGTATCTGGGATTACAGGCATGCACCACCATGGCCGGCTAATTTTTGTATTAGGGCTGGTCTCAAACTCCTGACCTCAAGTGATCCACCCATATCTGCCTCCCAAAGTGCTGGGATTACAGGCATGAGCCACTGCACCCAGCCTGATGGTATCTCTTTTATAATATCTTGTTCTTAGGCTGGGTGCGGTGGCTCATGCCTGTAATCCCAGCACTTTGGGAGGCCGAGGCGGGCCAATCATGAGGTCAGGAGTTTGAGATCAGCCTGGCCAACATGGTGAAACCCTGTCTCTACTAAAAATACAAAAAATTGGCTGGGCATAGTGGCAGGCACCTGTAATCCCAGCTACTCAGGAGGCTGAGGCAGGAGAATTGCTTGAACCCGGGAAGCGGAGGTTGCAGTGAGCTGAGATCGCGCCACTGCACTCCAGCCTGGGTGACAGAGTGAGACTCCATCCTCCCCCCCACCCCCCCAAAAAAAGAAGAAAAAATCCTGTTCTTATTATGTGGTTGAAATATTGAACCTATGATATTGAATGATAGTTTTTTATTTTTTTCTCCTTACATTGTCTGTTTCCTTCAGATTTTGATACTTCTGTTTATTTATTTAGTTTAGTTTTAATCTTTCCCATTAAAAGCTTCCCTCAAATGTCACATATTTGATGGTCAGCTCATATTTGAGAGTGAGGGACTAAAAAGATGTTTGGCAGCTCTGAGCATGTGGCTGAGACATTTGGACAGGAAACTTCACTGGAAGCTAATCTGAGCACCATTTGGAGACAGTCCCTGACAGGTCTGGCTTCAAGCTATCTGGGAATGGAGCACGAGGGCGGGGGAAATCCCATCCCCAGCATTCATGACATTCCCACGTAGTCAGGATGGTACCTTCACCTCGACTCTACCTGGTGTCCTCAGAGACCTTCCGTTTTCCTCTCCAGAGGAAAAAACTGCCATTTTCTGCTGGGATGGCACGGGGCAGTCACACTACTGAGAGGAGTAGGGGAGAGGAAGTGGGAACATCACTGCTTCTCAAACAGACTTTAAAAAATGTGTGACAACTTTATTCAAATGCATCTCAGATACCATGTTATCATCCATTTAAAGTGTTCAATTCAGGGGCTTTAGCTTATTCACAGTCGTATAACTATCACCACAATAAATTTCAAACATTTCTTCACGCCCAAAAGAAACCCTATACCAATTAGCAGCTAGTCCCAACTTTCCCCTCCTCCCAAATGTCCCCTCCTCAGCCCTAGGCAACCACCAATCTGCTTTTAGTTTATGGATTTGCCTATCCTGGACATTTCATATATATTGGATAATGTGATTGTGTGTGTTCTTTTGTGACTGGTTTCTTTCCCTTAACATAATGTTTTCACTTTTTCTTTCTTTTTTTTTGAGACGGAGTTTTGCTCGTCACCCAGTGTGGAGTGCAATGGCGCGATCTCGGCTCACTGCAACCTCTGCCTCCCGGGTTCAAGCAATTCTCCTGCCTCAGCCTCCCAAGTAGCTGGGATTACAGGCGTCCACCACCACAACCGGCTAATTTTTGTATTTTTTGTAGAGACAGGGTTTTGCCATGTTGGCCAGGCTGGTCTTGAACTCCTGACCTCAGGTGGTCCACCCACCTCGGCCTCCCAAAGTGCTGGGATTACAGGCATGAGCCACCATGTACGGCCTTAACATAATGTTTTTCAAAGTTTATCCTTGTTGTAGTATGTATAAGGACTTCATTTCCTTTTGTTGCCACATAATATGACGTTGTCTTAATATATCACATTTCATTTGTTCATTCATCAGCTGATGGACATTTAGGTTTCCTTTTTTGGACTATGAACATTGATGTGCAATTTTGTGTGTGTACATATAGCTTCATTTATTTGGGGTATAGCTAGGAGCAGAACCTCTGAGTCATATGGTAACTCTCTGTTTAAGCCTTTGAGGCTTAAACCAAAATATTTTTCAAAGCACCTGCACCATTTTACTTTCCCATCAGCAATTTATGAGTGTTTTAATTTCTCCACATGCTCATCAACATACGTTATTGTCTGTTTTTTTATTATAGCCATCCTAGTTGGTGTGAAGTGATATCTCTTTGTAGTTTTGACTTGCCTTTCCCTAAATGACTAATCCTGAGCATTTTTTTTTTTTTTTTTGAGACAAGGTCTGGCTCTATCGCCCAGGCTAGAGTGTAGTGGCACGATCTCCGGTCACTGCAACCTCCACCTCCTGGGTTCAAGCAATCCTCCCACCTCAGCCTTCTGAGTAGCTGGGACTACAGGTGCACACCACGACACCTGACTAATTTTTGTATTTTTTGTAGAGACAGGGTTTTGCCGTGTTGCCCAGCCTTGTCTCAAACTTCTGAGCTCAAGTGATCTGCCCACCTCGGCCTCTCAAAGTGCTGGGATTACATGTGTGAGCCACTGTGCCCGGCTGAGCATCTTTTCTTGTGCTTATTGACCATTTATATACCTTCCCTGGAGAAATGTCTACTCAGATCCTTTGCCCATTTTAACACAAGCCCCTTATCAGATATATGATTTATAAAAGTCTTCTCCCATTTTGTTGTCTCTCCATTTTCTTCTTGGTGTCCTTTGAAGCACAAAAGTTTTTCATTTTCATTTAGCCCAAGTATCTATTTTTTATGTTATTGCTTTTACTTTGGGTGTTATATCTAGGAAACCATTGGCTAATCCATGGTCAAGAAGATTTATGCCTATGTTATCTTCTAAGAGTTTTATAGTTTTATCTCTTACATTAAGGTCTTTAATCCTTTTGAGTTAATTTTTGTATATGGAATGAGGTAGAGGTTTAAAATTCTTTTGCACATGGATATCCAGTTGTCCCAACCCCATTTTTTTGAAGAGTGTTCTTTCCCTCATTGAATTGTCTTAGCACCTATGTTGAAAATCTGTTGACCATAAATATAAGGTTTATGTCTGGACCCTGCATTCTATTCCATTGATCTATCTTTTTGTCCTCATGTCAGTATCACACTGTCTTGATTAACATGGCTTTGTAAGTAAGTTTTGATATCAGGAAATATGAGTCCTCCAAAAAACCAGCTGGGATTTTGATAAGAATTGTGCTGTATCTGTAGATCAATGTGAGGAGTATTGCCATCTTAATAACATTGAATCTTCTGATCCATGTATATGGGATGTCTTTCCATTTATTTAATGTCTTTGACTTCTTTGACATAACTTCTTTAATGTCTTTGAGCAATTATTTTGTTTCCAAAATATGTTTTCCCCTTCTTTTGTTAAATTTCTTTCAAAGTGTTGTATTCTTTTGGATGCTATTGTAAATAAAATTGTTTTTAGAATTACATTTCATATCATTTATTGTTACCATATAGGAGTATAATTGGGTTTTTTTGTATATTGATCTTGTGTCTTGCAACCTTGCTGAACTCATTTATTAGTTCTAATTGTATATAGAATCTTGGGATTTTCTGAACACAAGATCATATCTTCTGCAAGTAGATATAGTTTTATTTCTTTCTTTCCAATCTGAATCCCTTTTATTTCATCTTCTTACCTAATTGCCCTGGTGGTTAGAAAGTTGAATAGAAGTAGTGAGAGTGGAAATCCCTGTCTTGTTCCTAATCTTAGGGAGAAAGCTTTCAGTCTTTCAGCATTAAGTATGATGCCCACCTTGGGAAAAACAGAATTTTAATCAGTTCTTATTTTAGTTGCCTTTTTACCCCTAGTTCTAAGATAATAATGCTACCAATTTCTGAGCATTTTAGGGCTTCTGGATTGTCGGCTGGATGGTTTTAGGCTGTCTCCACTGCAAGCTTAGAATTCTGTTTTCTTTAATAAAATATTAATGAAATGATGATAACTACGATACTGATAACCATGGAACTTTAAAAAAAATTGTATAAATTTAAGGGCGCAAGTGCAGTTCTGTTACATGGAAATGCCGGGTAGTGGTGAAGTCTAAGCCTCTAGTGTAACTATTACCCCAAAAATGTACATTGCACCCACTGAGTAATTTCTCATTCCTCACCCCTCTCCCATACCCTCATACTCTTCTAAGTCTTCCAAGTCTATTATTCTATACTCTATGTCCATGTCTACACATTACTTAGCTCAACCATGGGATTTTAAATTCAAGATGTCAGACTAACCACACGTTTCTCTGTCCAGGTGAGGGGTGAGAAATTACTCAATAGGTGCAATGTACATGTTTTGGGTAATGGTTACACTAAAGGCTGGATCTAAATTAAATTGGCAGTAAGTGAATTGTAAAATAGTATAAACCACAATTGTGAAGAGAACTGGGGTGATTTCATCAGTAGACTAGAATTTTCAGCTGATTTCTAGAAGACAGAAAGTAGATGGAGGGGTTTCTGATGAAAATGTTTATCAAACACATGCATCTACTTTTTTTTTTCTTTGAGATGGAGTCTCATTCTGTTGCCCAGGCTGGAGTGCAGTGGTGCAGTCTCAGCTCACTGCAACCTCTGCCTCCTGGGTTCAAGCAATTCTCCTGCCTCAGTCTCCCAAGCAGTTGGGATTACAGGTGCATGCCACCATGCCCAGCTAATTTTTTGTATTTTTCTTTTTTAATAGAGATGGGGTTTCACCACGTTGGCCAGGCTGGTCTCGAACTCCCGACTTCAGATGATCCACCCACTTTGGCCTCCCAAAGTGCTGGGATTACAGGCATGAGCCACCACGCCTGGCCCAAGCATCTACTTCTACTTGTTTCTAAAATATATTTTTTGATGGCATAAAACCATGAGGACAGGGAGTCTCACATTCCAGAGAATCCCAGTCTATCACTCACAAAGTAGGATGTATCCAATTTGGTTTGAATGGCTTGGGTCGGTTCTGGGTCCTCAGCTTCCATGACCTCAGGTCGTAGTGAATCTACACTCCAGGGAGGTGGAGCCACACAAAGGACAGCGGGAAGAGCTGGGAGCTTCCTTCTGTTCCTGTTTCCTCTCCTGAGGCTTCTTAGGTGAATCATGGAGCTTTGCTCCCTGGCAGTCCCTTTGCTAAAATGAGGATAAAAACATCTGTCCTCTCTCCTTCAGGGGTGTAGTTGCTGGACTAAACTGAGATCAGAAGTAGGTATAATCTAGAAATTCTCATTCTCAGACTTTGAATGTTAAAATCATCTCCCTTTAACATTCAGATTACAACGATGGCATGGACTGGCCTGCCCAGGTTACCAGATGAGCTTTGTAGTCTAATCCAGACCTCCCCTTAACTCTCCTGCTGTGGAAGTCAGTCCTCATAATTCCACCATTGTGGCATGTGATGCGACACTGTCCACTGACCACAGGGCCTTTCCCACTGTAAAATGTGATGTGTTCACCACTGTTTAACTGCTGTTACCAACTCCCACGAAGGAGGATCTGCCTTCTCTAACATGTCACTCAGCATGGGTGCCCCCAGGCACAAATCACGTAGTGCCAGCAGGTTGGTGGTGGCTAGAAGTGGTGTTCCAGCATCAGCCCTCCTCTCCTGCCCACCAGTCCTGGCACAGCACCCAGGTCAACAGTAAAAATCCTACAGGTAAATTGTATCTGGGATACAATGTAAATTGTAAATTCATTATCCTCTGTTTATTCAGTCCATCCTCCATTCATGCAACATGTTCCAATATCCTGCTGATAGGTGTGGTGGGTTGAGTAATGAACCGCCATAGAGTTTAATGTCCTAATCTCTAGAATCTATGAATATGTTACCCTACAGGCCAAATTAATTTTGCAGCTGTGATTAAATGAAGGATTTTGAAATGGAAGATCATCCAAGTGGGTCCAGTGTCATCACAAAGGTCCTCCAGAGTGAGGCAGGAGAGTCAGAGGGAGAGAAGGAAGCAGAGGGAGAGAGAGACATGTAACAACAGAAGCGTGGCAGTGGGGAGAGGAGGGCAGGGAGGGAGAGAGAGGGAGAGACAGATATTGAAGATGGAGGAAGGGGCCACCAGCCAAAGAATGCAGATGGCCTCTAAAAGCTAGAAAGGGCAAGGAAACAGATTGTCCCCTGGAACCCCCAAAAGTAATGCAATCTTGCTGAGACTCTGGTTTTAACCACATAAAATTCAACTTGGACTTCTGACCTCCCGAACTGTAAGAGGATAAATCTGTGTTCTTTAAGCCACAATAAGTTCGTGGTGATTTTGTTTGTGGTAACAAGCAGCAATAGAAAACTAATAAAGTAGAAGTGAAAATTGGATCATCTGCTTTGAAAAGCTGTTTGGTGGCATCTCCAGAAGCTGAACATATGCCTACATCATGACTCACAATTCCACTCCTAGGTATGTACCCAACAGAAATAAGTATATATGGTCACCAAAAGACATCTATTTTAATGTTCATAGCAGCATTATTTGTAATGTCCCAAACCTGAGAATTACCCAAATGTCTATCAGTAGTAAAATGAATAAGCAATTGAGGCACAATCACAAAACGGAATACTATACAGCAAAAAGAATAAACAGACTACAGCCACACACAGTATGCATCTCTTAATCATACTATTAGTGAAAGAGGCCAGTCAACAGAGTGATTCAATCACTATAAAGTACAAAAAGAAACAAAACTACTCTATGCTGTTTGAAGCCACCACTCCCTCCAATGAGAAATCTGAAGAGGGAGTGTTGTGAGGGTACTGGTAATGTTCTGCTTCTTGATCTGGATGATGCTCATTTTGTGCAAAATCATCGGACTTGTGAAATGTGTGTCTTTTTTTTTGAGATGAAGTCTGGCCCTGTGGCCCAGGCTGGAGTGCAGTGGCACTATCTCGGCTCACTGCAGTTGCTGCCTCCTGGGTTCAAGTGATTCTCCTGCCCAAGCCTCCCCAGTAGCTGGGATTACAGGCATAAACCACAACACCTGGCTAATTTTTGTATTTTTGTAGAGATGGGGTTTCATCACGTTGGCCAGGCTGGTCTTGAACTCCTGACCTGGAAGTGATTCACCCTCCTTGGCCTCCCAAAGTGCTGGGATTACAGGCATGAGCCACAGCACTCAGCCAAAATATTTGCCTTTTAATAGGTACACTGCACATTGATGAAATTTTTTTAAGAGAACAGTCGGAGGTGGTAAGGGGGAGGAGCCCCGTGCCTTCATGCAAATTGGCTCAGTCTTCCTGGTAACCTCCAAACAAACAGCTGTAGGCAAAGGGCAGCCCAGATATAGGATTCAAACTCCCTAGAGCCTAACTTTGGGGTAAAGCACCCTGTGCAATTGCTTTGCATATGTTTACTAAATGAGGACCCTTTAGGTCCTCATTTCGGAGAGATCTTTTCTTTAATAAAGGAAGCCTGACCAGAGATAAATCTACTTTTCCCGAGAACTCAAAACTATAAACAAGTTTTGATTGACATTATCTGAATAACAAAAATAGTGATGGCCTTTCTCCACCAGACCCTCCAAGATAAATGAAGAGTTAAAAACTTTGCTTCTGGCCGGGCGTTGTGGCTCACACCTGTAATCCCGGCACTTTGGGAGGCCGAGGTGGGTGGATCACTTGAGGTCAGGAGTTCGAGACCAGCCTGGGCAACATGGTGAAACCCCATCTCTACTAAAAATACAAAAATTGGCCAGGCGTGATGGTGCACACCTGTCATCCCTGCTACTCCAGAGGCTGGCTCATGAGAATCGGTTGAACCCAGGAGGCAGAGGTTGCAGTGAGCCGAGATCACACCACTGCACTCCAGCCTGGGTGACAGAATGAGACTCCGTCTCAAAAAAACCAAAAACTAAAAACGACAGAAAAAGTTGCTTCTGCTTCATTTCCTTTTCATCTCTCAGTAGAGTTTAACATATGAAATGTATTTTTCGAAATTTTGTTAATATGTTTATTCATGTTTTAATAATAGCATAATAACCTTATAAATTCCTAAAGACGTAAATAAGAACGGTTGTTCCCACTAACACCCCAACCTGAAGTGTGGCTCTGGCTTTACCTGAAGTGGGTACAGGGATGCGGAGGGGTGGAAGGACCGGTGGGGACAGATGGACCCATGAACCAGCGGGTGGATGTGAGCTGAGGGGAGGGATACGGACTGGAGGAGCCAAAGCCCGTGACGTAGGGGTGCGTGCTTCCCTCAATGGGGAGACCCTGCTGCCGCTGTTGTTGGCCAAGTCGCCGTGGCCGAAGCGCGGTGGCCGAAGCGGGGGACGGGGGTGGGACTTACGGGGACAGAAGGCGGAGCTTCCAGCAGCTGCTGGCCCCCCTGGGTCCAGAGGAGCCTTGCCGCCCTCACCTGCGCAGAGCCTGGAGCCGACGCGTCACCCCCAGCGGAAGCGCCTCGCTGCCCGGGCGTCTGGCGAGGTGTGCGCTCCGGGTCCCAGCTCCAGCGCTTCGCGGCAGTCGCCCGCCTCTTTCCGCAAGCAGGGCGGGGACTGGGCGGCATCTACCGAGATCTGCGATTCGAGGCGCCGAGGAGCCGAAGACCACAGCTCAGCTCAGACGGCGCCCTAGGGCCGCACAGAGGGTCGGGCAGTGCCGGAGAGAGGTTTGAAAGCGCCGCCGCCAACTCGACAGCGCGTCCCAGGTCAGTGTGAGGCGCCGTCCCTGCCGGCTGCACTTGGGAAACTTTGGCTTGCAGTGGCGGCTGCCGGGAGGAGGACATCGAGGGCGCAGCGTGGAACCCAGCGGCCCGCACGGCCTCAGTGCTCCCTGCCCGGTGCGCGCAAGCCCCTGAAGCCCGCACCTCCCGCTCACCCTGACATTGCAGTGCCCCGAGCAGGATGAGAGACCCAGGGCCAGCCGAGGGCCGCCGGGCTGCAGGGGCCTCCCGAGAGACTCTGCCCCGCCACCCCGGGGCGCGCTCCACGCGAGCTCACCCTCGCGCCTCCTGCCTTTCCCACTGGTTCTCGGTTCCAGTTTTGCGGCCGCTGGGGCTTGGACTCCGCGGGGATGCGGGTTCCGCCTCCTTCTCAGCCTCGCCGAGCGGCGGGAACCGGCGAGGGCTGCCCGGCCGCGGGGTGTCGAGGAGGATGCGGGGCGGGGGGCCTGATGGGCGAAGGTCGGCGCAGCAGCGGGAGCGGCGCGCGCTGGGCCGCAAGAGCGCGCGGGTCGGAGGGGCTGACTTGGGCGCGTCTCCGGAGGGGCTGACTTGGGCGCGTCTCCGCAGGTGCCTCGGCAGCTGGGCAGCAGGAGGTGCCGGCTGGGCGCTGGGGGCGGGCTGGGGACTGCGGAGCCCTTTGCAGCTTCCAGGAGCTCCTGCTTCCAGGAGCCACACAGGGGCGGGCAGCCGGTTCCCGCCCTTCTCAGGTGCGCACAGCCTTGGCACCAGGATACCGGACCCCCTTAGCAGAGAGCCGGGTGCAGAGGTGCGCCTGCTCCGGGATGGGGGCAGTGGCTGCGCCCCTCAGACGCACCATTTCCCAAGGGAGGGCCGCGTCCGGCCGGCGGGCGAGCGGCGCAGGGACCGCTCCGCAGCGGCTGTGGGCAGAACCCGTTTTCATGGATGGTGATCGCCTTAGCCCGCCAGCTGCCTGCCCTGGCTCAGAGATGAGGCGACGAAACGCGCACCCCGCCCCCATCGGTGCCCTGGAGCTGTCGCCCCAGTCACCTTCCTTTGCCCTTCTCCGACAGCGCCTTGAGCTCGCTTCCTCCTGCTCTCAGGAAAAACTGAGGAAACGCGCCTGGTTCCAGGGGTCGGCGGGGACCGTGGAGACGCTGCCAGCATCCTCAACAGCTTGGAAATCCCATCACCTTGGTTCCCTGAGACTTGGAGGACTAGGTTGGCCTCTCTCTCTCTCTCTCTCTCTCTCTCTGTGTGTGTGTGTGTGTGTGTGTGTGTGTGTGTGTGTTTTGGGGGGAGGTGAATCAGTAACAGAGGTTGGGGCATAGATGCCCCAAAGGCCTGGGGGACAGCCGAAGTAACTAGGAGAACACGGCAGCCCTTTGCGGGTATGTGTGGGAAACACAGCAAACCTTACCAGCTACGCGTCTCCTTGGACAGTTTCTAAATATTTCTTGCAAGTCAATACCAGGGAAGAATCTTTTTCTGGCCAGTCATTCCATTTTCCAGGACGACCTCAGATGCATCTTTTATTCTGTCTCTGCCCCTTTCCTTGGGTGGGAGGAGGTACACATTTGCTTGTGGCAAGCAGGCTTGCCTTATTCCAGTGTAGCTGGCCTCCCTCCTGGCCTTCGGCTGCCCACTAGGGCTCTGGGTTTTTTCAAACCCGTCTAGGAAAGGCAGGGCAGCAAACCTCCAGCTCCTGGCCCATTCTACTAATTCAAGGCTGTCCTCTTCTCTGGGACCTGTGAGCTCCCTGGACCCGTCTCTAGGCTGTGGCAGCCATCTATCTCTGCCTTTCACTCCTGCAGGGGAGCCGAGCATCGCACCACTTGGAAGTAATGTCGGAGACAGCTCTGTGTGAATCTGAGGCAGGGGTCCATAGCAAACAGGAAGTGGCCTGGAATGAGGAATGAAGAGTTTGCCTCAGATTTTCTCCAAGTGTGCATTAGAAGCACCTCCCATGGAATATGTGGGAGTGGAGCCTAGAATTTTCTTTTTAACAGGCACTCCATGTGTTTCTTATGCCCACAAAAGAAGAACCCATTGGTATAGGGAACTTAGCATCCCATCGTCAGACCCCATCAGTCCTGAGGATTCCTGTATGCAGTGCCTGTATTTGGTGATGCATGTTTGTAAATGGACATTTATTGAATTCGTAAGTAGCAAGTATGTTCGGATCTTTTAAAATCCTCACAATCATCTACTGTAAAGTAGATATTATCCCCATTTCAGGGGTGAGGAAACTAAGGCTCAGAAGAATGACCTCCCAGAGGTTGATAACTTGGAGAGATCCGGAGCCCAGGTCCCTGATACGCACCCTGCTGCCTCATCTGAGCAGTCTTTAATCCCCTTTGGGGCAGCACATAGGCAGGGACTGGGGCAAGGGCGACGGGCTGAATTTTGAGTTCAAACCCATTTGTTAAGTTCTTCCCCACCATGGCCAGATGATGAACTTTATGAGAGGAAGCGTGGATCCTATTTGGAGGTAGAGTGAAAGGCTCAAAAGAAAATAACTTTTCCTTCTTTTCTTTTCTTTTCTTTTTTTTTTTTTTTGAGACGGAGTCTTGCTTTTGTCACCCGGGCTGGAGTGCAGTGGTGCAATCTCGGCTCACTGCAACCTCCGCCTCCCGAGTTCAAGTGATTCTCCTGCCTCAGCCTCCTGAGTAGCTGGGATTACAGGCACCCGCCACAATGCCCGGCTAATTTTTGTATTTGTAGTAGAGATGGAGTTTCACCATGCTGTCCAGGCTGGTCTCAAACTCTTGACCTCAGTTGATCCGCTCCCCCTCGGCCTCCCAAAGTGCTGGGATTACAGGCATGAGCCACCATGCCCGGCCACTTTTCTGCCTTAATGAAAGGAAAACTGGGGGTGGCATGGGGACAAAAAGCCACAGGAAAGGCCTGGCCTATCGTCTCCAAGATGGCTTTGCAAGCACCTCAGCTCATGCAGCACTGCCATGTGAGATAACACACAAATCAGGCCCTCAAAACAGTCCTACTCCGTGCGAAGCTCATCCAAGAAGCAAGGTGATATTGAGATAAAGGACACAAACATGTAATTGACCTCTGGCAAACAGGTGAGTAAGATGATTGGCTTTGGGAGAGTGCCCTCACCTTTCCTTTCTCAGCCTCCTGATCTGCACCAAGTGAGTGCCGAGGCCCTTCCAACCCCAGCAGTCCTCGCATGGCAGACTCAGCCCTGCAGGCAGACACACACGGGGTTGCTGTGCATAGAATCTCCAGACACTTTACAAACTCATAATCAGTGAGATATGACTAACTGAGCAAACATTGGGGGATTTCTTAATAAGGAATTTAAAAACTAGACTCCAAATGGGAAAGATGCATGTAACAAATTATTGGTGTTTATGTAACTCTGAATAGCTTTGATTTCCTTCAGTAGGAACTGACAGCTGGCTGACAGAAAACTTATCCAGGGAGAGAAGAGACAAAAGTGAAGTGTGAAATTTTGAATAATGTTTTCAGGTAAGTTTCTATTTCCATTTAGAGTGGGTGTCTGGAAGGGTGAATGCAGTTATGGTTTGAATTTCTTTCATGTATCGACAGATATTTTTAATAGGGCTCATCTTTCCAAGATGCAATGTGTCTTACTTCCTTTTCCTGGCTTCCAGTCCCCTCGTAGCAGGGCAAGGAGCTGGGGACTTCAACGTTTGGCCTGCACATGCTCACTGAATCCCTGTTTTCAGCAAGCTGCCTCTAAGTTTGGAGCCTTTCTGATCAATTTAGAAAATAAATCTTCATTTTCTTGCCTAGGAAAGTGGTTGTCTGATTCCTGGGGTGGGATAGAATATGTAGGGGTCCAGTCGTTCTGTTCACAGACTTTCAATCATCTTCTTGTTCTAAGCCCTGATACTCATTGCCATTTTCTATGGCACTTGGGACCTCTAAGTCCTAAATGTCACAGGTCCTGTGGGTAAGCAGCCTCCCTGGGTCTATGTCCTGCAGCCTCCTCTGCTATGCTAAGGCCATTTGCCACTCCACCATCCCCCCATTTCCAGAGCTTGTTTGAAATTGCTCATCTAATGGTATCTCTCCTCCAATTTTCTTTGTTCTTAAAAATACACATATTTAAAATATTTTTTAAAAATAACTCAGTGCTTATTATTTTGGTGGCATCTTGGGCATAGAGGGAGGAACTAAAGGAGCATCGTAAATATGCCATGATGAGGTGCAAGTGATATTAAAGACACTGCAATTTTTGAATGAAAAGCAGTTTATCCAGCTGTTTAATAATTAATATCTTGTAATAATGTCGAAATGATAGTATTTGGAAATTGTAAGGGAAGTATACTTAAAGGATATGCTCTTTCCATGTTTTGCTTATTAGATTCCACTGATGTTTACCAAATGAGAAGAAGCATAGCATCTTAGAAATATGAGATCCTTAAAAAACAACATTTCCAGTATTTTATCTGTTATTTTAAATAGGCTATGGATTGGAGAGATGATAAACATTTCACAAAGCTAATTCTGAGATAAACACTTTAAAAAAGAAGAATGCAGTGAGTGTGAAGACAAAACAAGAAAGTATTTCTCTAGACAGTGTCTGATTTCATTACCACATCCCCATGGAATGCACGTTCTATGATTGTCATTCCACGCATGAGGAACTCAAGACTCCTAGAGGCTGAGAGACTTGATCAGGGCACATAGCCAATAAGTGTGAGAGTCACGATTGACACCTGTCGGATGCCTGAACTTTCTGCAGTTGAACTATTATCTGTATCGAAGGTACAACTGAATTTGGGGATTGCTTATAGTCTAGACATAACAAAGGGATTGACTGGATGTTAGTATGCTATCAGCACTCAGTGTCCAATCAGGATGCTCCAAGGAGGAAAGAACGTTCTAGGCAAGAGAAGTGGTCTTCGTCAAAAGTAGAGTTCAATTCTATGAAAAGGAAATATGTCAGACATAAATATCAGTGTTTTTGATGTACAAATGGAGAAGGTGAGATAAAAGAACCCCTGGAAAAGGATGAAGGGCTAAAGAGAAGGGGATTCTTCCATTCAGGCACTGATTACAGAAAGAACCTGAACATGTATTGTACATTTGGAGAATAAAGTATCTAACACCTTTTTTCTCTGACAAGTTTAATGTCTAGGCAATTTCAAAAGTTCTCTACTAAACGTTAAAAAGTGAGCAAACAGGCTGGGCGCAGTGGCGCACGCCTGTAATCCCAGCACTTTGGGAGGCTGAGGCAGGCAGATCACCTGAGGTTGGGAATTCGGGATCAGCCTGACCAACGTGAAGAAACCCCATCTCTACTAAAAATACAAAATTAGCTGGGTGTGGTGGCACACACCTGTAATCCCAGCTACTCCAGAGGCTGAGGCAGGAGAATCACTTGAACCCAGGAGGCGGAGGTTACAGTGAGCCGAGATTGTGCCATTGCACTCCAGCCTGGGCAACAACAGCGAAACACCATCTCAAAAAAAAAAAAAAAAAAAAGAAGTGAGCAAACAAAGTGGCTTTAAAAGTCTTTATAATGAGGAAAAAGTCAACCTCATGGGGCTGGTTTTGCTGGACACTCCCCCAGTCCTCAGAGGAGAGGGTCTGCCTATGTCCACATTGCAGGTGGATTAGGCAGCGAGTTGGTTCCACTGCTCAACTTCTCTGAGACCCTGGAGCCCACAGCACCCTCTTTTTCCACAAGACTGTGATGGGGCCACTGTCCTCCTTAGGCACGGCCGTCGCCAGCATAGTACCGGCTCCTCTTCTTCTCCCAGAACCTCCTGACACCAACCTTGGTGAAAGAAAAGCTGTGACAGTAAGTGCTCAGGTTTAGTGTTGTGGAGAAAGGCCTTTACTGGAGGATGATAGCTGAAAAGTAGAAAGTCTTGGCTGGGCATGGCGGCTCACACCTGTAATCCCAACACTTTGGGAGGCTGAGGTGGGAGGATCGTTTGAGGCCAGGAGATCAAGACCAGCCTGGACAATATAGCAAGAACCTGTGCCAAAAAATAAAATAAAATATTTAAAAAAATGTTTTAAGTAAAATACCTTCCCCTAAAGATTCTGCTAAGACTTTAAAAACTAAAAACAAGATTGACCTAAACACTAGAAACTCTAAGAGAGTATAATATTGAAATCTGGTATCTGGCAACTTGTTCTCATTTGAATATCTGTTTCTCAAATGCTACTTTTGGTCAAACAATTTTTTTAAATGACTGATACTGTATAGCAATTGAATTGCAATTACTAAGTAGTTTCTATATTTGATATTACATTCCAGCTCATTTCTCTACATTTCTATGATCTATTAAGCCCATTTATATATGAAAAATGCTTTTAAAATGATCCTTTTGTGATCACTGTCTCATGTGAGCTCTTTTCAGATGCTTTGCATTCAGAATAGACCTCTGAGTTGGGACCCAAGCTGTCAACTGATCCCAAATTCCTAAGTTCCTGACTTGCAGGTATGTCTGGCTCCAAGATAGCCTTTATAGAGTATGTCACAGGGGACATAAAATCAAAGCATTCACTCTCATTGCATTTATGTATGTATATATTGAGTAGTTCTTTGCTTTGCATCATGAATGATACTGCAGTGGAGATGAACACTATGTCCTTTTGAATACTGCCTTTCAGGAGCTTAGTTGTTGAAACTCCAGTGAAAGTCAAGGCACAAATGTCATAGATAATGTCATGAGAACTGAATGACTCTTTTAAAAGGAAGACCTAATAGGACTCTTTGTAAATTTTAATAATGAAGTATATCTCACATATATGCTATGCTCTTTTCTGCACACACATTCTATTTTACAATAAGTAAATAAAAGTGATATATAGAAGAGTACATGAAATGCGTACTGTTTAAAGAAGAAGAATAGAATGGACACCCACCTATGCACCACCCAGACTGGGAAATAGAACATCACCTGAACCTTCGGGCCTCTCTCTGTCCCTCCCAAACGGCATTGTTCTCCTAATCTCTACCAAGGAGTAGCTGTCTCTTGATGTTTGTATTAATCATTCCCTTTGCTTTTAAAAAAATTTTTCAGGTTCCCCCTTATATTTGATCCCTAAGTAAAATAATTATTTATTTTTTAAAAACTTAGTAGCAGGTACAAAATTAGATGAATAAAGAAAGGACAATATTGCCAGTGTATGACAAAAGCTTTTCATTTTTCATCTTTTTCAATTTTTCATCTTTTCATTTTTCCGATTAATATGTTTCCTCCAAGTTGCTTTTTTCAGTTTGTTCTAGTCTCTATCTTTAATGTAAGAGGCATTTTTGTTTGTTTTTAAATTTTTGGTGTGGCTGCTCATGGTTAAAGGGTTGGGATTAAAAGCTGATGAGAAGCCTTAAACACACAAATGAGGCTTGCGTTTTCAGCCTCATTTCGGGTACTGATTACAGAAAGAACCTAAACATGTGGGTACATTTGGAGAATAAAGTATCTGACACCTTTTTTCCCTGACAAGTTTAATGTTTAGACAATTTCAAAAGTTCTCTACTAAATGTTAAAAAGTGAGTGAACAGGCTGGGCGCGGTGGCACCAAATGTAAGTACGACCTGGGTGGCATGTCAGATTCTTGAGAGAACACTATAGCAATTTATCCCTGAGGGCTGAGGGCGTGGCTGCCGGCCTCCTCGAAGCCAAGCTGGGGAAGCAGGCTGTGGGACCCTTCAGCCGTGGTCAGTAAGCAATCACTTATTCCCCTGTTTTCTTGTTCTCAAACATGCCTGGTGTCTCCAAGTCCAGAGATGCTCTGTTTCATCATTTCCTGAGAATAAACCTCTAGACATCCCAGAGAGCGGGAGGGGTAGTCTTCTATCTCCTAGTGACTGCCTAGTGGAGTTGGAGGAGTGACCTAAGGTAGCACTTCTCAAACCTTAATGTGCATACAAATCACCTGGGGATCTTGTTAAAATATAGGCTGTGATTCAGTAGCTCTGGGGTGGAGCTGACATTCTGCATATAAAAGAGTTTTCTGGTGGTGGTGATGCCAGGGTAGGATCACACCTCAAGTAGCAAGGACCTAGGAATCTAACTGCTTATCTGACAGCTTTTCACCTACTCCTCCTTATTTTAGCTGTATTCTTCACACACACACACACACACACACACACACACACACACACACACACACACACGCTGAGTCAGTTACTACTGGCTCATCTGCTTTCTGGCTTCCAAAATATTGTTGCTGCCATCTTCTCCTCTTCCCTCTGTCTTTAATTTTGTCTTTGACAAAATTCTTTGGTTTTAAGGATTTTCAGGAAGAAGCAAAATTAGATGTGTGTGTTCTGCCATATTAACCCTAACTATCTGCTAAAATATTTTCCTGAAGTTTGGTTGTAACCAAGTAAATAAAGTCTGTTTCCTTATAAATAACCGCTATTTTAGGCCTCTAGGTCTTTGCAAAAGGAGTATTATCTATTTCTCCCTCCTCCTTTGTCTGCCTGCCAGATTCTTACAAAGTCTTCAAGACCCAACTCAAATAGTTGGCTTCTGTGAAGCCCCTTTTGGTCCCCAGGATGTTAAAGCTTCTGTGCTCTCCTGACTCTGTAACCAGCTGCTTATACAGTATCTCTCCCAAAAGACTGTGAGCTCCTCAGAGATAGGGCTTGTATCTTTGTAGCTCAGTGCCCAGCACATGTCAGGAGCTTGTAGATGTTTAACAATGAAATTTCTGCCTGCATGCTTACTTTTCTCTTTTTTCTTCCCTTTCTTTCTGCTCTCTTCATCTCTTCTTTCTTTTGGTTATTAGATTTGTTATCTATTCTATTATCAAATAGAAATCTATTTCCCATAATCTTAATTTTAAAAGTAAATAGGTAGAATAAACAATAGTTTTCAGTTTCCAAAAACTACTGAATCAATGAAACAGATGTAAATATTATATATACATTCATCTGATTCTCCCCCTCCCAACTCTAAGGACTGTTAAAAGACAAAAATTTTCTTAGTCCTCGATGAAGACATAATTCTTACCACCTAATGGAATTATCTGTTGAAGGAATCTAAATCTAAAATATTTAAATAAATTAAACATAAATATTTTTTAGTTTCAATAACAAAAATTAAAATGTTTACAAAGTCTGGATGGCTCCTTTCAGGTTTCTTGCCTATGAAACTCCTTTTTCAGAGCAGATATACTGTTGTCAAAATTTAACCCTATAGTTCTTGCTAACCTCGTTATGTGGTCAGTATATGATTTAAATAATAGAATCAAGAGAAATGCGTAATCACATGCTCACCATTCCAATCTCAGTGTGAATTTCAGATATTATGTCAGTTATTTTAACACGTTGTAGCCCAAACAATATTTCGTCCTTCAAAAGAAACATAAAAATGTCCCTCAAATTGAAAGTCTAGATATCACTTGCATTACTTAATTGAAGAGCATGTTTAAGTAATGTAATACTAAAGTTTTTACATTAAGCTACCAATATTTTAATTGATTCAGTTGCAATGACAACAGAATTTTGGCTTTTTGGCTTAAGTTTACTTTTTAAAATTTACATTTTAATTAATTTTTTTTAGAGACAGGTTCTCACTCTGTCACCCAGGCTGAGTGCAGGTAGGATGATCATATCTCACTGTAACCTCAAACTCCTGGGCTCAAGTGATCCTCCTGCCTCAGTCTCCTGAGTAGCTGGAACTACAGGTCACACCACCATGCCCAGCTAATTTTAAAACTTATTTTTGGTAGAGATGGAGTCTCACTACACATTGCCCAGGCTGGTCTCAAATTCCTGGCCTCAAGTAATCCTCCTGCTTCAACCTCCCAAAGTGCTGGGATTACAGATGTGAGCCACTGTACTTGTCCTAAATTTGCTTTTTAATATTATTAATTTAAAAATTATTTTTCACAGGTAAATTATTTTTTAATTAATGTGGGACTTAGGAAAGTACTATTTTGGTGCTATAAATATTCAATGAAGATTTTGAAAATAAATTTTAATTTGTAATTTCCTAAAGGTCATTATTATTCAAAAATTTACTTTATTTTGCAATTCACTATTTTGTTCTGCATTTATTAATAGCATGATCCCATTTATGTCCCCTACATATTTTCAAAATTAATTCTGACAAAATGAATATAAGTTGGGATGCTGATTCTGGCTAATCTTTTGGTCTTTGCCATCTTTGATAACCAGGTATTGAGTTCTAACCTCCGAAGATGGATGAAGGTATGGAAATTTCAAGTGAAGGAAATTCCTTGATCAAAGCAGTCCATCAGAGCCGGCTTCGCCTCACAAGACTTTTGCTAGAAGGCGGTGCCTACATTAATGAGAGCAACGACCGTGGGGAAACCCCTTTAATGATCGCTTGTAAGACCAAACATGTCGATCACCAGAGTGTCAGTAAAGCCAAAATGGTGAAATACCTGTTAGAGAACAATGCCGATCCCAACATACAGGACAAATCTGGGAAAACGGCTCTGATGCATGCTTGCTTAGAAAAAGCTGGCCCTGAAGTTGTTTCCTTGCTCCTCAAGAGTGGGGCTGACCTCAGCTTGCAAGACCATTCTAGTTACTCAGCTCTTGTTTATGCTATAAATTCAGAAGATACAGAGACCCTGAAAGTTCTTCTTAGTGCTTGCAAGGCAAAAGGGAAAGAGGTCATCATCATCACAACAGCAAAGTTGCCCTGTGGGAAGCATACTACTAAACAATACTTAAATATGCCTCCTGTGGATATAGATGGGTGTCATTCCCCAGCTACCTGCACCACTCCTTCAGAAATAGACATCAAAACTGCCTCATCGCCACTTTCACATTCTTCTGAAACGGAACTGACGCTTTTTGGCTTTAAAGATCTTGAGCTTGCTGGAAGCAATGATGATACCTGGGACCCAGGTTCCCCTGTGAGGAAACCTGCATTGGCCCCTAAGGGGCCCAAGCTCCCCCACGCTCCACCCTGGGTCAAGAGTCCCCCATTATTAATGCACCAGAACAGAGTGGCTTCATTGCAAGAGGAGCTCCAGGATATTACACCAGAGGAAGAACTATCCTATAAAACCAATGGGCTGGCACTTTCCAAGCGGTTCATCACTAGGCACCAAAGCATTGATGTAAAAGACACTGCACATTTGCTAAGAGCCTTTGATCAGGCCAGCTCAAGGAAGATGTCATATGATGAAATAAATTGTCAATCTTATCTTTCAGAAGGAAATCAGCAATGCATTGAAGTCCCTGTTGACCAGGACCCAGATTCTAACCAGACAATATTTGCTTCCACCTTAAGAAGTATAGTTCAAAAAAGAAACTTGGGGGCAAATCACTACAGCTCTGATTCCCAGCTCTCAGCTGGCCTTACCCCTCCAACTTCAGAAGACGGCAAAGCACTTATAGGAAAGAAAAAGATCCTCTCACCATCTCCTTCCCAATTGTCAGAGTCCAAAGAATTGTTGGAGAATATCCCCCCAGGTCCCCTGAGCAGGAGAAATCATGCAGTTTTAGAAAGGCGAGGTTCAGGAGCTTTCCCTTTAGATCACAGTGTTACCCAAACCAGACAAGGGTTTCTCCCACCCTTAAATGTAAATTCTCACCCTCCCATCTCAGATATCAATGTCAACAACAAGATTTGCAGCCTTCTTTCTTGTGGTCAAAAAGTGCTTATGCCAACAGTTCCGATTTTCCCTAAAGAATTCAAAAGTAAGAAAATGTTGTTAAGGAGACAATCATTGCAAACTGAACAAATTAAGCAATTAGTAAACTTCTAGGAGATGGGTATAAAACACATCTTCTTCAAATGTTTATATCAGAGAAACAAAGAACTAGAGAAGAAATCTTAAATGTTCATTCTTTTAAATCTCGTGATTGGTTAGTCCATAATGGCTAGATGGATTAAAATGTAATGTGATTTGTACTAGGCGTCATGAGCATAAAAAATAATACATAGTTTCTGTTAAGGGAATTCTCTCAAACAAAAGGAAAGCGATTTTTCTCAATGCTTCTAATATTTAACAATCTCCATGTAGTCCAAATTTGTCATTAAAAAAAAATCAAAGAAAGAAGGCCACGTATGTTGGGGTAATTTTTAAAAATTTTCAGATTGGCTAAATATTTTATTAGGAAACAGTTTTCAAGTCAATAATTTTTTTAACATTTCATGTTAATAAATGAGATTGAAATTTTTTATGATCTCTAAACCATAAAAGAAAACACCGACAGCTGTAAAATGTTCTAAGATAAAAAAACTCGAGCTACAAAGAAAGAATGAACTAATTCTTTACAAATGTTGACTGAAGATAGATAAAACTCTAATTAAAAATTTAAAAGGTTAAACACTGTATTAGAATGGGCAACTAAAATATTCGTGGTGTCAGTTTAATTAGTGTCAAACTGGCAAGTCAGAGTTTTACAACCTACTAGTAATCTATGCCGGGTCTTGTTGTTTGTGCACTGTGTTTTGCTTTGCTTTGTTTTGGTTTTTAAACAGACTTACCTGTAAAGTTATCTTACGGAATTATTCTTTCTCCATATCTTTTAAGGAATTATTCTTTCTCCATATCATCTTTTAATTCCTGTTATTAGTTTTGGAAGCTTATCCATAAGTTTCCAAAGACAAGATGATATAAAAGTTAAAAAGCATTCCTCTTTACTTATATCAAATTATTCTTGTCTTTCAAAAAGAACCAAAAAAAAAAAATTCATCATGGATAAAAACTAAGCGCTTGCCTTCTTTTAAAAAGAAAAACTGATGATTAGATTAGGTTAGCTAAAATTAATAGAGGCAGTAGAAACTTAATCACAAAATGTACTAAATATTTGGCAATATTAAACAATGCCTTTTTATTTCTGATATGTAGTTATTAGACATTTATATATTAAGGATAACTTCCTTAGTGTGACATTCCAATCATTTAGTATTTTAGGACCTGTGAATAACTTCCAACAAAATTAATGAATACCATATTAGTATTATAAAATATTATAAAGTAATAATTATATCATCTATATAACTTCAAAGTATGATGTTTATACAAAGAATCCTTATTTCAGTCTAGCAGCTTAACAACAAAGGATAAATCAGACTATACAAAACCTAAGTGTATTAATTTGATGATTGTCACGTACAACTTTCTTTGCCTTCCAAGTAGAGGTGATCCTAACAATTGGCATGATGCTTTTCTTGGTAATTTGATATAAGCAAGTTGTAATGTACATAGTAATTATTTAATTACTGTGGCTTTTATTTTAAAAAGTAATTAGAGGTTTTTCCATTTCATGTCTTGAACAACATTAATATTAATTACACTAGAAATATTTTTTGATTCAGAACTTAGAATTGTACCTGATATTTATAGGTATTTAAATGCTTTCTGCAAGTTAAATATCGAGAAAAGTACTTGACTTCAAGTTGTAAGGATACAATTTGGAAGGGTATGTAAATAGATTAGTTCATAAACAAAATGGTATCAATAAAGATTTTAAATATCATTTTGGTTACTGATTTTTATTTATCTTTCAAATACTAATGATATTTCAACATAATTTCAAGAGCAATTGTGCCACATGCTACTTTGAATAAATAGAAAACTAAGAAAGAATAACTTTTGTTGCTATTCTCAAACCAACATGAAAAAGATATTTAACAGCATTTTAAAAATGTTTTTTGGCCGGACTCGGTGGTTCATGCCTATAATCCCGGCACTTTGGGAGGCCGAGGCAGGCGGATCACTTGAGGTCAGGAGTTCCAGACCAGCCTGGGCAACATGGTGAAACCCTGTCTCTACTAAAAATACAAAAAATTATGCTGGGCACGGTGGCTCACGCCTGTAATCCCAGCACTTTGGGAGGCTGAGGCTGGTGGATCCTCATGAGGTCAGGAGTTCGAGACCAGCCTGGCCAACATGGTAAATCTCCATCTCTAGTAAAAATACAAAAATTAGCTGGAGGTGGTGGCACGTGCCTGTAATCCAAGCTACTTGGGAGGCTGAGGCAGGAGAATTGCTTGAACCCGGGAGGCGGAGGTTGCAGTGAGTCAAGATTGCGCCACTGCACTCCAGCCTGGGTGACAGAGCAAGACTCTGTCTCGGAAACAAACAAACAAAAAAAAAAAGAAAAAAAAAATTAGCCAGGCATGGTGGTGCGCGCCTGTAATCTATAATCCCAGATACTCAGAAGGCTGAGGCACAAGAATCACTTGAACCCAGGAGGTGGAGGTTGCAGTGAGCCGAGATCGTGACACTCCACTCCAGCCTGGGCGACAGAGCAAGGTTCCGTCTTAAAAAAAAAAAATAAATTTTTTTGACTTTGGGAGCCCGAGGAGGGATCACGAGTTCAGAAGATCGAAACCATCCTGGCTAACACAGTGAAACCCCGTCTCTACTAAAAATACAAAAAAAAAAAAAAAAAAAAACAATAGCGGGCTTGGTGGTGGGTGCCTGTAGTCCCAGCTACTCGGGAGGCTGAGGCAGGAGAATGGCGTGAACTCGGGAGGCGGAGCTTGCAGTGAGCCTAGATCGCACGGCTGCACTCCAGCCTGGGCGACAGAGCAAGACTGCATCTCAAAAAAAAAAAAAAAGAAAAAAAAAAAATTTGGCCATATTTGGAAGAGTTTTAAACCTACTAGCAATCCTAAGAACACTTATGGTGTTTGAGTCTGGTAGTAAAGCCATCTAGTGAGACTTTTCACCCCATTAAGTAAAATATACCATTGTGATCCCAATGGTGGGTCCTATAGATGTTTGCAACAGCAGTTAGGCGTGTATATATGCACATATTTTTAAATACATTTTTGTTATATTTTAACTTCATTTAAGAGTAGATTTAACTTACAGGTATAATGACATTTTATTTATTCGTTTCACAGGTACGATTCTTAGTTACTTGGGACCAGGATTTCCAATGAGTACAGAGTCCTTTTGTCGAGGACAAAGGGCAACTCCAGTTACTGAGAAAGGTGTTGACAGTGCCCATCCAAGCAGTGCCCAGGGAAGGGGTAAACAACTGCCTGGCATATTCTTGGCTGGAAACACACCTATCAGGCATCTAGTAAGTTGAACCTTATAAATTTTCAAATAAAACTACCCTTATTCTGATTAATCACCCACTGTGTAGCCTTTTAATAATTTGATTCCCATATTGTTTGCTTAAAGGAGAGAATAAGCCTGTTAGGCTGGTAAGAGTATTCATCATATCTAATTTTTGTATTTCTTGAGCCTTTGACATCCTGAGACCTTGCCGACACTGGAGGGACAGCCCCTCCCAGGATTAACTAATTCCTAGAGATAGAAAACAGCTCACCCAGGGAGCACACCTTCCATATGCAAAACAACCAATCCAGAGCCCATTCCCCAAACATCTCCTTTATCAGGCTCTCACAGGGCTCTCACACTCTGGGTCGCCATCCCTTGTCCTAATCACCCCAGGGCCAGGAACCAGACAGCTAGAGACAGCTCCTACACCCCAGAGCCCACTGAAGTTATTCAAATGAGCCAACCGGAAACCTGCTTATTTTGCCTTGCCCATTCCTTCCCACCGAAACCACAATAAAGCCCCTTTCCCACCTTTCCCCCTTGCTCCTCCTGCCTCCCAACCAACTTGGGTTCTCCACATGTGGTGCTGCACAGTGTGATCCCCCCCCCACCATCCTTGCCACCAACCCCGTTTCCTCTTGGGAACTGGGAGTAACAAACTCTTTTTCAATATCACTTTGTCGTCTCTTTAGTTTTTGAGAGTCTTGCTCTGTCACCAGGCTGGAATGCAGTGGTGCAATCTTGGCTCACCACAGCCTCGGCCTCCTGGGTTCAAGAGATTCTCCTGCCTCAGCCTCCTGAGTAGCTGGGACTACAGATGCGCACCACCACACCTGGCTAATTTTTGTATTATTAGTAGAGATGGGGTTTCACCATGTTGGCCAGGCTGGTCTTGAACTCCTGGCCTCAAGTGATCTGCCCACCTCAACCTCTCAAAGTGCTGGGATTAGGGGTGGGAGCCACTGCGCTCAGCCAATATCAGTTGTCTCTTGATCTGTTGGCCTCACCATACCTGAATAATAATTAAACCTACTGTGTTGGTCCGTTTTCACACTGCTGATAGACATACCTGACACTGGGCAATTTACAAAAGAAAGAGGTTTAATAGGATTCACAGCTCCACGTGGCTGGGGAGGCCTTACAATCATGTTGGAAGGCAAGACATGGATGGCAGCAGGCAAAGAGCTTGTGCAGAGAAACTCCCATTTTTAAAACCATTTTAAAACCATCAGATCTCCTGAGACCCATTCACTATCACGAGAACAGCACTAGGAAAGACTCACCCCCATAATTCAATAACCTCTCATTGGGTCCCCTCCCACAACACGTGGGAATTATGAGAGCTACAAGATGAGATTTGGGTGGGGACACAGAGCCAAACCGTGTCACCTACATTTTAAAACAAGAAGACATAGTGCAATTGGGGATGATAATATTTGAGCTTATATAGCCTTATGCCAATATTCCTCAGATCCCATTTCTAATTCTCCAAAAGGGCCAGATGGTAGACCATCACAAACCCACCAGATTTATTGGCGCTGCCCACTGGCCTCCCCAAGGACATCCTGTCTCTTTGTGTACCTTCTTTGAATGTGTACAATTCTTTTTTTTTTTTTTTTTGAGATGGAGTCTTGCTCTGTCACCCAGGCTGGAGTGCAGTGGCCTGATCT
This sequence comes from Homo sapiens, assembly GCF_000001405.40. NCBI lineage: Eukaryota > Metazoa > Chordata > Mammalia > Primates > Hominidae > Homo > Homo sapiens. The sequence continues at coordinate 80,553,543 of NC_000005.10, read as the reverse complement.
GGCTCACTGCAAGCTCCGCCTCCCAGGTTCCACCGATTCTCCTGCCTCAGTCTCCTGAGCAGCTGGGACTACAGACGTGCACCACCACGCTTGGCTAAATTTTTCTTTTAAGTAGAGACGGGGTTTTACCATGTTGGCTAGGCTGGTCTTGAACTCCTGGCCTCAAGTGATCTGCCTGCCTTGGCCTCCCAAAGTGCTGGGATTACAGGCACGAGCCACTGCGCTCAGCTTGAATGTCTAGCATTCTTTTTTTTTTTTTTTGAGATGGAGTCTCGCTCTGTTGCCTAGGCTGGGGTGCAATGGCGCAATCTTGGCTCACTGCAACCTCTGCTTCCTGGGTTCAAGCAATTCTCCTGCCTCAGCCTCCTGAGTAGTTGGGATTACCGGCGCCCACCACCACGCCTGGCTAATTTTTGTATTTTTAGTAGAGATGGGGTTTCGCCATGTTGGCCAGGCTGGTCTCGAACTCCTGGCCTCAAGGGATTCACCTGCCTTGGCCTCCCAAAGTTCTAGGATTACAGGCACGAGCCACTGTGCCCAGCCTGAATATCTACCATTCTTTTTTGTCTTTTTTTTTATTTTTATTTTTTTTTGAGATGGAGTCTCACTCTGTCACCCAGGCTGGAGTGCAATGGCACTATCTCGGCTACTGCAATCTCCACCTCCCAGGTTCAAGCAATTCTCCTGACTCAGCCTCCTGAGTAGTTGGAGTTACCAGTGCCCACCACCACGCCCAGCTAATTTTTGGATTTTTAGTAGAGACAGGGTTTCGCCATGTTGGTCAGGCTGGTCTCGAACTCCTGACCTCAGGTGATCATTCTTAAAGAGAAGGCCAGGAAAGGAAAAACTGGGAAGAATAGCTAACACGACAAATCGCAAAAACAATCCAAAAGAGTGTTGATTAGCTGGAACAATGGATCAAAACAAAAAACCTAAAGCTTAAGCATCATAAATACCCACATTTAGGTTTTGAAATCAGTTGTATAAGATTAGGATGATCAGCAATTTATATGTTTAGTGAATTCTTAAAATCTTATGTTACCTCAGCATCCATTTTGAATATAAGCTGGACTTTCTCATACCAGAAGCAAGATTCAGTCACCCTTGACACACTACTAGTTCTACACCGCCCCCCAGTTCCTCAGCCTGGTCGATCCAGGTATCTACATTATGTAACTGCTTCCTGGTGACTTCCCTATGGAACAACTAGATACACCCTGCTTAACTGGCCCCACTGACACTCACACCCCACATGGATTGTGCATATGTGCCACAGCGGTCACCTCTTAGTCACCATGTGACCTCCTAGAACCCATGCCTTAAACTCACCAATTCAAACTCCCCCTGGGAAACCTGTTTGGCTAACACCCTGGACCCAATAAAGGTGTTGACCCACGGGTCCCTTCCTCTCTCTCTCCATGCACTCCCTGACATCCCTGCATGTGGGCTCCAGGTATGCTGTGTACCGCAGGACCTGTAAGTAATAAAACCTTTATTTCTCTCTTACGTCTCTCATAATCACTGAAGGGATGCTTTCCATCTTAATGATCCTAATTTGAAACAACGTGGGGAAAAATGGCAGTTAATTAACTAATGCAGGTTTGTTGGGAGTGCTAACAGCCTGACTACATTATTTAATCAGTGTCTACTCCTGAATCTTAGCACTCATAGATCAAATGTGAAATAGTGTTTTTAATTCTAGATACCACATCTTAAACTAAAGAATATGCAGTAAAAGATGAAAAATGATAGAATCTAAAACATTTTTTTTAAATAAGTAAAAGAATTGTTGCTTAGCTTGGAGATAAAAAGACTCAGTTGAGATTAGATGGCTGGCCTTAGATACTAACAGAACCAATGTAATGACTTATTCAGAGTCCTCCAAATAAAGATAAGTTAGAACCAGAAAATTAAGTTACAGAAATATTTCAGTTCTCTCTTAGCTACTGGAGCTGTCTATCTATGGAAAAGCCTGTCCTAGGAAGATCTGAGTCACCACTTTTGGAAAGAGGAAGAGGAGATGGACATGGAAGAGGAGAGGTTAAATCAGAGATTTAACAAAAAAGATTCCATTTACTGAATAATCTTTAAAGTCTTTTTGAAAAGACAGTTCTTTGAGACAATCCTTACTAACAGTTCCAGATTTAGCAGAAAAAGTTGAAAACGAATGATTGAAGTTGAATACATTTTGAAAAGGATTTTCTTGTCAATTAAAAAAAAATTGCTACCCTACCCCTGCAACTCTGAGCCCTACTGATACGGATACCACTGCTATCAATAATTTGGCATCCAAGGGAAGAATACTTCCACCAAAGGATACTATGGTAGTTCCCCTGAAATGGAAGCTGAGATAACTACCTGGTCGTTCCAGTTTCCTTCATAGGAGATAAAGATAAAGGGGTCATGGTGTTTGCTAGAGTGATTCTCAGAACCGCAAAATAGGAGCTACAAGGAGCATGGGTGGAATCTGAGGAACCCACTGGGGACCCCCTTATACTATCATGGCCAGACACAAATGTAGATTATCTCAATTATACACAAGCAGGAGTATCAAGGCCTCAGAACCCCCAAGAATGAAGGATTGGGGTGCACCACCAGGTACTTAGCTGGTCTGGAATTCCTGGGCTCAAGCGATCCACCTGCCTCAGCCTCCTGAGTAGCTGGGATTACAGGGACATGCCACTGCACTCAGCTTGACTTTCTTGCCCACAGCCATTGGAAGGGGCAGCATCGGGATAAAGCCCACACAACTGCCTGGAGAAGTCAAGAAACACTCCTTGCCCCAGACGGGGGGCAGAGCTGCATAGGCTGCTTGAAGAGCTCACTCTACTCTAAGCCAGAGTTTTCCCATTAGCCCCTGAACTGACAAAGGGCAACAGACTCTCACATGGAATATTTCAATTAAATTTTTTGAACTTGATTATATTATTTCACTCCAAGGAAGGGATAAAGAAGAAAGGGGCAATGACCAGCTTCAGTGAAGATTCAACAGTAGCAATCAAACCCAGAACAGCTTAGTTGCCAGATTTAGACCGGCTCCTCCGGCAAGCAGAAGTATAGAAACCAAAGGCAGTTTTCTTGAGAGGAGAGGTGGCTGGGTGAGCCCCTTTCAAGCTCTGCTTGCTTTCTCTCCACTCTAAAGGTAGAATTGTGTGGATAGTTTTATTGTTTAATATTATGAAATAACTAAAAAACTTTTTTTTCTCTTTCATAGAAATGGGGTCTTGCTATGTTGGTCTCGAGCTCCTGGACTCAAGGGATCCTCCCACCTCAGCCTCCCAAAGTGCTGGGATTACAGGTGTGAGCCACCGTGCCCAGCCTTGAAACCATTCAAATATGTGGTAGACATTACAAGAGGAGGCACTGGGGGAGAAGGATGGTCTTTAAGAAACTGGCAGGATTACAAAAGCAATCTACAAATTCAATGCAATTTCCATCAAAATACCACTACCATTCTTCACAGAACTAGAAAAAACAATCCTAAAATTCATATGGAACCAAAAAACAGCCCACATAGCCAAAGCAAGACTAAGCCAAAAGAACAAATCTGGAGGCATCACACTACCTGATTTCAACCTATACTATAAAGCCATGGTCACCAAAACAGCATGGTGCTGGTATAAAAATAGGCACATAAACCAATGGAACAGAATAGAGAACCCAGAAATAAACCCAAATACTTACAGCCAACTGATCTTCAGCAAAGCAGACAAAAACATTAAGTGGGAAAAGGACGACCTATTCAACAAATGGTGGTGGGATAATTGGCAAGCCACATGTAGAAGAATGAAATTGGATCCTCATCTCTCACCTTATACAAAAATCAATTCAAGATAGATCAAGAACTTAAATATAAGACCTGAAACTATTAAAATTCTAGAAGAGCATCGGAAAAATCCTCTAGACATTGGTTTAGGCAAGGATTTCATGACCAAGAACCCAAAAACAAATAGAATAAAAACAAAGATAAATAGCTGGGGCTTAATTAAACTAAAGAGCTTTTGCACAACAAAAGAAACAGCAGAGTAAACAGACAACCCACAGAGTGGGAGAAAAATCTTCACAATCTATACATATGACAAAGGACTAATGTCCAGCATCTACCATGAATTCAAACAAATTAGCAAGAAAAAAAACAATCCCATCAAAAAGTGGGCTAAGGGCACGAATACACAATTCTCAAAAGAAGATATACAAATGACCAACAAACATATGAAAACATGCTCAACATCACTAATGATCAGGGAAATGCATATCAAAACCACAATGCAATACCACCTCATTCCTGCAAGCATGGCCATAATCAAAAAATAATAGATGTTGGCGTTGCTGCAGTGAAAAGAGAACACTTCCACACTGCTGGTGGGAATGTAAACTAGTACAATCACTGTGGAAAACAGTGTGGAGAGTTCTTAAAGAACTAAAAGTAGAACTACCATTTGATCCAGTAATCCCACTACTGGGTATCTACCCAGAGGAAAAGAAGTCATTATACAAAAAAGACACTTGCACATGCATGTTTATAGCAGCACAATTCGCAATTGCAAAAATGTGGAACCGACCCAGAAGCCCACCGATCAATTAGTGCATAATAAAGAAACTATATATATATATATATATATATATATATATATATATATATGTGTGTGTGTGTGTGTGTGTGTATGAGAAATACTACTCAGCCATAAAAAGGAATGTGAATTAATGGCATTCACAGCAACCTGGAAGGGATTGGAAACTATTAGTCTAAGTGAAGTAACTCAGGAATGGAAAACCAAACATCGTATGTTCTCACTTATAAGTGGGAGCTAAGCTATGAGGATGCAAAGGCATAAGAATAATACAATAGACTTTGGGGACTTGGGGAAAAGGTGGGAAAGGGGTGAGGGATAAAAGACTACAAATTGGGTTCAGTGTACACTGCTCGGGAGATAGGTGCACCAAAATCTCACAAATCACCACTAAAGAACTTACTCATGTAACCAAATGCCACCTATTCCCCCAAAACCTATAAAAATAAAAAATAATAATAAAAAGAAACTGGCAGGATTAAATACAAAAAAAAAGTATCTTAGAGTGAGTTCAGGGTCAGGCAGATAGGATTTTCATTTTTCTTTCCAAGTTGGTATGAAGTAATATCAATGAGCCACTGAGAAATATAGCCACACCTGGCTCCTTTCCATCCTGATGGGGTCAGTGGTATTACCTGACACTCTGTCACCCAATCTAAAAATACTAGACTCCTCCCTCTCCCCCATACTACTCATTCAACTACAAATTCTCCGTTTTTAACCTTTTCTTCTTTTTTCTTTTCTTTTTTTTTTTTTAAGATGGAGTCTCACTCTGTCGCCCAGGCTGGAGTGCAGTGGTGCAATCTCAGCTCACTGCAATCTCTGCCTCCCGGGTTCAAGCGATTCTTCTGCCTCAGCCTCCTGAGTAGCTGGGACTACAGGCATGCGCCACCATGCCCGGCTAATTTTTGTATTTTTAGTAGAGATGGGGTTTCACCATGCTGGCCAGGCTGGTTTTGAACTCCTGACCTCGTGATCCACCCGCCTCGGCCTCCCAAAGTGCTGGGATTTCAGGCGTGAGCCACCGCGCCCAGCCATAACCTTTATTTCTTGAGCCTCTCCATCCCCTTTTGGTGTCACCTTAATTCAGGCCTTCATCTTCTTTCACTTTGAGGACTCCAAATCTCCCAATTGATTTCCTCCTTCTCACCATCATAATCACTTTTCTAACATTCAAAACTGATAATAATGCTTCCCTACTTAAAGTAGTACAATAACTCCCACTCCCTCAGAGAAAAGAAGCCAACTCTTCACTACAGAAAATAAATCTGGTTCTGTCTCACAGTATGATGCCCCAAAAAACATTTCTGAGCAGGTCGATCAGGCTCTTTCCCACTTGGCTCAGGTGCCTGGGTCTGAAAGGTCCTTCCCCTGTCAGTCTACCCAGTGAATCTTACTCATCTTTTAAGACACAGCTCGTGTTCCCTCCCAGTTAAAATAGACTGCTGTCTCTTTGGGGACTATACCGCAAGCCATGTGTTATTCCATCATAGGAGTTTTAGCAAATATTCAACTTATCACTTACGGGTCTCTCTCCCATGACTAGATTACTGTAAGCTCCATTTCTGAATCATATAGGGACAATTTTGGAATTATTCACGCAGCCTGAGCACATCAGACATTGCTTAGATGCCTGCCCCTTCTCTCCCCATCTGCCCCCCAAGTTCCTACTGAGCTGTGACGTCTTGACATGAGATTCCCTCATGAAAGATACAGGTGGCTGGACAAGCTGGTTCCCCAGACCAAAAGCTGATGGGTATAAAGAGGTAATTACTATGAAAAGTAACAGTGGCACTGATGTGAAACACTAGGACACTGGAGCCCGAGCTCTTGCTGCTGAGGTCTGGGAGCTCCCTTGGATCTTGCCCTAAATAACAAGGTCGGAGATACAGCATTTGTCTATATATTGACTAGGTACTTAATTTTCTTTGTAATTACAGAAAAACAACAACAACCCATGACCCCAACTCCAACAAACAAGCAAATTACAAACTGTTCCAAATTACTTTTAATCATTTCCCACTGGATAAGTACATACCTGGCTAATTAACAAATTATACCACTCTTACAGGACAATAAGCTACCCTTTATTAGAAGCCTTTGAATTTTTGAACAATTGATTTTCTTATTAAAGTCTCTTCTGGAATTAGGATTACTCTACCACTCTTGAGAAATAGCCTTTGGATGATATGTGATCTCAACACCACTATATTAGACATCAACTTAGAGGGAAAAAATAGGTGGCACTTAACTATTATGTTGTGCATTTGAACTTCTTTGCAAAAATTTTCTACACATACAAAGATATATATCTTTAAATCTATCTATATATATATATTTTTTTGAGACCGAGTCTCACACTGTCGCCCAGGCTGCAGTGCAGTGGCGTGATCTCCACTCACTGCAACCTCTGCCTCCTGGGTTCAAGCGGTTCTCCTGCCTCAGCCTCCTGGGCAGCTGGGATTACAGGCACCCGCCACCATGCCTGGCTAATTTTTTGTATTTTTAGTAGAGACGGGGTTTCACTATGATGACCAGGCTGGCCTTGAACTCCCTGACCTTGTGATCTGCCCACTTCAGCCTCCCAAAGTGCTGGGATTACAGGTGTGAGCCACCATGCCTGGCCATATATATGCTCTTTTACAACCTGCAGTATGCTGTAACATCTTCCCACATTAATAAAGGTTGGGCCAGGTACAGTGGCTCATGCCTGTAATCCCAGCACTTTGGGAGGCCAAGGTGGGCAGATCACCTGAGGTCGGGAGTGTGAGATCAGCCTGGCCAACATGGTGAAATCCCATCTCTATCAAAAGTCAAAAAAATTAGCTGGCCATGGTGGCACATGCCTGTAATCCCAGCTACTTGGGAGGCTGAGGCAGAAGAATTGCTTGAACTTGGGAGGTAGAAGTTGCAGTGAGCCGAGATCATTCCACTGCACTCCAGCCTGGGCAACAGAGCGAGATGCTGTATCAAAAAAATAAAAAATTTTAAAAAGTTTCTGCATAGTATTCTATTGCATTTCTGTACATCAAGGCCTTTAAAATATATTGAAAATGGATATATAATTTACATACAGTAAAATGCACAAATATTAAATGTGACAACTCAATAAGTTTTTTGCCTTGCCTATGTACACATCAAAATAACCATTTCCCGGAACAAGATAGAGAACATTTTCAACACCCAAAAAAGTTCCAACATGCTCCATCCCAGACAAAACCCGACAGAACCGTATAGGTTACTACTATTCTGACTTCTAGCACCATGTATTAGTTTTGACTATTATTTAACTTCATATAAATGGATCCAGAGAATATGTATTCATTTGTGCCTTTTTTTTTGCATGATGTTGTTAATAACCTTTATTGTTACATCAGTTCAAACTGTTTTAGTGCTGTGTAGTAATTTCATTGTATGAGTCTACCATTATTTATAAATTCTCTTACTGATGAAAATTGGGGTTGTTTCTAGTTTTTGGCTATTAAGTTTTTATGAACATTCTTTTACAAGTCTTTTAATGTAAATACATGAGCTCTTTTCTCTTGAGTATATGGCTACAGATAGAGTGGCTGGGTCTTAAGGTAGAGATATACTTATCTTTATTAGAAACTGCCAAACTGTTTTCCTTTTTTTCCTAAAAGGTGTTTTTAGTCCTTATAATATTAACCTCTCTGGTGGGTATGTACTGGCATTTATTGTGGCTTAAACTTGTCTTTCCTGAATAAGGAATACTGTTGAGTTCCTTTTCATATTCTTTTGGCCATCTGAATTATTTTTTTTGTGTGAAGTATCTATTCAAGTCTTTTGCCCATTTTTAGTCAGTTTTTTGGGTTTTTTTCTTATAGTTTAAAGGAGTAATATACCCTCTGTCAGATATGTGTCAATGGTGTCTTTTCTGAGAAGTTTTAAGTTTTGATAAAGTCTATTTATCAATGTTTCCTTTTATGGCTAGTGTTTTCTGGGTTACAAGAAACCTATGCCTACCCCAAAGTCCTGAAAACATTCTCCCTTATTCTCTTCTAAATGCATTAAGGTTTTAGCTTTCACATTTTGGCCTAAGATCCATCTCAAATTATTCGTATATGGCATGAGGTAGGGATCAAGGTTATTTTTTTCCATATGGATAGCTATTAAAATTTTACTTTCCAACAGAATACATTTTATAATTCTCTTATGCGTTTTTGTTCCTGAGAACAGTTTAAAATACACCTTTAAATATTAATCTAAGTGAGGCTGCATGCAGTGGCTCACGCCTGTAATACCCGCACTTTGGGAGGCCAAAGCGGACAGATCACATGAGGCCAGGAGTTCCATCCAGACCAGCCTGGCCAACATGGCAAAACCCTGTCTACTAAAAATACAAAAATTAGCCAGGTGTGATGGCACAGTCCTGTAATCCCAGCTACTTGGGAGGCTGAGGGATGAAAATCACTTGAACCTGGGAGGTGGAGGTTGCAGTAAGCCAAGATTGTACCACTGCACTCCAGCCTGGGTGACGGAGTTAGACTCTGTCTCAAAAAAAAAAAAAAAACTAAGTGATATTAGGCTTATAGATTTCTCAATATATAATTTTACCATAATATTAATATTTTAAAAAAATTATCAAAGGTAGGACAATTAAGTAGTAAAAATAATATTCTGGACAAGTGAGTTTTACTTTGAACTTCAACAAAAGGCAGTTTATTTATAAATTCACCTGTCTTTAGTAATGCATGGTCTTTGTAGAAAATTTATAAATTAATTTACTATAATTTAAAAAGTTATTTTCTATAGCAGTTGAAATTTTATAATGAAATTGCACCTTTTGTCTTTGGCAAACAACCATGGATAGTAAAGTTTTAGGTATGATTTGACAAGAAGCATTCCATTTGACTAGAGCTGAATTTTCAAGTGGAAATACTATAATTGTCTTTAAGTATTTATATGTCTACAATGTTTGATGTTGTATCTCTTAGTGCTATCTAGCTATAATGGACATGATCACAGGATAAGTCTAAAAGAAGAGTAACTTTGCTGAGCATTCACTATGTCATTGAGCTAGATATCTCTACTACATGAATCTCACATAATCCTCACAACAACCCTACAAGAGAAATTTTATTCCCCCACCTCCACTTTATAGACAAGTGAGCCTGGAGTCAATGGCATTAAAGATTTCCCAAAGTCTATGGCTAGTAAGGGATAGAGGTGGGGCTGTAAAGAAAATCTGTCTGAATTCAAAACCCAAGATCTTTTCTCTATATAGAACTATGTTATTCTCTGGGAGAAAAATGGTTGATTGACAAAAGGCAAATTACATCTTTTAGGACATTCACTAGTAAATTACTTGTTAATAAATCAAAGCAGCAACATATTTTTCTGGATGTTTTTCTCAGGACTATGCCAGGCACTGTAAAAGATACTTAAGCATGAACCTTTGCCATAAAGGAATTTACAGTCTAGCTGAGGAGACATAGCTAACATGCACGTGTCAATTAGTGAAATAACTAAATAGTTAAGATTAATGGTTAAAGTAGGATCTAGAAACCATTGATGTTGAATAAATTTTTTAAATGAAGAACCGTGCTGGAGCACAACAAACTGACTTTTAGGTGGGACTGCATTATGAAGGGTCTTGAAAGAGGAAAACTGAGTAAAATTGAGTTTAAGCCCTTGAAGGTTTTTGATTTGGCATAAAGAAAGAGGTATTTAAGAAAGTTTTGGCTGGGTGTGGTGGCTCACACCTGCAATCCCAGCACTTTGGGAGGCCGAAGTGGGTGGATCACCTGAAGTCAGGAGTTTGAGACAAGCCTGGCCAACATGGTGAAACCCCATCTCTATTAAAAATACAAACATTAGCTGGGTGTGGTGGCGCACACCTGTAGTCCCAGCTACTTGGGAGGCTGAGACAGGAGAATCACTTGAACTGGGGAGACAGAGATTGCAGTGAGCCAAGATTACACCACTGCACTCCAGCCTGGGCAACAGAGCAAGACTCTGTCTCAAAAAAAAAAAAAAAAAAAAAAAAAAAAAGCCAGGCGTGGTGGCTCACGCCTGTAATCCCAGCACTTTGGGGGCTGAGAAGGGCAGATTATGTGGTCAGGAGATAGAGACCATCCTGGCTAACACAGTGAAACCCCGTCTCTACTAAAAAAATAAAAAATTAGCCGGGCGTGGTGGGGGGGCGCCTGTAGTCCCGGCTACTCAGGAAGCTCAGGCAGGAGAATGGCATGAACCTGGGAGGCAGAGCCTGCAGTGAGCCAAGATCACGCCACTGCACTCCAGCCTGGGTGAGAGAGACAGACTCCATCTCAAAATAATAATAATAATTATTATTATTATAAATAAAAAAAGAAAAGAAAAGAAAGTTTTGTTTAGCAGAAAAACTCAGATCTCTGAGTAGAATGTGAGGAATGAGCCGTGAAAAAAGTAGTTCATAAAGTTTTACTAGTAGAACAAGGACCTGAATGAAGGTGGTGGCAGTAAGAAACTTGGAAAACAAATGATACATAACAAAGACTAAAACTGCTCTCCAACAGTATATTGTCCACTATAAATCAGATACTATAGAAATAAGAAATATAAAAAAAACACTTAGCCACTAGCATGCTTCTCAATCACATGGAAATTCTAGATCTATCTAATTTAATCTACAGTTTCAGGAAATGGATTAATAGATCTTGATATGAGACAGCTGCTGACCCCTGTGAAAATTAAAAACATTTTAAAAGCCCTCTTCCTTTTTTGTTATCTCTAAAATAACCAGTTTTCTAGGAAAAAGGAAAAGAGTACCATATTTTTCATAATCTCTGTAATGCAAGTGCCAAGCACATGTGATTTATACCTGTTTTATGACATATGGATTCTGCCAATCATCTTTAGTTTATCAAAACTATTTTTATGAAGGGGTGCAGAGTATCATTTTCCTGAATTATTATTAGACTAGGCCACGTGTGTAAATAAATCTCTTCTTTCCAAATCTTTTATGTAAGTGCACTATTATAAGGACATATGCCCACAGAGTAAGCATACAATAAACGTTTCTTGATTAGATGACTTGGAACGTCAATCAATAACCATAATTTATATGGTAATTAATTCAGACCAATGGAGAGAAGGATTATGAAACCAAAACACAGGAAATAATTGAGAATCTTCTTCTTAGAGATTAACTTTGATTCCAATGGCTTGTTTAAATTCATGGTTTTGTGGTTCCAAGATGTCATAGAAAACTTGTTTTTTGTCAAAATGGTCTCTAATGTAAAGTAAATCTTCAACGGAATAGTTATCATTTTTTCCAGTCCAAATAGTCAGGCTGTACCTGCATTGAAATAAAACAGAATTATACAGTTAAAAGTGGAAGAAAGCGATGAGTCATTCCAATAAGCCTAAAAATGCTTTCATTTATCTCTAACTCAAATGCACTCAGATGAAAAAATTAATCAGCAATGGTGTAACTGTACTTTCATATTTCATTCTTTCATCAAGAGGGACTAGAGACAAAAAAACATTCATACTGCTGTTGTCTAAACGACATAACTGCTCTATCTGAATTGCAGGACTGTTAAATGGACTAAGAAACCAGATGAGTGGCATGGGAAATGGTTCTAATTTTGGAAAAAGGAATCGAAGAGACTATGTTGCTGATGGAGGAATCTGTAACCTGGGTTTGTTCAGGAGCCTGGTCAGGGTGAAAAGCACAATGGGAAGGGATTGTGAAGAGACACAAATGTCACTGACATCCACAATACTTAGAATCATATACGGAGGCCCTGCTGTTTCTTTTGGAGGTTTTTGTATGAGATACAAGAATGCCAAGAGATTTCACTAAGAATGACAAATAGAATACATTTAGATCTTTTTCTGATGAGCTGAAAACCAATAACCTATGTAAATTCATTATAGATGTAAGAATATGCTCAGAATGTTAATGTTACTTAAACTGTACACTTCTATTTCTTCTGGTGACACTACTACTGTTGCATTCAAGTCTAGGGAAATGCAAAGCTGTTAAGCAGTTTCATATTTATATTCCCCATAAGCTTGTCAGAATCCAGGGAAAATTTCCAAAGCATTTTTTCTACTAATGATAAGAAATAACTGCCTAACCAAGGCATATTTTCTTGTCATATTGACACATTCCTGCCCTTAAGGATGGCGACACCATTCTGGAAATACAACAGAGGAAAGTAATTTGGATATTGCCCCACAGCAGTATCATATTAGAAACCAAAAAGAATTTTAAACTACAGCTAAGGGACACAGAAAAAGAAAAGTGAAAATTAGTTCTGAAACCTATATTTTTTGCTAAAATGGAATCTCTATTACTTTATCTGGGCACCATGGTGAAAAACCTTATAAAAAGACATGGTTATGAGCATTTAGGTAAAAAGAAGAGCTTCCCAGTATTATTTTGCCTTTTTTAATATTCACTTCATTGTATTCAGACTGAAATGGAAAAAACGGCCTGAGGAAATGGATGGAAAAACATTTATATCAATGAATGGAAAAACATTCATTGATATAAATTCTCAAACTTCATTTTTTAACCTTCTTTATTGTGAAATAACACATAGAAAAAAGTACATAAAACATAAATATAAATTTTATCAGATTATTACAAAGTAAACTCCAGTGTAATAAAACAAATAAATAAAACATGGCCAGCAGCTGAGGAAGCAGCTTGGTGTCACTGCTCTACCACGATCTCCTCTCAAGTCTCCATGATCTTTAAGATTGTTAAGTATATGACAGAGAAGGAAACAGGAACTATCACAGAGTGAAGGAGGCTGAGGAGATACGATAACTAAATTCAATGCATGTTCTTGGAGAGTTTTCTGGATCAGAAGAGGAAAAAGGGTATTGTTGTAATGGTTGGTAGAATCTGAATGGGGTCTGTGGACTGTATGGTAGTGTTGTATCAACGCTGACTTCCTGACTGGGAGGCTGCATGGCAGTGATACAGAAGCTGTCCTTCTTTGGGGCGGTATCCTCTGGAGTACTTAGGGATAATGAGGCTCATGCAGAAAAACATAAATAGAAAATTATATATGTATAGAGAAATAATGGACAAATGCAGGAAACAATTGGGGAATCTGGGTGAAGGAGATGTGGTAGTTTTTGCAACTTTTCTGTAAATTTAAAACTTTTGAAAAATAATCGTAAATCACTCCTATAAAAGACAGTTTAAAAAAAAAAAAAAGGCAGGGCACGGTGGCTCATGCCTGTAATCCCAGCACTTGGGGAGGCCGAGGCAGGCCGATTGCCTGAGCTCAGGAGTTCAAGACCACCCTGGGTAACACGGTGAAACCAAGTCTCTACTAACATACAAAAAATTATCTGGGTGTGGTGGCGCACGCCTGTAGTCCCATTAACTCGGGAGGCTGAGGTACAGGAATAGCTTGAGACTTGGAGGTGGAGGTTGCAGTGAGCTGAGACAGTGCCACTGCACTCCAGCTTGGGCTACAGAGTAAGACTCCATCTCAAAAAAGGAAACAAAAACAAGAACAAAACAAAACAAAACAAAAAGTAAAAAAACAAAACTCCATTAATTTTCAAATAAAGGAAGAGGCAAAGTTATTCAAAGCGAACAAAAAGACAACGGGAATTGAGGTTAAAAAAAATCATTAAATAAGACCAAGAACACCATGGTAAAGGTGTAATTCTTAATGAAGAGAAAATAGGTATGAATGTGTACACAACAGATAGCATATCATGAACATTTAAAAAGGAAAAACTATGAAGGTGGATGAGGAAATAGACAAAAATATCTTAAGAGTTGGAAATGACATATTTGTACATATGAAAAATAACACATTTACAATAAGGTTATTCACGAAAACAATGTAATATAAAATATTAGAAATATGCCAAATGCCCATCAAAAGGAGGCAAGTCAATTATAGTACATACATAAATATCATACACCTAGGAAAGAAAAACAAGAAAGTTTACTTCAGAAAGAGCTCCACCATGTATTAAGTCAAAAAAAAAAAAAAAAAGAGGAAGGAAAAGAAAAAAAAAGCAAAGAAAAGAACAGAACCAAGAAGCAAGGTGTATGACATACCATAACATCTTTTGTTTTAAAAAGAAGGGGGACCAGACACGGTGGCCCACGCCTGTAATCCCAGCAGTTTGGGAGGCCGAGGCGGTGGATCACTTGAGGTCAGGCGTTCAAGACCAGCCTGGCCAATGTAGCAAAACCCCGTCTCCACTAAAGATAAAAAAAAATTAGCTGGGTATGGTGGCGGGTGCCTGTAATCCCAGCTACTGGGGAGGTTGAGACACGAGAATCACTTGAACCTAGGAAGCAGAGGTTGCAGTGAGCCAAGATCCTGCCACTGCACTCCAGTCTGGGCAACAGAGCAAGACTCCATCTGAAAGAAAGAAAGAAAAGAAAGAAAGGAGGAAAGGAAGGGAGGGAAGGAAGGAAGGAAGGAAGGAAGGAAGGAAGGAAGGAAGGAAGGAAGGAAGGAAGGAAAGAAAGAAAAGAAAGGAAGGAAGGAAGGAAAGAAAGAAAGAAAGAAAGAAAGAAAGAAAGAAAGAGAAAGAAAGAAAGAAAGAAAGAAAGAAAGAAAGAAAGAAAGAAAGAAAGAAAGAAAGAAAGAAAGAAAGAAAGAAAAAGAAAGGCTGGGTGCGGTGGCTCATGCCTGTAATCCCAGGACTTTGGGAGGCCGAAGCAGGTGGATCATGAGGTCAAGAGATAGAGATCATCCTGGCCAACATGGTGAAACCCCATCTCCACTAAAAATACAACAAATTAGCTGGATGTGGTGGTGCCCACCTGTAGTCCCAGCTACTTGGGAGGCTGAGGCAGGAGAATCACTTGAACCCGGGAGGTGGAGGTTGCAGTGACCCGAAATCGCGCCACTGAACTCCAGCCTGGTGACAGAGTGAGACTCTGCCTCAAAAAAAAAAAAATTAATAAAATAAAAATAAAAGTAAAAAGGAAGGGAAATTAGATGCTATATTTACATTTACTCTTATATGTATAAAGAAACTAACAATTGTAGTTAGTGACATTGGGCAGGAAGACTGGGTAGATGAGAGAAAGCCTTTTCACAGTGTAAGTCTTTATTCTATTAAGTTTTTGAATTAATTTTTTTGTTTGAAAAATTAAATTTAAAATACTTTTAAAAGAAAACAAAAAGTAACACACAAAAAACTTAAATAAAATAACATTAATAATGTTTTATTAATGTATGACAGAAGCTGGTAGTTTTACTCCAATATCCATTCTCCTTTTTCTTTCTAACAAACTCCTGAATTCTAACTAGACACAAGGTTGTACAAAATAAGATCTACATTTCCCAGCTTTACCTGTAACTAAGTACAGGTACATAACTGAGTTATAGCCAATGTGTTATAACAGGAAGACCTGTAACATGAGTAAAACTGCAGAATAGGAGTTTTTATCCCTTGTCTACCCCACTGAAACACCGATTTTGACAACTACTCATGGATAAAAGTACCTTTGTGGGAACCCAGGAGTCCAGTGGAAAGACTCCGCTACGACATTGGAGCGTACACACACACAAAATCTGAGAATAGACGCATTGAAGAAGGTAAAACATTTCACTTTACCCACATTACCCCTCCTCTAAGGCAGCACAGTTCAGTGCCAACAAAGACCTCCTTGGCCTGTGTACTCTCCTACGAGGAAAAGTAAAAGTGTAGTAAGCACCTAGCTTCACTCCCCATGTGGGATGCTGCTCTTCCTCTCACCCCACCCAGAACGCTGAAGGGATCAGCAAGGTTGATTAGTCCAGGAGCGACAGGAATTGGAAAATGGCAGAGGCTCACTTACTTTTAATTTTAGTGGGTACATAGTAGGTATTTATATTTATGGGGTACATGAGATGTTTTGATGTAGGCATGTACTATGTAATGATCACTTGAAAAATAGGGTTCCCACCCCTCGGGTATTTATCCTTTGTGTTACAAACAATTCAATTATACCCTTTTAGTTATTTTTAAATGTACAATTAAATGAACCCCATTGTGCTATCACATATTAGGCCTTATTCATTCAAACTATTTTTTCATACTTATTAGCCATTCACACCTCCCCCCAACACCCACCACCACTACCTATCCCCGCCTCTGGTAAACCACCCTCCTCTCTATCTCTATGGGTTCAATTGCTCCAATTTTTAGAACCCACAAATAAATAAGAACATGAGATGTTTATCTTTCTGTGCCTGGCTTATTTCACTTAACATAATGATCTCCAGTTCCACCCATGTCGTTGCAAATGACAGGATCTCATTCTTTTTTATGGCTGAATATATTCCATTGTGTGTAAGTACAATATATATACTTTAATCTATTCATCTGTTGATGAACACTTTGGTTGCTTTCAAATCTTGGCTATTGTGAATAGTGCTGCAACAAACATCGAAGTACAGCTATCTCTCCGATACACTGATTTCCTTTCTTTTGTTTACATACCGAGCAGTGGGATTGCTGGATCATATGATAGCTCTATGTATAGTTTTTTCCTCAAAAAACTAAGACCTGTCTGGGCACGGTGGCTCACACCTGTAATCCCAGCACTTTGGGAGGCCAAGGTGGGCAGACAGCCTGAGGTCAGGAGTTTGAGACCAGCCTGGCCAGGATGGTGAAACTCCGTCTCTACTAAAAATACAAAAAAAAAATGAGCTGGACTTGGTGGCGGGCGCCTGTGATCCCAGCTACTTGGGAAGCTGAGGCAGGAGAATCGCTTGAACCTGGGAGGCGGAGGTTGCAGTGAGCCGAGATCACGCCATTGCACTCCAGCCTGGGCAACCCAGTGAGACTCCATCTCAAAAAAACAAAACAAAACAAAACAAAACTAAACTAAACTAAACTAAAACCCTCGTACCAACAGCATACTAGGGTTCCCTTTTCTCCACATCCTTGCTAGCATTTACTGCCTGTCTTTTGGATAAAAGCCATTTTAATTGGGGTGTGATGATATCTCATCGTAGCTTTGATTTGCATTTCCCTGATAATCAATGATGTTGAGCAACTTTTCATATGCCTGTTTGCCATTTGTATGTCTTTTTTTAAGAAATGTCTATTCAAATCTTTTGCCCATTTTAAGATCAGATTAGATTTTTTCCAGTAGAGTTGTTTGAGCTACTTATATATTCTAGTTATTAATCCCTTGTTAGATGGGTAGTTTGCAAATGTTTTCTCCCATTCTGTACATTGTTTCTTCACTTTGTTGACCATTTCCTTTGCTGTACAGAAGCTTTATGACTTGATGTGATCCCATTTGTCCATTTTTGCTTTGGCTGCCTTGCTTGTGGGGTATTACTAAAGAAATCTTTGCCAAGACCAATGTCTTCAAGGGTTTCCCCAATGTTTTCTTGCAGTAGTTTCATAGTTTGAGGTCTTAGATTTAAGTATTTAATCCATTTTGATTTCATTTTGGTATACAGTAAGAGACGGGTCTAATTTCATTCTTCTGCATATGGCTATCTAGTTTTCTCTGCACCATTTACTGAAGAGACTAATTTCCCCAGTGTATGTTCCTGGCAGCTTTGTGAAAACACTGTAGGTGTGTGCATTTGTTTCTGGGTTCTCAATTCTGTCCCATTGGCCTCTGTGTCTGTTTTTATGCCAGTACAATGCAGTTTTGGTTACTATAGCTCTGTAGTATAATTTGAAGTCAGGTAAATGTGATTCTTCCAGTTTTGTTCATTTTGCTTAGGACAACTTCGGCTATTCTGGGCCTTTGTGGTTCCATATACAGTTTAGGATTTTTAAAATATTTCTGTGAAGAATGTCATTGGAATTTTGATAGGGACTGCATTGAATCTACAGATTGCTTTAGGTAGTATGGATATTTTAACAATATTAATTCTTCCAATCCACAAACATGGAATATCTCTCCATTTTGGGGTGTCCTCTTCAGTTTCTTGCACCAGTGTTTTATAGTTTTAATTATAGAGATCTTTCACTTCTTTGGTTAATTCCTAGGTAGTTAATTTTAATTGTGGCTATTCTAAGTGGGATCACTTTTCTGATTTCTTTTTTAATTGTTCACTGTTGGCATATAGAAATGTTAGCAATTTTTGTATGCTGATTTTGTATCCTGCAACTTTACTGAATTTATTAGTTCTAATAGTTTTTTTATGTGGAGTCTTTAGGTTTTTCCAAATATAAGATCATATCATCTGCAAACAAGGATAATTTGACTTCTTCCTTTCCAATTTGGATGTCCTTTATATATCTTTCTTGTCTGATTGTTCTCCCTAGGACTTCTAGTACTATGTTAAATAACAGTGGTGAAAGTGGGCATCCTTGTCTTGTTCCTCGTCTTAGAGAAAACGCTTTCAGTTTTATCCCACTCAGCATAATACTAGCTGTGGGTCTGTTGTATATAGCTTTTATTACGTTGAGGCATGCTCCTTCCATACCCAGTTTTTTTGTGGGTTTTTATCACGAAGGGATGTTGAATTTTACCCAATGTTTTTTCAGCATCAATTGAAATGATCATATGGTTTTTGTCCTTCACGCTGTTAATACGATGTATCACAGTGATTGATTTACATGTGTTGAACCATCCTTTCATCCCTCGGATAAATCCCACTTGGTCATGATGAATGATCTTTTTAATGTATTGGTGAATTCAGTTTGCTAGTATTTTGCCAAGGATTTTTGCATCAATGTTCATCAGTAATATTGATTTGTAGGTTTTTTTTTTAATGTGTCTTTGTCTGTTTTTGGTATCAGGGTAATGCTGGCCTTGTAGAATGAGTTTAGAAGTATTCCCTCCTCCTCTATTTTTTGGATAGTTTGAATAGGACTGGTGTTAGTTCTTCTTTAAATGTTTGGTAGAATTCAGCAGTGAAGCCATCGGGTCCCAGGGTTTTCTTTACTGAAAGACTTTTTATTATAGCTTCAATCTCATTACTTGTTATTGGTCTGTTCAGATTTTAGATCTCTTCATGGTTCAATATTGGTTGGTTGTATGACTCTAGGGATTTGTCCATTTCTTCTAGATTTTCCAGTTTATTGGCATATAGTTGCTCACAGTAGCCACTAATAATTCTCTGGATTTCCACAGTATCAATTGTAATGTCTCCTTTTTCATATCTGATTTTATTTATTTGGATTCTCTGTTTTTTCTTAATCTGGCTAAAGATTTGTCCATTTTCTTTAACTTTTCAAAAAGCCAACTTTTTGTTTCATTGATCTTTTATACTGTTTTCATTTCAATTTCATTTATTTCTGCTCTTTTTTTTTTTTTTTTTTTGAGATGGAGTCTCGCTCTGTTGCCCAGACTGGAGTGCAGTGGTGTGATCTCGGCTCACTGCAATCTCTGCTGCCCAGGTTCAACTGATTCTCCTGCATCAGCCTCCTGAGTAGCTGGGATTACAGGTGCGTGCCACCACACCTGGTTAATTGTTGTATTTTTAGTAGAGAGGGTTTCGCCTTGTTGGTCAGGCTGGTCTCAAACTCCTGACCTCAGGTGATTCACTGCCTTGGCCTCCCAAAGTGCTGGGATTACAGGCGTGAGACACTGTGCTCGCTCGGCCTGATCTTTATTATTTATTTTCTTCTACTAATTTTGGGTTTGGTTTGCTCTTGCTTTTCTAGTTTTTTTGTTTTGTTTTGTTTTGTTTTTTGAGATGGAGTCTCGCTTTGTCACCTAGGCTGGAGTGCAGTGGTGTGATCTCGGTTCACTGCAAGCTCCGCCTCCCAGGTTCACACCATTCTCCTGCCTCAGCCTCCCGAGTAGCTGGGACTACAGGCACCCGCCACCACGCCCGGCTATTTTTTTGTATTTTTAGTAGAGACGGGGTTTCACTATGTTAGCCAGGATGATCTTGATCTCCTGACCTCGTGATCCACCCGCGTCAGCCTCCCAAAGTGCTGGGATTACAGGTGTGAGCCACAGTGCTCGGCCTTGCTTTTCTAGTTTTTAAGATGCACTGTTAGGTTATTTGAAGTTTTAAAAATTTTCGATGTAGGCACTTATAGCTATAAGCTTCCATCTTAGTATGGCTTTTGCTGCATCTGCTAGGTTTTGATATGTTGTGTTTCCATTATCATTTGTTTCAATAAAATTTTCAATTTCTTTCTTAATTTCTTCATTGACCCACTGGCCATTCAGGAGCATATAGTTTAATTTCCATGTATTTGTATAGTTTCCAAAATTCCTCATTATTGATTTCTAGTTTTATTCCATTGTGGTCAGAGAAGATGCTTGATATTATTTCAATTTATTGAATGTTGTTAGACTTGTTTTGTGATCTAATATATGGTCTACCCTGGAGAATGATCCATGTGTTGAGAAAAAGAATGTGTATTTTGCAGCTGTTGGATGAAATGTTCTGTAAATATCTGTTAGATGCATTTGCTCTATAGTGCAGATTAAGTGACATGTTTCTTTACTGATTTTCTATCTGGAAGATCTGTCCAATGTTGAAAGTGGGGTGTTGAAGTCTCCAGCTATTATTGTATTGGAATCTAACAGCTTAGCTCTAATAATATTTGCTTTATATATCTGGGTGCTCCAGTGTTGGGTTTATATATATTTACAATTGTTATATCCTCTTGCTGAACTGACTCCCTTATCATTATATAGTGATCTTCTTAGTCTCTTATAGTTTTTGTGTTGACATTTTTTTTTATTATACTTTTAAGTTCTAGGGTGCATGTGCACAACATGCAGGTTAGTTACATATGTATACATGTGCCATGTTGGTGTGCTGCACCCATTAACTCATCATTTACATTAGGTATATCTCCTCATGCTATCCCTCCCCCCTCCCCCCACCCCACAACAGGCCCCGGTGTGGGATGTTCCCCACCCTGTGTCCATGTGTTCTCATTGTTCGATTCCCACCTATGAGTGAGAACACACAGTGTTTGGTTTTTTGTCCCTGTGATAGTTTGCTGAGAATGATGGTCCCTACAAAGGACATGAACTCATCCTTTTTTATGGGTGCATAGTATTCCATGGTGTATATGTGCCACATTTTCTTAATCCAGTCTATCATTGATGGACATTTGGGTTGGTTCCAAGTCTTTGCTATTGTGAATAGTGCCACAATAAACATATGTGTCCATATGTCTTTATAGCTGCATGACTTATAATCCTTTGGGTATATACCCAGTAATGAGATGGCTGGATCAAATGGTATTTCTAGTTCTAGATCCTTGAGGAATCACCACACTGTCTTCCACAATGGTTGAACTAGTTTATAGTCCCACCAACAGTGTAAAAGTGTTTCTATTTCTCCACATCCTCTCCAGCACCTGTTATTTCCTGACTTTCTAATGATTGCCATTCTAACTGATGTGAGACGGTTTCTCATTGTGGTTTTGATGTGCATTCTCTGATGGCCAGTGATGATGAGCATTTTTTCATGTGTCTGTTGGCTGCATAAATGTCTGCTTCTGAGAGGTGTCTGTTCATATCCTTCGCCCACTTTTTGATGGGGTTGTTTGATTTTTTTCTTGTAAATTTGTTTGAGTTCTTTGTAGATTCTGGGTATTAGCCCTTTGTCAGATGGGTAGATTGTAAAAATTTTCTCCCATTCTGTAGGTTGCCTGTTCACTCTGATGGTAGTTTCTTTTGCTGTGCAGAAGCTCTTTAGTTTAATTAGATCTCATTTGTCAACTTTGGCTTTTGTTGCCATTGCTTTTGGTGTTTAGTCATGAAGTCCTTGCCCATGCTTATGGCCTTAATGGTATTGCCTAGGTTTTCTTCTAGGGTTTTTATGGCTTTAGGTCTAATATTTAAGTCTTTAATCCATTTTGAATTAATTTTTGTATAAGGTGTAAGGAAGGGATCCAGTTTCAGCTTTCTACATATGGCTAGCCAGTTTTCCCAGCACCATTTATTAAATAGGGAATCCTTTCCCCATTTCTTGTTTTTGTCAGGTTTGTCAAAGATCAGATGGTTGCAGACGTGCGGTCTCATTTCCAAGGGCTCTATTCTGTTCCATTGGTCTATATCTCTGTTTTGGTACCAGTACTATGCTGTTTTGGTTACTGCAGCCTTGTCGTATAGTTTGAAGTCAGGTAGCATGATGCCTCCAGCTTTGCTCTTTTGGCTTAAGATTGTCTTGGCAATGCGGGCTCTTTTTTGGTTCCATATGAATTTTAAAGTAGTTTTTTCCAATTCTGTGAAGAAAGTCATTGGTAGCTTGATGGTGATGGCATTGAACATATAAATTACCTTGGGCAGTATGGCCATTTTCACGGTATTGATTCTTCCTATCCATGAGCATGGAATGTTCTTCCATTTGTTTGTGTCCTCTTTTATTTCGTTGAGCAGTGGTTTGTAGTTCTCCTTGAAGAGGTCCTTCACATCCTTTGTAAGCTGGATTCCTAGGTATTTTATTCTCTTTGAAGCAATTGTGAATGGAAGTTCACTCATGATTTGGCTCTCTGTTTGCCTGTTATTGGTGTATAGGAACGCTTGTGATTTTGGCACATTGATTTTGTATCTTGAGACTTTGCTGAAGTTGCTTATCAGCTTAAGGAGATTTTGGGCTGAGACAATAGGGTTTTCTAAATATACAATCATGTCATCTGCAAACAGGGACAATTTGACTTCCTCTTTTCCTAATTGAATACCCTTTATTTCCTTCTCCTGCCTGATTGCCCTGGCCAGAACTTCCAACACTATGTTGAATAGGAGTGGTGAGAGAGGGCATCCCTGTCTTGTGCCAGTTTTCAAAGGGAATGCTTCCAGTTTTTGCCCATTCAGTATGATATTGGCTGTGGGTTTGTCATAAATAGCTCTTATTATTTTGAGATACGTCCCATCAATACCTAGTTTATTGAGAGTTTTTAGCATGAAGGGCTGTTGAATTTTGTCAAAGGCCTTTTCTGAATCTATTGAGATAATTATGTGGTTTTTGTCTTTGGTTCTGTTTATATGCTGGATTATGTTTATTGATTTGTATATGTTGAACCAGCCTTGCATCCTAGGGATGAAGCCCACTTGATCGTGCTGGATAAGCTTTTTGATGTGCTGTTGGATTTGGTTTGCCAGTATTTTATTGAGGATTTTTGCAGCGATGTTCATCACGGATATTGGTCTGAAATTCTTTTTTTGTTGTGTCTTTGCCAGGCTTTGGTATCAGGATGATGCCGGCCTCATAAAATGAGTTAGGGAGGATTCCCTCTTTTTCTATTGATTGGAATAGTTTCAAAAGGAATGCTACCAGCTCCTCTTTGTACCTCTGGTAGATTCAGCTGTGAATCCGTCTCGTCCTGGACTTTTTTTGGTTGGTGGGCTATTAATTATTCCCTCAATTTCAGAGCCTGTTATTGGTCTATTCGGAGATTCAACTTCTTCCTGGTTTAGTCTTGGGAGGGTATATGTGTCCAGGAATTTATCCATTTCTTCTAGATTTTCTCGTTTATTTGCGTAGAGGTGTTTATAGTATTCTCTGATGGTAATTTGTATTTCTGTGGGATCAGTGGTGATATCCGCTTTATCATTTTTTATTGCGTCTATTTGATTCTTCTCTCTTTTCTTCTTTATTAGTCTTGCTAGCGGTCTATCAATTTTGTTGATCTTTTCAAAAAACCAGCTCCTGGATTCATTGCTTTTTTGAAGGGTTTTTTGTGTCTCTATCTCCTTCAGTTCTGCTCTGATCTTAGTTATTTCTTGCCTTCTGCTAGCTTTTGAATGGGTTTGCTCTTGCTTCTCTAGTTCTTTTAATTGTGATGTTAGGGTGCCAATTTTAGATCTTTCCTGCTTTCTCTTGTGGGCATTTAGTGCTATAAATTTCCCTCTACACACTGCTTTAAATGTGTCCCAGAGATTCTGGTATGTTGTGTCTTTGTTCTTGTTGGTTTCAAAGAACATCTTTATTTCTGCCTTCATTTCGTTATGTACCCAGTAGTCACTCAGGAGCAGGTTGTTCAGTTTCCATGTAGTTGAGCGGTTTTGAGTGAGTTTCTTAATCCTGAGTTGTAGTTTGATTGCACTGTGGTCTCAGAGACAGTTTGTTATAATTTCTGTTCTTTTACATTTGGTGAGGAGTACTTCACTTCCAACTATGTGGTCAATTTTGGAATAAATGCGATGTGGTGCTGAGAAGAATGTATATTTTGTTGATCTGGGGTGGAGAGTTCTGTAGATGTCTATTAGGTCCACTTGGTGCAGAGCTGAGTTCAATTCCTGGATATCCTTGTTAACTTTCTGTCTCGTTGATCTGTCTAATGTTGACAGTGGGATGTTAACGTCTCCCATTATTATTGTGTGGGAATCTAAGTCTCTTTGTAGGGAATCCTTTTTTTTTTTTCTGAGACTGGGTCTTACTCTGTCACCCAGGCTGGAGTGCAGTGGTGTGATTATAGCTCACTGCAGCCTCCACCTCAGCCTCCCAAGCAGCTGGGATTACAGGCACATGCCACCACACCCAGCTAATTTTTTTTGTGTGTTGAAATCTATTTTGTCTCATATAAGTATATCTACTCCTGCTCTTTTTTGGTTTCCATTGGCATGGAATATCTTTTTCCATCCTTTTCAGTCTATGTGTGTCTTCATAGGTGAAGTGTGATCCTTGTAAGCAACAGATTGATGAGTCTCGCTCTTTTTTTTTTTCATCCATTCAGTCACTCTGACTTTTATTAGAGAGTTTAGGTCACTTACATTCAATGTTATTATTGATAAGTAAGGACTTACCCCTGCCAGTTTGTTGTTTTCTGGTTATTTTGTGGTCTTGCCTTCCTTCTTTTTTTCCCCCTTCCTTTCTTCCTTTTAGTGAAGGTGATTTTCTCTAGTGATATGATTTAGCTTCTTGCTTGTTACTTTTTGTGTATCCACTGTATGGTTTTTGGTTTGAGGCTACCATGAGGCTTGCAAATACTATCTTATAAACCATTATTTCAGCACTCTACTCATTCGGGAAATTTTCCTAGAAATGAGCTATAGATATGATCCCTGGAAGTATAGTTTTTGTGTCTTAGTTTTTAACAAAAATATTTTAAAAGTTTAAAAAAAGTAAAAAGTTAAAAAATTGAAAAAAGCTTATAGAATAGGATATAAAGAAAGGAAATATTTTTGTACAGCTATACAAGGTGGTTGTGTTTTAAGCCAAGTGTTATTGCTAAAGAGTCAAAAAGATTTGTTTAGAAAAAGCTTATAAAGTAAAAATGTTAGAGTAAGCTAAGGTTAATGTATTCTTGAAGAAAAAGAAATTTTAAATAAATTTAATATGGTCTAAGTACACAGTTTATAAAGTCTACAGTAGTGTACAGTAATGCTGTAGGCCTTCACATTCATTTACCACCCACTCACTGACACTTCCAGTCCTGCAAGCTCCGGAAATGGTAAGTGCCCTACACAGGTGTGCCATTTTTTATCTTTTATATCATATTTTCACTGTACTTTTGTCTATGTTTAGATATGTTTATATACACAGATACTTACCACTGTGTTATAATTACCTACATTATTCAGTATGATAATACGGTGTACAAGTTTGTAGCCTAGAAACAAATGGTTACATTGTATAGCCTAGGTGTAGGCAATTTAGGTTTGTGTAAGTACATCCTATGATGTTCACACAATGACAAAATTACCTAATGAAATTTTTTTTTTTTTTTAATTGAGACAGAGTCTTGCTCTGCCACCCAGGCTGAAGTGCAGTGGCATGACCTCGGCTCACTACAACTTCTGCCTTCCAGGTTCAAGCAATTCTCCTGCCTCAGCGTCCTGAGTAGCTGAGATTACAGACGTGTGCCACCACACCCAGCTAATTTTTGTATTTTTAGTAGAGATGGGGTTTCACTATGTTAACTAGGCTGGTCTCGAACTCCTGAACTCAAGTGATCCACCCACCTTGGCCTCTCAAAGTGCTGAGATTACAGGCCTGAGCCACTGTGCCTGGATGACCTAATGAAAAATTTCTCAGAAGGTATCCCCATCTTAAAGCGATACATGACTGTACTTCTGCAGGATCTTTGCAGAATACTAAGTTGTTGTGTTAAAGGTAAGAATAAGATATGTTTGGGCACTACTAGCAATACTATCTAACACTGTTCTAGAGTTCTCAATGTTGACTATTGAAATTTCAGCTAGATAATTCTTTACTGTGGGAGCAGTTCTATGCAATGTAGGATGTCTAAAGCAGCATCCCTGGCCTTTACCACTAGCTGTTCAATAGAATCCCTGCCCCCACCCCTCATCTTTTGGTGTGGCAACCAAAAATGTCCTCAGGCATTGTCTGCTGGAGAGCCAAATCACCCCTACTGATAATACCTTGAGAATCACTATTCTAGAGGTATTAACCATCATAAAAAAGAAATTAGAGATATAAAAGTTGAAAAGAGGTAAAATTAACATTATTTGAAGAGAATAAATTTTTTTTGCTTAGAAAACTCAAGAAAATCAATTGAAAGACTATTTTTTTTTAGACGGAATCTTGTTCAGCCGCACAGGCTGGAGTGCAGTGGTGCGACCTTGGCTCACTGCAACCACCATCTCCCAAATTCAAGCGATTCCCCCATCTCAGCCTCCCGAGTAGCTGGAATTACAGGCACCTGCCATCATGCATGGCTAATTTTTTTTTTTTTTTTTGGACTTTAGTAGAGATGGTGTTTCACCATGTTGGCCAAGCTTGGTCTTGAACTCCTGACCTCAGGTGATCCGCCCGCCTTGGCCTCCCAAAGTGCTAGGATTACACACATGAGACACTGTGCCTGGCCCTGAAAGACTATTAAAAATGCTAAGAGAATTTAGGATATAGATTTGGACACAATATCCAAATCAATATAGTTGACTCTTGAACAACACAGGTTAGAACTGAGTGAGTCCATTGATACACTGATTTTTTTCAACCAAATGAGAATGGACATAGAGCATTCACAGGATTTGAAATGTGGGTATAAGGAGGCTGACTTTCTGTGTACTCAAGTCCCAAAGGAACAGCTTGGGAACTTCAGAATGAGCCGATTTTGGTATATGCTGAGCATCCTTGAACCCATCCTCCACGTATACTGAGGGATGACTGTATACAGAAATCTATAGCCTTCATATATATGTATATGCATTTTATATATATATACACACCTAGTATAAAAATATAAATACTCCTAGTATATACAGGTCATCTAAATACACCTAGTATATGCCTTCATATATATATATATATATATGCATACAGGCACTGTTTCATTATAGAGAGCATTAGAAGCCTGTACTTTCTGGAGAAGTAGTTTTGGTGTTTAAATACAAAAATAGTTATAAAAGGCAGCATTAAGCAAAGAGCCTTAGAGGTTATTTTAGTTACTCTGGTGTATGTTTTTTTTCTGTCAACATTTGTGGGCTGGAACGGGAATGTGATAGTGTACGTCAGCTTCTACTTATGTGCATGCTGACATTCCCAGGGTTAGCAGAGGAACTGGACAGAATGAACCTAGGCTCTAGATGACCGTTGGAGAAGATCCTCCACCCTCCTGAGACCTTCCTGAGTCTGGACTGTTTGGAGACAGATATACAAACTTCTCTCCTGTTTGAGTTACTGTATTTTGAAATTTCTATAATAAAAACACTTAGCCTGTTCTTTGAACAGGTATGCTGTCAAGAACTGAAACTTCGCCATGGTTCAAGGGTGTTACTGCAGAGTGGATTCACCAACTACTTAGATGAGAAGCAAAAAGGGATCAGCAGTTCATCACTTGTTGAGTTCCCTGACACAGAAATATTGTGATAGTGTCTTATTTCAAATAGCTCTCTTGACATTGCAGGATTCATTCATGCACAATTGCTTGACTCAAAATGAGGTTCTCGTATAAAGATGGGATATTGCTATCTTCTTAGAAGCATTCTTTCTCTAGAAGCTACTCCCTTTGTAACATATTATTCATATTACTAATTACATTAGAGCACATCACAAGGTGATTGAGGTGGTACTTGACACCAGAGTAACTAAAATAATCTCTAAGGCTCTTTGCTTAATGCTGTCTTTTATAGCTATTTTTGTATTTAAACACCAAAACTACTTCTCCAGAAAGTACAGGCTTCTAATGCTCTCTATGATGAAACAGTGCCTGTATGCATTTGGTTTTTCCATTTAACAACTATTTATTAAATTCCTATGATGTGCTGGGCATTATTTTAAATGCTAAAGATCTGTGGATGATCAAGATAAGCAAGGTTGCTGTCTTCATGCAATCTCACAAACATTAGATAATAAAAAAATTATTAGGAACAAAATTAAAACACCTGGGTCCACCATAAAGACAATTCTAACCTTCAGTCTTTTAAAGTAGAAGCATATTATCCAGATTTTGTTATCTGAAACACTGTTATCAGCCTACATTGCTTTTACCATAAAAAGTATAGTCTACATAAATATTTCAGTGCTAAGTTTTTAAAAAATAAATGGACTTTTCCTTCCTATCTCAAACAATATAAGAACCTCTAAGTCTGTAGAACTAATGATAATGTTCTGTAGTTTTTTTCTATGGAATAATTAGAAAAACAAGCAAACTCCAGAACTTTGGAGGATGAATATGATTCTCAAAACCAGTAAAATGAGAGTAAGTAGGTATCTTTAAAAAATAACGAGTAGATGAACTTGCAGTTACACAAGATAATAAGTCTAGAGATCTAATGGACAGTAGGAGGACTATAGTTAATATTGTTGTATTTGAAAAATTTGCTAACATAATAGATTTTAGGTGCTCTTATCACACATATGACTATGTGAAAATCAATGTGACATCATCAAAAATGAAAAAAATATACCCAAATGGAATATAGGCTGGGCTGAATTCTCTCATAAATGTGGCCATAGTCATATGGTACTTGTGCACATGATTATCTGAGTATTATGTCTCCAAGAAAATAGAGTCCATCTATATTGTAAATGTTTCTCAAATGAGGGTAAGAAAATATATTCTCAAAAACTCTAGAGTTTTCCATGAGAACTGAAAATTTTAATTAAATGTAATGCTTTAATTTCAATAATAATCTTTAAAAAATTAATACAGTATGCTATTTGATTTCAGTGCACTTCCCTGACACTAATGAAAACAAACAAACCTAGAGGCAGAGTTAATAAATAAATGATGTGTTTGCAAAAAGAGAATGTCAAATAGCATCACGGGATACTTTAACAACGAGGGTTGCCCCATAATTGTTTGTAACTAAGAATCTGACTGGAATAGTGTCTGGTATCACCTAATATTTCTCTTTAAGCATAATGCTAGCAGCCACTGATTCAAACTACTCTAAGCTCAATTCATCTACAAATATTTTTACACATCAATTTTCCCACATGCAAATGGAATCATACTATACCTATCATTCTGCATCTTAATTTATTCAGTTAATAATATATCTTAGAGATCATTCCATATTAAAACATAGGGTCTCCTGCATTATCTATAACATATAATATTCCATCATATGGGTGTACCATAATTTATTCAACAGTGTCTGACTGATAGATATTTAGAATGTTTCAAGTCTTTTATTAATACAAACGATGCTTCCAGAATATCCTTGTACCTATGTCTCTGTGCTTATGTGAACGTCTATTAGTAAGACACGGTCTCATTAGTGAAATTCATGAGTATATGCCAAATTTCTCTCCAAGGAAATTATTGATCAGTTTATACTCCAGCCAAAAATGTATGAGTGTCTTGCTTCCACTATTCTCTGCAACATAGTGAATTATTAAACTGGGACTTTTTCTGGGTAATTTGTAAAAATCCTTTATTTGTCAGAATTCTTAACATTTCTCTGACATACACATTGGGGGTCTTTTTACTAGTTGCTTTCCATTTTTATGTATTCAAATGTATCAAAATTCCTTTTACAGGCTTCTGGGTTTTGTGCCTTACTACTAAGAAAGGTCTTCTCCATTCTGAAACTATATTTAAGGAATCATCCCTTGTTTATTCTTTATGCATTTACTGTTTGATGTTCAAATCTTTAATTCATTGGGAATGTATTTTGGAGCAAGGAATAAGCAAAGGTGTCAGCATTGTTTTTCCTACATAGCCTGTTGTCCTAAAACCAGTTGCTGAACTTCTTGCTCCAAAGATCTGAAAAGTCAGCTTGTTTCTACACTAAGTTCCATGATAGATTCTGGACTTTTCCTTTTGTTCTACTGATTGATCTCTTAAAAGAAAAAAAAATAAAATTTTTAACATCTGTACTTTTATAATCTATTTAAATATTCAATAGGTGGTCCAACTAATTTTTATTACATACCAAAATAAAACTTTTATATAAAAAAGATTTCTGAAAGTATTATTTTTGAGACAGGGCCTCGCTCTGTCACCTAGGCTGTAGTACAGTTGTATGATCTTGGCTCACTGAAGCCTCGGCCTCCCAGTTTCAAGCGATGCTCCCACCTTAGCTTCCCGAGTAGCTGAGACTACAGGTGCTTGCCACCACGCTCGGCTAATTTTTTAATGTTTTGTAAAGACAAGTTCTCACTAAATTGCCCAGGCTGATCTCAAACTCCTGGGTTCAGGGGATCCTCCTGCCTCAGCCTCCCAAAGTGCTGGGATTACGGGTGTGAGCCATCACACCTGGCTGATTTCTGAAATTATGATGAAATTTAAAAAGAAGCTAATTTATCCACTCATAATTTTTTGTGAATATATAATGAAAAAGACAGCTAACACTTACTGAGCACCTACTATGTACAAAAACTTTTGTGAGGAATAGGGGTAAAATATACGATGTTAAGTAAGTTAAGGTTCATCAAGGAGCTCCAATCCGGTGAGGGAGTCTGTGCGCTTATATCATCAGTTTTCATTCCTTTTCTGTCTACCTTTCTCTCACACACACTGTCTTTAAATAATCAATTTTCATGCCCTTTCTATCTCTGTCTCTCATACACACTCACATACACATTTGTTAAACTATTACATACCTGTTTGATTTCTTTAACAGCCAAAGTAACTGAGAACAAGACTGCCTGACTAATGCTGCTCTGACAGGGAACGTTACAGGCTGACTTAGTTCATTACATATATATTCCATCTCTTTCACCATTGTCCAACTGTACCCTTAAAAGAAAAGAAAAAAATTTAACTTTATTGATTGAAATCTTGAAAGACAATTAAATAAAAGACTAAATTACCTATAATTAGGTAAAACCATAGATAATTCATAGGTAATTCATAATACTTTCCATTTGGATTCTAAGTCAATTAAAATGCTACTTAATGTGAAAAAAAACTAAGTGGAAAATGGAGATAAAAAATCATTCCACAAGTGACCTAGAGCAAATTTAACAAAACATTAAGGCACTAAAAAGGTTTTACTAATCTCTCAAGCACAAGAAAAAAAATTTACACCACTAGATTTTATTTACTTTAAATATTTTAAGGCTCTTCTTTTAGGTACACCTGCATCATTATTATTCTCTATAAACTTGGATTTCCTATTTTTGTTAAATTTTCTTTTCCAAGAAAGGTTGCTTTGGGGTATATGCTAGCTGTTTAAGTGATAGTTAACATCAAATCAATTTTCTTTTTGGCTTGCCCAAATTACCTGTATATTTTACTTAAAGTAGAAATAGTGGTAAAATTGACTATATATGTATATATTTTACATATATTTAAATCATGTTAAGACATTGTGGGCCAGGCATGGTGGTTTATGCCTGTAATCCCAGCACTTTGAGAGGCCAAGGTGGGAGGATAGCTTGAGCCCAGGAGTTTGAAACCAGCCTGGGCAACTTAGTGAGACTTCACTTCTACAAAAAAATTTAAAAAGTAGCTGTGTGTGATGGTGTATGCCTGTGGTCTCAGCTACTCTGGAGGCTGAGGTGGGAGGATCACTTGAGCCCAGGAGGTTGAAGGTGCAGTGAGCCATGATGGTACTACTGCACTCAGCCTGGGTGACAGAGCCAGACCCTGTTTTTTAAAAAAAAAAAAAAAAAAAAAAAAAGGCCAGGTGCAGTGGCTCATGCCTGTAATCCCAGCACTTTGGGAGGCCAAGGTGGGTGGATCACTGGAGGTCAGGAGTTTGAGACCAGCCTGGCCAACATGGTGAAACCCCATCTCTACTAAAAAACAATACAAAAATTAGCTGGGCGTGGTGGCGCCTGTAATCCCAGCTATTCAAGAGGTTGATGCACGAGAATCACTTGAACCTGGGAACCTGGGAGGTGGAGGTTGCAGTAAGCTGAGATCACACCACTGCACTCCAGCCTGGGCAACAGAGCAAGACTCTATTTAAAAAAAAAAAAAACCACATGGAAAACACACTTGCTTGTTTCTAAATAGCTTGAAAAAAAAGTATCTATGTATATATAGAGAATATATATTTTTATATATAAATAAACTATATACATAATAAATAAATATATATATATATACACACACATATATATATATGCACACACTTTTTTTTTTTTTTTGAGACAGAGTCTCACTCTGTTGCCCAGGCTGGAGTACAGTGGCACGATCTTGGCTCACTGCAACCTACGCCTCCTGGGTTCAAGTGATTCTCCTGCCTCAGCCTCCCGAGTAGCTGAGACTACAGGCACACACTACCATGCCTGGCTAACTTTTGTATTTTTAGTAGAGACGGGGTTTCGTCATGCTGGCCAGGCTGGTCTCAAACTCCTGACTTCAGGTGATCCGCCCACCTTGGCCTCCCGAAGTGTGGTGATTACAGGCATGAGCCACCACGCCCGGCCAGAATATATCTATTTTAAATAACTCTATACTCTATCAAAAGCAAGTTGTAAAAAATATTGGTCAGTCAGTAAAGGAACATTTTACAGAAATCTTAAGTGAATATGTTAGTTTAGCAGCTAATTTCCTGATAAAAAGAAGGGACGTGTTCCACTTTCCTTTAAAATCTGGAAAATTATATTTTTAAAAATTAGAAAAAGAGATTGCTAACAGAAGCTTTACTTATATGACTATAAATGTGTGAACTCTCTTAAAATCTGCAGCGTCACCAGTGAACATGGCATCTATCTGAAAGAGCAGATGGAAGGGTCTGCACATACCTGAAGGGTCAGGCCTTTTTTTCCATCAGGCTTAGATTTTGTAGAATGGGTTTTGGTCTTTGTATTAAAGATGTTATTTTTATACCTGGAGGATATTTTAATTTGACCAAGAAATACATTATTAGAATTATTACCTTCATTGACTTTCTCAGGATGCCATCCTGTTGTCCAACCCAGGGAAAACGTCACGTCTGGAAAGAAGGATATCACGGTGTCTAAAAATGGTTTTGCATCTATTACTTTGCTATTTCCATTTGGACCAGGAAGAATATCGGCATTAATCCATACAGGACGCTTCAGATGCCTCTTCACATTTTCCAAGAGCATCATGGATGGTTCTACAACTGCCAGACTAAAAACATAATTTGTTGTCAATGAGATAGATTCTTTAGGTAAAGTAAAAAGAAGTTCTTTTAGACTAGTGGTCTCAATGTTCTCAAATTCATAATCAAAATACAATAATGTCTGGGTTAAATAAAATCAAAGATCGCATAGCACCAGAGGGAAAAGCTAACATATGCCATATCTCTAAATGTTGAACTGTGCTTATTATTCATGAATATACCTTAAAGAGTCTATAAATATATGAATAGTGGTACTACTTGTGGACAAAATAGAGGTTTCAAAACTCCATATTAGGATCACTTGGTGTGAAAACAGTTTTTTAAAAGACACAAATATTCACTCGTTCCAGAATGTATAAATAAGATAAATGAAATACACTTAATAACCTGTAAATTCACATTTATGAAATACCCAAGTGGATCCAAGCCCTGTATCTCTAATTCAGGCTCATGACCCTGGAGAATAAAAGTAGCTTCTTTCCCTTATGTATTCTTGGGTGAGTTTGGATACATAAACAATTCTAAAAATGACTGTAAAATATAAAATTATAGTATTTCCTTCAAGTTTCTGTTTCATTTTTCTTCTTTTATTGTAAGAACCTTTTCTGAAAATTAGAAATACGTATATTTTAGTTCAAATTTAAAAAGCAACTTCAATCTTTTTACTTCCCTACAGATATTCTAGCTGATAACTACAGACTTTGAAACAATAAGGTTTTAATCAGCTTCCATAATTTTTACTTGCCTATGTTCATTTATAAGAAAATTACCTTGTAGTGAATATCATAATGGGAGGCTATGAATTTTGGAGATGGATACTGGAGGGGAGAACACTCACCGACCCCTCCTCACATTTCCCTCTCTCTTCCTAAGAGACGGCAGTACTTCTGTCTATGCTTCTACCTCTCTTGTCTCCACTCCTTTTGGGCCTCCTACTCTAAGAGAAGAAATTTAAATAATCTCATTATTTATTGGGTTATGTTTACCAGTGAGCAAGGATACTATGTACTAAAACCAGAGGAACCCAGGCTCTATCCCTTAGCTTCTAGCCCCTTTCCCTCTGCTGCCATGTGGTACGCTTCCTTCTCACTCTTCTGCCCCTGAATTGGGGAGGGCCTAGATTTTAGTGGATTAATAAACCTTAATGCTGGACTCTGCAGACATTAATTTAGATGTTGTCATTTGTCTCTTTTAAATTCTCCCTGCCTTGCCCTGTGTCAACACCATGTTAAAACCACAATTCTGAGATCCAACACTGTACTTCCTACAAAATTCCATTTTTCGTAGCAAGCAACTTGTACCTGTGACTCCAAAGCTTGCTTGTCTGTCAGTCCCATAGCAGCAGCCAAGTCCCCATGAGGTGCTGCTCTTCATGGGTGGAGTAAGGAAAAACCTTGAACTAATCCATGCATGCCTCCTGCCAAGCTCCTCTTTTTCCAAAAAGGACTCTGATTTCTTAAGAAATCTGGTGTCTTATGGAAGCTGGGTTAAATACTAATTTCCAGTTTACATTTCAGGAGGGAGCCTTTTAGGCTTTCTCAATTTAGTAAGTTGACATAGAGTGAGTGGTTTAAGATTGATTCTTCATCTGATAATATCCAGTTTCTTTTTTTTTTTTTTTTTTTCTTTGAGATGGAGTTTCGCCCTGTCACCCAGGCTGGAGTGCAACGGTGCGATCTCTGCTCACCGTAACCTCTGCATCCCGGGTTCAAGCCATTCTCCTGCCTCTGCCTCCCAAGTAGCTGGGACTATAGGCATGCGCCACCACACCCAGCTAATTTTTGTATTTTCAGTAGAGATGGGGTTTCACCATGTTGGCCAGGCTGGTCTTGAACTCCTGACCTCAAGTGATCCACCTGCCTCGGCCTCCCAAAGTGCTGGGATTACAGGCATGAGCCACCGCACCTGGCCAATATCCAGTTTCAAACAGCGTATTCTCCCACAAATCGAAATTCCACCAGTGTTTACTAAGTGCCTACTACATGCGAAGCACTGTGCAGTTAAACATAAGGAACTATGACAAAGAACACAGTGAAGCAAGAATTTAGTACATTTATTCCATTTTATATGTAAATATTTTAATTATCACTAATGTAGACGAAGGATAATGATATTTTCCCTTACCAGAAACTTAAAATCTGCGGTTAAACAAATTTAAAACCTCACTAAAGAACCAAAAACTTTTTGTTGTTGTAGTTCTTATTTTCTAAAACTTGACGAAGTAATTCTAAAGTTCTTCTGGAAGAAAAGGTGTAACATTTTGTGGGAGAAAAAAGAACTGAGAACAAACTTTCCTAAACAACAAAATAAAATCTACAGTAGTCCACCTTATCTGCAGGGAATATGTTCCAAGACCTCCAAGGGATGCCTGAAACTACCTAGCACCCAACCCTATATGTAGTCTGTTTTTTTTCCCTACACATACCTATCTCTGATAAAGTGTAATTTATAAATTAGTCACAGTAAGAGATTAGCAACATAAACTAGTAATAAAATAGAACAATTATAGCAATATACTATAATAAAAGTTATGTGAATGTGGTCTCTCTCTCTCTCTCAAAATAGCATACTGTACCGTACTCACCCTTCTTCTTGTGATCTGTCAATCTGATAACTGTGACGGCTATTAAGTGACTAACAGGTGGGCAGCATATATGGTGTGGATACGCTGGACGAAGGGAAGGGATGAGTCACACCCCAGCTGGGATGGAATAGGAAAGTACCAGATTTCACCACACTGCTCAGAATGGTGTGTAATTTAAAACTTATTGTTTATTTCTCAAATTTTCCATTTAACACTTTTAGACCATGGTGTACTGCAGGTTACTGAAACTGCAGATAACAGAGGA
The DNA here is from genome assembly GCF_000001405.40 of Homo sapiens. Lineage (NCBI taxonomy): Eukaryota > Metazoa > Chordata > Mammalia > Primates > Hominidae > Homo > Homo sapiens. Next base: position 80,516,851 of record NC_000005.10, on the reverse strand, counting down.
CTACTGTATACTACAAGAAATAACAGACCAAGCCTGGAAGACTCAATATTGCATGTATTATAAAATGACACATCCTTCTAAATTAATCTATAAATTCCATGTGATTCTAATTTAAAATACAGTGGCCAACATTCTCAATTCTTACATATATTAGTACTAAGTTTCCATAAGGAAGTACCAAAGCTTCACCAAGATGATCATCCGAAGAGGAAAGTCCTGGTGAGACTACTACTGAAAATTGCTCCTTGGTGGTATTTATTTAAGTCTCCTGAAAAGAATATAAACTTAGTTATTATAGAATATATTTTTTTCCTAAAAAGTTATTTGTAAATCAAACTTCTAAATATCATACCCTGTTTTCCTATTAATTTCATTTAAAAATTGGGAATGATAAAATAAATATCGTACTTAAAATTGTAACAAACTATATAAAATTGCATTGTTTAAGGGAAAATAATTCTTAGCTAAAACGCTGAAGAGCTTGCTGAGACTCCAGATAAAATTTAAAAATATAATACTTTTTTTTTGAGATGGCGTTTCACTCTTGTTGCCCAGGCTGGAGTGCAATGGCATGATCTCGGCTCACTGCAACCTCCGCTTCCCGGGTCCAAGTGATTCTCCTGCCTCAGCCTTCCGAATAGCTGGGATTACAGGCATGTGCCACCACGTCCAGCTAATTTTGTATTTTTAGTAGAAACGGGGTTTCTCCATGTTGGTCAGGCTGGTCTAGAACTCCTGACCTCAGGTGATTCGCCCACCTTGGCCTACCAAAGTGCTGGGATTATAGTCATGAGCCACTGCGCCCAGCCAAAATATAATACTTTTTATTTGTGTACCAAACAAAGTAACTTAGAAGCACAAAACAAGAACTACTAAAACTTAACTAACAGGTCATTCAGCTGCTCTTACAAAGGGAGTGAGTGCAGCATTCTGGTTAAAAGTGTGAACTCTCCAGCCAGGCTGACAGCTCTCTAGTTCCACTAACAACTACGTGACAAGCGGGCTCCTCAGCCCCTCCATCTCCATTGCCTCATCCGGAAAATGAGAATAACAGCAATAACCTACCTCTTAGGATTGTTACGAGAATTTAATGAAAAATACATGCAATGCTTTTACAACAGTGTCTGACATGTAATAGGTGTTCACATACCTATTAGTTTATATTGAATCCCCTTCAAATATGTTATGACTTTAAAAAAAACTTGCAAAATCTTTGTTTCAGAGGCTCAGCGCTTTTGTGCTAGCTGCTAGCACTTAAGAATGAATGAGCTGATCTGACTGGTGAGAAGCCAAAGAATATGTCCCAGGAAACAATTCAAGGGGCAATAGTAAACATGAAAAACTGAGCACGTGACATCAAGGAGATCTAAAAGTTTAAGCCATCAAGCACTAAAGATCAAATGCTTTATTTCATGATATAGAGAACACTGGACTGGCTTCAGGAGAATTAGGATCTGGTTGTAGCTTACCTGTCAAAGCTTACCTGTTACCCTCAGGTACATCACTTAACCTCTCTGGAACTAAGTTTCTTTGTCAATAAAATGAAATTGAACCATTGATAACTCAAAAAGTTTATGATTTTTTATTATTTATTTATTTATTTATTTTTTTGAGACAGAGTTTTGCTCTTGTTGCCGAGGCTGGAGTGCCGTGGCGCAATCTCAACTCACTGCAACCTCCACCTCCTGGGTTCAAGAGGTTCTCCTGCCTCAGCCTCCCGAGTAGCTGAATTACAGGTGCGCACCACCATGCCTGGCTAATTTTCTGTATTTTTAGTAGAGAAGGGGTTTCACCATGTTGGCCAGGCTGGTCTCAAACTCCTAACCTCAGGTGATCCACCCGCCTTGGCCTCCCAAAGTGCTGGGATTACAAGCGTGAGCCACCGTGCCCGGTCGAAAAAAAAGTTTATGATCTTAAGATAGTTCTTTAATTCACAAGACCCTGTCAATCCAAACTCCTGTATATCAAGATTTTATACATCTATTCATTCACTAACGGTATAATAAGGTTTACTGGTATATTTTGCCCCATAACAAATGGTTAGAGTCATCTTAAGAATCCTACAAGATTCCAAGTCCTTATTAATTTCTTGAGATAATTCTATTTAAAAATATTACTCAGAGATGAAGTAGGCTTACTGCCAATCCTAGATTTCAATAGCAGCTGCCTTCATAAGCTTTACAGTGTGCTTCTGAAGTGTTGCTGTATATTTCTGGCTTTCTTTATCATTTTTACACTGCTAAAATACTACAAAAGTAAAATTTCCTGTGATGGCCACAGTGAAGGAAATGACAGCTTACTCTTGCTCTTCAGTATTAATGCCTCCAAATATTATTATTATTATTATTATTATTATTATTATTATTATTATTATTTGAGAGGGAGTTTCACTCTTGTAGCCCAGGCTGGAATTCAATGGCGTGATCTCGGCTCACTGCAACCTCCGCCTCCCAGGTTCAAGCAATTCTCCTGCCTCAGCCTCCCCAGTAGCTGTGATTACAGGCGCCCACCACCATGCTTGGCTAATTTTTGTATTTTTAGTAGAGGTGGCGTTTCGCCATTTTGGTCAGGCTGGTCTCAAACTCCTGACCTCGGTTGATTCGCCCACCTCAGCCTCCCAAAGTGCTGGAATTACAGGCTGAAGCCACTGTGCCCGGCTGCCTCCAAGCATTATTTTTAAGAAACACTTTGGTTATTGGAGAATTCTAAATAATTCCCTTTACAAATATAATAACATAAATCAAATAGGGTATGCATTAACTAGCTCAATGAATTTCTCCCAGCTCTCTCTCTCCTGGGTTACTTTTTAACATATGTAGCATTTTTAATTTACCTTTCTGTTGTCACGATGGTCACTTATGATAAATTCCTTTATAAAAATTAATCTAACTTTTGCCTTTAAGGGTCTCCAAAAAACAATTTTAGTAAATAACTCAGTGGGTCTTAGGTTCATTTAGGTTCAGTCCTGAAATATATTAGAGTCTACAATTCCATTTTCAGTTTGGATAACATTAAAAAAAATAGGTAGTCAGGCACAGCTATTACTTTTTTCCCAGAAAATTGAACGTGTTTATACAAATACCTTTTGAAATCCAGCTTGATGCCTTTATTGCTTTTCATAACTTCAGTCAGCCACTCCTGTAGAGTATTATCACTGTTTGTTTCAGGGGGATGGGCCATAATTGGCTGGCTGTGTTCTGATCCATCACTTGGAAGAAGGACATCAGCCTCTATCATGTGAGCAGTACCTGTCCAAATAAAAGAACTTCAGTTAATGCTAAGAAAACAGGGCACAGAACTACAGGAGGCACCATGTTCAGTATCCTTTTGAGGAAGATAAAAAAAAAGGAAAGAAAAGTAACACTCAGTGAGCGATTATCCCATGCCAGGCAGTATACAAGGTCCGTACACATTCTCCCTATTTTTTAGATTAGCAAACAGATGTCAAGAAGTTAAATGACTTTCCCTAAGTTACACAGATCTTAAGCTGTTGACATACAAATTCTGAATTTCTTTCTAATACCAGCAAAGTACATACATAATGAAAGGCTTAATAAGTATTTGCTGAAGCTTTCTGGGAATAAAAATCGTACTTTTATCTTCTCACTCCTCAAATTAGAAATTATGGATATTCATTGCTCATGTTTGAAAATCTACATTAAAAATTCACTTCTTTGACTTACGGTTTAGTTACTGCTTAAAAGCATACATCCTTTGAACAGGTAAGGAGCTTCAGCAGACATGGTGTAAGTATGTTCAGCAGGCTGTGACAGACTGACTCCAAGATGGCTGCCAACAACTCCTCCAGGACATGCATACCGCTCTTCCCATCAACATCCTCTTCCCTGCCTCTTCAGCTGGGCAGGTCTTGTGATGGGTTGGGGCCGTAATTCCCCAAATGCCATAATCTCGAATTTTGAAATCCCAGAAAATCAAAATCCCTAAAGTCTAAAATCCCCAAAATCACAATCCCAAAAGATCAAAATCCTGAAAATATTGGAAAAAATAATTTTAAAAATTCTTTAAAATGCATTTACTTACATTTTTTTAAATTTCTTTTTTTTTTTTTTTAGAAACAGGGTCTTACCCTGTCATCCAGGCTGATGCAGTAGCAGCATTATACTTCACCGAAGCTTTGACCTCCTGAGCTCAAGCAATCCTCCCGCCTCAGCTTCCTGAGTAGCTAGGACTACAGGTGTGTGCCACCATGCCCAGCTGATTTTTTTAAAAAATATCTGTTGTAGAGACAGGGTCTCACTATGTTGCCCAGGCTGGTCGTGAACTCTTGGGCTCAAGTAATCTTGCTTTGGCCTCCTCAAGTGCTGGGATTACAGGCATGAGCCACTGTGCCAATCCTGTTCATTTTTAAAAGGGCATTTATTTGAGAAACCTATGAAAACATGGCAGAACACTTCAGAGGCCACTTTACACAATAAAATAGGCAATAATAACACACATTTTTGCAAGCATAAACACCCAGGTATATTAATCAGTTCAGAGATATAACATGAGCAAATGAACTGTAATCATAAAGAAATAGCTTAAATAACTGCAGTCATCTGAAATAACTTGATGAACAACCTAAGTCTTTTGACAAGATCAGTCAAAAACTGTGATGGGTTGCCATCATACACATAGTCACCCAAAGAACTGTGATCTTGAGAAATTTTATCTTTCACAAATGCAGATGTACAAATGGATATCTCTTCATTTCCTGTGAAAGTTTCAACGTTTTTATCAATAAGCGCAATGGTTACACACAAAGTCAATGTTGTGAAAATGCAGCTCTGTGGAGTCAAATTTGAAAAAAATGCATAAAACAAATTAGAACACTCTAAGAGTCTTTATACAATCTATACCTCCAATACCAGAAACAATGCAAAGATGAATTATGTAGCATAGTGAATTATAAAAAACAATGCTGACCATTTAAAATAGTGGAAATGGCCAAGCATGGTGGCTCACGCTTATAATCCTAGCACTTTGGGAGGCTGAGGCAGGCAGATCACCTGAGGTCAGGAGTTTGAGACCAACCTGGCCAACATGGAGAAACCCCGTATCCACTAAAAACTCAAAATTTAGCCAAGTGTGGTGGCAGGCGCCTGTAATCCCAGCTACTCAGGAGGCTGAGGCAGGAGAATCACTTGAACCCAGGAGGCGGAAGTTGCAGTGAGCTGAGATTGTGCCACTGCACTCCAGCCTGGCCAACAGAGCAAGACTCCTGTCTCAAAAAAAAATTTTTTTTAAAGATAAATAATAAAATAGTGGGCAAAAACGAAAAAGAAGCTTTGACACATGAAAAAAGTGGGATAGATGACAGGTAATCGCACAAGTGTACTCCATAAGAGGTGGCCAACCTGCACTGCAATAAATAGTTGCTTTCTTCTTTCCTTTTTTTTTTTTTTTTTTTTTTTTTGAGACAGAGTCTCACTCTATTGCAACCTGAAACTCTTGGGCTCCAGGGATCCTCCTGCCTCAGCCTCCTGAGTAGCCAGGACTACAAGCATGCACCACCACACCCTGCTAATTTTTCTAAATTTTTAGTAGAGATGAGGTCTCACTGTGTTGCCCAGGTTGGTCTCAAACTCCTGGACTCAAATGATTCTCTCACCTCTGCCTCTCAAAGTGCTAAGATTCCAGGTGAGAGCCACCACACCCGGCCACATTTTTTCTTTTAGGGCATGAGTCTCCTTGGAGGATACATTCAGATTCATTTTCTATGTGGCGCTGTTTTTTCTCAACTTCTTCTATGATTTGATATGCACCTGCATGAGTATTCCCTATTAAACTTTCCGATCTTCTGTGCCATGTTTCTATGCTGTTTTGGGTATGTGGAAATCCATTTCACATGCACTTATATGCAGATCACAAATTTGGTGGAAACAATACTGATGGTCAAACAGCAACTCCAGGGCATGTCTTCTTATCCGACCATGCACGTCATTATCTTCAAACCAGTCAGTAATTTCTCTGGCTTCTTCATGCAAATGCAGCTTTAATTTACTAAAAGCTCCTAGAATTTCATCAGCGGGAAGGAATGCCAATACAGATCCATAAGGCATTTTAAACTGAAGTTTTTGTCACTGCCATCTCACGTGACCAATCCACTCATCTGAGTTTTCTGTTAAAGGCATCAGGCTGAATGAAAAAGACAAACTTTACTGGTAACAACTTGAAATTCACTCTTATAAGCCTTGATTGCACCTAATTCTAAATCTATCATTATAGTTTGGGGATTCAATTAGATATTAAGGATTTTAGGCTATGGATTTTGATCTTTCAGCATTTCAACACTTGGGATATGGCATTTGGGATTGTGTCTTTTGGGATTATGATTGGCACCACTTGTGATCTGCTTTGACCAACAGAAGGTAGTGGAAATAAAACTGTCAGTTCTAGGCCTAGCCTTTAAAACTGCTGGCACCTTCAGTTTTCTTACTCTTGAAATCCAGCCACCATGTAAAGACATTCATGCAAGATTACCGAAGACTGAGAGACCACATAGAGAGAGAGAAGCCACGTGGAGGAGAACTAAGACTTCCTATCTGACAGAGAGCATTAAGGCCACTGACATATGAGTGAGGTCATTTTAGAATTTCCAGGCCCAGCTGGGCACCCAGCTGAATGCAGCTACATGAACGTCCTAAGCCCGTACTACATGCAACAGAACCACCAGCTGACCCATAAAATCATCAGAAAAAAATACAGCACTGCTATTTTAAGTCACTCATTTTTGGGTATTCTATTACACAGCAATAGATAAAAAGCAATAGGTAGCTGGAAGTGGAGTGTTGCCATATCAAAAACCTGAAACATGTGGCATTGGCTTTGTGACCTGGTGGAGGCTAAGAAAGGCAAGGAGGGAACTGTTCATGGAAGCTGGAAGAGCAGTGCAGAAATTCTTACTGGAAGCTTGAGAACAATAAGCTCATTTTATTGTTTTCCATAGTGGTAAAACTTCTGGCAACACTGTCACTGTAGCAACTGGTGGAAGATAGACAGGATACCCAGTGAACCTGTGTATTTGGCTAAAGAGGTTTCCAGGGGAAATGGTGAAAGTGGCAACTGGCTTCTTTTAACTGCTTATAATAAAGAATGAGAAGAAAGAGCTAAGCTAAATAATTAACGTTTCAGATTTTCAGCAGCATATAGAGAAAATATTTCCAAATCAGGACTTTCTGAATTTGAAAATAAAACTGTTTCTTATTCCTGTCCTCTCCAGCTGGCAAGAGATTCTCAAAGTAAGAGACAGTCTCGGGCCAAAATTTAAATCTAGGGTGTTGCCTGTCTTAGTCTGTGTTATACTGTGATGACAGAATAACACAGACTGGGTAATTTATAATAAACAGACATTTATTGGCTCACCATTCTGGAGGCTGGGAAATCCAATATCAAAGTGCTGATACTTAAAGAGGGCCTTCTCACTGCATTTTCATCTGGTGGAAGGCGGAGCGAGAGAACACCCACTTTCCAAAGTCCTTTAAATATGGCATTAAACCCACCCATGAAGGTGGACCCCTCATGGCCTAATCACCTCGCAGCAGTGTTACACTGGCAATTAAATTTCAACATGAAGCCAGAGTGGTGGCTTACTCCTGTAATCCCAGCACTTTGGGAGCCAGAGGCAGGAGGATCACTTGAGCATAGGAGTTCAAGACCAGCCTGGGCAACATAGCGAGACCTCATCTCTACTGGAAAAAAAAAAAAATTAGCCAGGCATGCTGGTGGCACACGCCTGTAGTCCCAGCTACTTAGAAGGCTGAGGAGGGAGAATCGCTTAAGCCTAAGAGGTCAAGGCTGTAGTGAGCTGTGATTGCGTCACTGCACTACGGCCTGGGTGACAGAGTGAGACGTTGTCTCTTAAAAAAAAAAATTTCAACATGAGTTTTGGATGGAACAAACATTCAAACCATAGCACCAGTAAAACATGGCCTCAGTGTCAATATCAAGCCAAGGGTACAACCATATGACCCTTTATTAAGCCCTCAGAAAGAAGGTGCCTCATGTAGCCACATAGCTAGATATGGAATCTTCTGGAATCTTAAGGGTGTTGTCCACTGCACCTTAACTTGCATACCAAAGTAGAGAGAGGTCTACCTCAAAGAGACGGGGGTGTGGCTTCTGATTAAATTTAATATATTAAAAGCCCACTATATTTTTAAGGGAGATATAACTACTTGGACACAAAAGGACAGAGATAGTTCAAAACGAAAAGAGGTCTGTGGGCTCCCAAATTTCTACAGGCAGGGAACAGGCTAAGAAAGCTACTCAGCTGCAAATATAAGCCAATTTCCAAAAAGCACACAAAGAGATGCTCACCAGCATTAGTCTTTAGGGGATGCAAATCTACACCACAATGAGATACCAATTCATATACACTTAGCTGGCTATAATTAAAAAAAAAAAGTACAATAACAAGTGTTGGCAAAGATGTGGAGAAACTAGAACCCTTATCCACACTGCTAGGAGGAATGTAAAAAGGAGCAGGCACTTTGGAAAAGTTTGGCAGTTCTTTAAAAAGTTAAACATATAGTTACCATGTGACCCAGGAATTCTACTCCTAGACATATAAGCAAGAGAACTGAAAACACATGTCTACAAAAACACCTGTATGTGAATGCTCATAGCAGCAGTAATCATAGTAGCAAAAAAGGGAAACAACCAATGTCTACCAGTTGATGAATGGATAAACAAAATGTGGTATATCTACATACAAAAATGATTCAGTCATAAAAAGGAATAAAGAACTGATACACACTAGAAAACAGCTGAACTTTGAAAACATACTAATTGAAGAAGCCAGTCACAAAAGGCCACATAGGAAGGTGCTTCCCTGAATTTTGATTCTGGAGTCAGGAAAAGTCTTTTTGAGGAAGTGACAATTCAGCCGATACCAAAGGATCAGCTTAAGGGGTTAGCAAGGCAGAGTGTGGGGAAAAGAGCTTTCCAGGAAAGAATGTGTGTGACAGCCCAAGGAGGAGGGAGCGTAGCCATGCAAGGCACTGCTGTGAGGCCAGTGTGGGAATTTCTAGGAATGTGAAAACACTGTGAAGGTGGACTTGGAGACACAGGCCAGTCTGTGCAGGCCCTTCAGGTTATTGAAGTAGTTTGAAGATGCCAATAAATAGCACCCCTTTCTCCAAATGGATCTGTTTTTTGTTTGTTTGTTTTGAGACAGAGTCTCGTTCTGTCGCCCAGGCTGGAATGCAGTGGCATGATCTCAGCTCACTGCAGCCTCTGTCTCCTGGGTTCAAGCAATTCTCCTGCCTGAGCCTCCCAAGTAGCTGGGATTACAGGCATGCACCACCATGCCCAGCTAATTTTTGTATTTTTAGTAGAGACGGGGTTTCTCCATGTTGCCCAGGCTGGTCTCAAACTCCTGGTCTCAAGCAATCCACCTGCCTTGGCCTCCCAAAGTGCTGGGATTATAGGCGTGAACCACCACACCTGGCCTCCAAGTGGATCTTGAGAAATAAAATAGCCAAGTTAAGTAGACAGGGATCAAAGTATACTTGTATTACCTCTAAAGCTAGGTCAGAGGACACAGCTTAGTTGAGAACTAAATAAGCCTGTGCCTGCTACCTGCTAACTGCCACAGTCACCCTCTAGTCCAAATCTTGGAACAGCCCCTTTGAAGCAAAGTTCTAACAAATACAAATATCCAGATGGCTGCTTCCCAGTGGAAGAGAAGAGCTCACTCCCTTGTCCAGCACATTTTTTTTTTTTTTTTTTTGAGATGGAGTCTCACCCTGTTACCCAGGCTGGAGTGCAGTGGCATGATCTTGGCTCACTGCAACCTCTGCTTCCTGGGTTCAAGCAATTCTCCTGCCTCAGCCTCCCAAATAGCTGGGACTACAGGCATGCACCACCATGCACAGCTAATTTTTGTATTTTTAGTAGAGACGGAGGTTCACCATGTTGGCCAGGCTGGTCTCGACCTCCCAAAGTGCTGGGAGTACAGGCGTGAGCCACCTTGCTTGGCCTAGTGCATTTGATAGATTAGCTCCACCCAGTCAAGAACTACAAATCAAAACAATCTCTCAACCTCTATGAGAGAAATAAACAGTGAGGCAAGAGGTCAAAGCCTTTAGGGAAAAAAATCTCTCCTCTTGGAAACCAGAGCAGTAGAACCAAACATGTTTCTATCTAGCAATTATATTAAAGATTTTAAATGGAACACCATTTGAGACCAATAAAGAGGCTTGATTTATGTTTAAATATACCACTTTGGATGCTGGGTGGAAAATAAAATAGACAGGGGCAAGTGTGGAAGCAGGGAAAATAATCTATCCAATTAGGATGGACTCATAGATCTACTGGATGCTTCTGGCGGCAAATAAATAGAAATTCAGATTCAAGCTAGTAGATTTATCATCTCAAATAACTAAAAGTCCAGGGGTCAGGTGAGCTTTAAGTGTGGTACAATCAGCAGCTCAGTGATGTTATTGTGATCTTTATGTCTCTTTTCTTCACTGTCCTTGGTGTCGTCTTCATCGTAAGGCTAATTTCATCTCATGATTTTAAGACAGCTACCAATAATCACTAGGGCTACATATTTTCATGTTCACATACTTCAATTTTAAGATATAAAACTTCTTTGGTAATTATAATTACTTTACTTGAGTCTAATTGAGCCCAGTTTGATCACTTGCCCACCATGGGAGCAATATGAATCATCAGGAAAACTTCAAGTGCTGATTAACTTATTGTAATGCACCCCTGGAGCTACAAATGGAACCAGTTTCCATATGCTTGTATGGAGCAGAAATGGATACCTTAATAAAAGTAAAGTTCTTGGCCGGGCGTGGTGGCTCACACCTGTAATCCCAGCACTTCGCGAGGCCAAGGCAGGCGGATCATGAGGTCAGGAGTTCGAGACCAGTCTGGCCAACACGGTGAAATCTCGTCTCTACAAAAAATACAAAAAATTAGCCGGGTGTGGTGGTGTGAGCCTGTAATCCCAGCTACTCGGGAGGCTGAAGCAGGAGAATCACGTGAATACAGGAGGCAGAGGTTGCAGTGAGCCGAGATTGTGCCATTTCCCTCCAGCCCAGATGACAGTGCGAGACTCTGTCTCAAAAAAAAAAAAAAAAAAAAAAAAATTCTTATAGGAAGAAAGAAAAGGGGACTGGTGATGTAGTAAGAACTCAATGGATGTGGCTGGGTGCGGTGGCTCACGCCTGTAATCCCAGCAAGTTAGGAGGCCGAGGCGGGCAGATCACGAGGTCAGGAGATCGAGACCATCCTGGCTAACACAGTGAAACCCCGTCTCTACTAAAAATACAAAAAATTAGCCAGGCGTGATGGCGGGTGCCTGCAGTCCCAGCTACTTGGGAGGCTGAGGCAGGAGAATGGTGTGAACCCAGGAGGCGGAGCTTGCAGTGAGCCGAGATCGTGCCACTGCACTCCAGCCTGGGTGACAGAGTGAGACTCTGTCTCAAAAAAGAAAAAAAAAAAGAACTCAATGGATGTTTGCTATGTCTCTCTTCTCTAAGCTATACCATATTTAGGATCTTTTAATTACAGTGAGGCAAAGCATAAAATAACAAAATGGCTGGGTGTGGTGCTCACACCTGTAATCCCAGCACTTTGGGAGGCTGAGGCAGGAGGACTGCTTGCAGCCAGGAGTTTGGGACCAGACTCTCTACAAAAAATAAAAATAAAGAAATAAACACCAAAACACCAAGACCAATCAAAGAGTTTTATACTCCTTTTATTCTCTATCAAATGCAATTCTAAGCAATGTCCAGGTACTATCCAAACAGCTTCCAGCCCTCTGCCAAAGGTGGAATTCTTCAACCATGTGAATAGTGCTGAGTCCTGATGTTTGTGTGGCTTATCTCGCCAGGGGGAGGGCAGATACAGAGAAGTTGTTCTTTCACCCTATGGCCAAACTTCTGCAAGGACAACAGGGCAAGTGAATTTGCAGAAAGATAGATGATCTAGTCTTTTATTATTTTCCCAGGATGAAGTTGGGGAAGGGGGTTGTAGGTCTCCTTTATCAGTGTGGTTATAAAGGGGCACAAAAGCTTGGAATCTTTCATTTAAGAGTGATAGTCTAATCCCAGCACTTTGGGAGGCCAAGGAGGGCAGATCAGGAGATCAGGAGATGGAGACCATCCTAGCCAACATGGTGAAACCCCATCTCTACTAAAAATACAAAAATTAGCTGGGCATGGTGGCACATGCCCATAGTCCCAGCTACTCAGAGGCTGAGGCAGGAGGATGGCTTGAACCCGGGAGGCAGAGGTTGCAGTGAGCATAGATCGTGCCACTGCACTCCAGCCTGGCGACAGATCAAGACTCCATCTCAAAAAAAAAAAAAAAAAAAAAAAAAGAGTAATAGTCGCAGTCTGCTAATTCCATTATTTCCAATAGATAGAAAAAAAATCAGTAAATGGGCAAGTTGAGGAGTCTCTGGGCCCATGTAAAGTATGTTCCTAAGGTCTCCTACATGAAAAAAAAGGGGGAACTACAGCAGTATGAGCAAGAAATCCTGGTGGCTTCTAGGATAATGATAAGAAAGATGGAAAGAAAGATGTGGACTAATTCAAAATGTATTTTGGAATAGAATCATAATGATTGGATATTAGATACAAGAATAAAGAAAGGAGCGAAAAAATGACTCCTAGATTTCTGGTTGAAACATCTAAGTAGATTGTGGTGCCATTTCCTGAGACAAGAAAGATCACAGGAAGTGCAGGTTAGTAAATATAGTCAAGAATCTCATTTCGGATAACGTAAATTTGAGACGCATGAGAGATCTCTAAGTGGAAACATCAATAAGCAGTTGGATGGACTAATATTAACAGTCCTAACAAGAGAGGGAGACCTGGCCTGGAGACACAGAAGATACAGAAGCTGCCCAGCCCCTCTCCCTAGTCTTCCATCCATAGCCTGTGGGTAGAAGACTTTTAAAAGTCAGGGCACACTTCTGCTTGGGAGACTGCATGGTTCTAATAGTCTCATATAACAGGGACAGCAAGAGGAGGAAGTCTGTATATCAAGGCATACGTTGCCTCACCCACAGGAGCTCCAGCTTGTGACCATGGCCAGACTTTGCCTTGCTTCATCAACTCCTGTTCAGCATAGCAAAAGTAACTTTTCACCATCCCCAGGCTATGATGGCAAAAGGGCTTTGTATATACTATTATTATACAAATTGTAAAATTTTTTAAGTTGTATTTCTAGATTTTCAGTTATTAGAAAAAAACAGAATTTATTTTCTATTTTGACCTTGAATCCTGAGATTTTCTTTTCTTTGCTTTCTTTCTTTTTTTTTGAGACAAGGTCCTCACTCTGTCACCTAGGTTGGAGTGCAATGGTGCAATCACAGCTCACTGCAGCCTCCAGCTCTTGGGCTCAATCGATCCTCCTGACTCAGCTTCCTGAGTAGCTGTGACTACAGGTACATGCCACCATGCCCGGCTAATTTTTCTATTTTTTGTAGAGACAGGGTCTCACTATGTTGCCTAAGCTGATCTTCAACTCCTGGGGTCAAATGATCCACCCAACTTGGCTTCCCAAAGTGCTGGGATTACAGGCATGAGCCACCGCCCTGACCACATCCTGAGATTTTCTAAGTTCACCTATTTATTATGATCATTTATCTATAGAATCTTTTTTGTTTTCTATAAACACAATCATACTGTCTGTGAATAAAGGTTTTATTTCTTCCTTTCCTATCATTTTTTTCATTTTTAAAAACTGAGACATAATTTACATACTATAAAATTCACCCTTTTAAAGTGAACCCTTTAGTGGTTTTTATTTAGCGTATTCAGAAGGTTATGTAACTATAACCACTCTCTAATTCTAGAAAAATTTCATCATCCAAAAAAGAAACCCTGTACTCATTAGCATTGACTCCTTACAGTTCCTGACAATCATTAAGCAACCATTTCCTGAGGCATCAATTTTGCTAAAATTCATTTACTAAATAATCACTGTGTAGTTATTATATGCTACGCACTGTTTCAGGCATTAAGGATTCAACATGAAACAAGACAAAATTCTTCCTTTTGAGGAGAAAAATACAATTTAAAACAGTGTTTTGACAATAAAAGAAGCTGAGATATATAATGAATTAGGATGCAAAAATGCATACACTTTTATAATAAAATATGGAATTTCAAGGTAATTTCTTGTTGGACCAGATACTGCAAGCTCTGCCCCGGCCCTGTAGTGATATGCTTTCTTTCTCCTTTCCTGCTGCAGCCAACATGAGCACTTTATAGGAAAAGGCTGAGAAACACTGCTATAATGTTCATCTGTATAATGAAGGGATATACATACAATGATTACAGGTTGAATCAGTAAACCAAAGACTTGATTTCTAGCTTAGGCATAAATATTGCCCAATTATTTATTAATTATAAATTGGTATACAATGCCTTCATCCATCCATTGAACAAATATTGAGTGGGTTTCTCATTAGTACATGATGAAAGACATAAAAATATGTAAGATACATGGTCCTGATCTTAAAAGTTTTACTCAAATCACTACATACATAAGAAAATATAATAATATATGAGAGTTTCGAATCAGACATAACAGGCAAATTGCTTCTAGAAAATAAGAAAATTCTTTCATTATGCAATTTGTCCATTTTGTAAACAAAATGAAACACTTTATAAAAATGTTCAGCCTGGTGTGATGGCTCACAGATTACCTGAGCCCAGGAGTTTGAGCCTGCAATGAGCTGTGATTACACCTTTGTTTTCCAGCCTGGGCAACAGAGAGAGACTATGTCTCTAAAAATGAATAAATAATAATTAAATAATAAATAAAAATAAATAAAATACTCATGTCAGCCTGGAACTTACACTTGGATCACCTGTCTCTAGTATCTGCAAATATACCTAGATATCAAAAAAGGAGTTGAATTAATCTATTATCCAAAGTAAATTACAAGTAACTGTACTGACTTACTTTTCAGTGCCTCATTTGTTTGTGCCTTGTGGTTAGCTGCATGATACCAGGTGATCTCAGCACCGTCTTCTGCTGTAATCTGGCTATTTCTCAGAAAATATTCCAGTATATTTTCACTCCAAGATCCTAAAATAACAGTGTTTACATGAAAAGTGATATTGTTTTTTATAGGGTAAAATTTTTAAAATCACTTTCATTGTGTATATTTAAGATACACATATGCTGTTATGTGATATATATATATAGATAGATAGATAGATAGTAAAAAGGTTACTATAATGAAGCAAATTAACATATCCATCATCTCACATATCTGTTTTCTCTGTGTGGCAAGAACAGCTAAAATCTCATTTAACACGAATCCCTTATATACAGTACAATTTTATTACCTGGAGTCCTCATGTTGCACATTAGATCTTGACTTGTTCATCTTTTTTTTTTTTTTTTTTTTTCAATTTGAGAGCAGGTACTGTTTACTAACTGACCAGCTTAGAAAAATAATCATGGTAGACATCTTATTTCATTCTTCTAGTAAGCCTGTTGATCTGGTCCTCCCTGTTGCCAGCATCTCCACCTTCTACAAAATGGGTGGTCTCTCGGCCGGGCGCGGTGGCTCACGCCTGTAATCCCAGCACTTTGGGAGGCTGAGGTGGGCGGATTACCTGAGGTCAGGAGTTGGAGAGCAGCCTGGCCAACATGGTGGAACCCTGTCTCTAACAAAAATAAAAAAAAAAAAATTAGCCAGGTGTGGTGGCACACGCCTGTAATCCCAGTTACTCCAGAGGCTGAGACAGGAGAATCGCTTGAACATGGGAGGCAGAGGTTGCAGTGAGCTGAGATCATGCCACTGCACTCCAGCCTGGGTGACAGAGTGAGACTCTGTCTCAAAAATAAAATAAAATAAAATAAAAATGGATGGTCTTTTTCTTCATTCCGCCTCATGGCGAAGATAATTTGAAGGGCCACAGCAAGTTATTTGCTTCTTTGAAGTGTTTTCCAACAGTATAGATCTCATGAATCAGATCCTCCATGCAGAGGATGCCATATTTACCAAGAGATGGAACAATCAAAGTGTTATCTGTTAAAGCAATTCGCTTCTTATTGATTTTGCCATAACCACGCTTGTAGATTAGTTCATTTACTGACTTCAGATTTGGGTACCCCCATGCTATATATGGCTCTACAATCCTCAGCATGTTAACTGAAGCCTGTTGAGCTTCACAAAGGTTCCACTGAAGATTTGATGAAGGCGAAGAAGCTGCAACACCTTTCGGACCTTTGGGCTCACACCACTGACACCTCTGATCCTGAGGACAAATGCCATTTTGGGTTCTGCAGGTACACAGAAGTTGCCAGCTTTTCTCGCCATCCTTGCCATTCAAAATTCAGTTCTGTATATCTGCCTATATTCCTTGTGACAGTGTTTTGCTTTTTCACAGATAAGCTTCCTCCTTGCCTTTCAAAGCATCTTTTGGGTAAACTTCTTTCTCAGGCACTTGATCTTCAGCTCTGCGAAATTCCCTTGCTTTTTCTTAAGGGTTTCTGGCACAGCAGGAACCTTCTCTTTCTCTTCTACACCCTCCATGGTTCCAGCCGGAAAAAGAGGCAACTTGCTCATCTTATATATCTGTTCTGTATGCTCTAACCTACATCTCCCCATTTCCTTTGCTTCCCCCTCCCCATAGCCATTGTTTTGTCATCTATTTCTGTTATATTTGATTTTTTTTTATTCCACATATAAGTGAGATCATACACTATTTTTCTTTCTGTGTCTGGCTTATTTCACTTAGCATAATGTCCTCCGGGCTCATCCATGATGTGGAAAATGGTAAGTTCTCATTCTTCTTTAGGGCTGAATAATATTCCATTTTATCTATGTACCACAGTTTGTTTATTCATTCATCTATCAACAAACACTTGTTGCTTCCATACCTTGGCCACTGTAAATAATGCTGCAATGAACATGGGAGTGCAGATATCTTTACAAAGTGGTGATTTCATTTCCTTTGGGTATGTGCCCGGAAAAGGGATTGCTGAGTTATAGAGTAAAAAAAAAAAAAAAAATTAACAAAGAACAGACAAGATATTGAGGGATAATAACAAAATAGTTAGGCTGGGAAAAATATAAGATTTTAAAAACAGAGAACAAGTATTATGATGTGGCAAGTATATAATATATATAAACATGTTATATATTATATAATGTAATAATTAGTAGACATATAGGATAGTCTGAACATCAGAAGCATAAGAATGCAGGAAGAAAACAAAACTAAAGCAGATATTTAAAAGCTGGAAATTTCATATGATGTTCTCTACAATGCTGGTCCAGAAATATAAGGAAAACTGATGTAAAGCCAAAGCTATATTTAAAATTCTAAGTTTTACACACTTAATTGTTTTCTCTACCTGAAACCCCATTCTATATTTATATTAACAATTTAATATTTAAATTGCATATCTTACTGCATATCTACCTTCAGATTATTCTCAGCAACATCTATATGAGTGAGCAAGTAATCTCTTGAATTAGCATTCATAAGTTTATCTAGCGTGTGCAATATACATAATTCTCATATCTTTCAACTACTTTTTGGTATAACATATTTTCTCTTGATTAAGCATTAAAACTTGTGAGTTAACCAAGACTAAGGTAAGTGGTAGCAAAAATATCTGAACCCAGATCTATTCCATACTATATCATAACATAAAAGAAGAAAATGCTGAAAAAAAGTTGTCCATAATTTTACCTCCCTAATCCTTGTTCATGCTTCAAACATTTATTAAGAGCCTAGCAAGTGCCTGCAAATTCCCCACGCATGAGATTCTTTCCTCTGTTAATTATTTGTTTGTTAACTCTGCCTAACTACAGTTAAAAACCTAAAACTACTTTTTTTTTTTTTTCCATCTGCCATCTGTGGTGGAGCTGCCACCAAAATGCAGATTTCGTAAAAACCCTTCCGGGGAAGACCACTACCCTCAAGGTTGAACCCTCGGACACAATAGAAAAGGTAAAGGCCAAAATCCAGGAATTCCTCCTGATCAGCAAAGACGGATCTCTGCTGGCAAGCAACTGGAAAATGGAGGTACTCTGTCTGACTACAACATTCAAAAGGAGTCTACTCTTCATCTTGGGTTGAGACTTTGTGGTGGTGCTAAGAAAAGGAAGAAGTCTTACACCACTCCCAAGAATAATAAACACAAGAGAAAGAAGATGAAGCTGGCTGTCCTGAAATACTATAAGGTGGAAGAGAATGGCAAAATTAGACACCTTTGTCGAGAGTGCCATTCAGATGGTGCTGGAGTGTTTATGGCAAGCTACTTTGACAGACATTATTGTGGCAAATGTTGTCTGACTTACTGCTTCAACAAACCAGAAGACAAGTAATTGTCTATGAGTTAATAAAAGACATGAGCTAACATCTTTTTTAAAAGCCCCCCAAAAAACCAAAAACCTTAAACCTAAAAATGGCTATCGGAAACTGCTGATAAGATATCAGAGAATGGAGGGGCATATAAAGACAAATTCTAACTAACATACATGGGACTTAGCAGTCACTTCTAACGCTGGGCTGCAGAATTTAAAAAAAAAAGGACAGTTAGGTGGAGGATCCACTATCCCCAAAGCAGTCTCTCACTGAAAACACGTGGCCCTATTTGGCATATATAATAGAGTCATAGACCTTTCATACTGAGATGGCAACACATGGCCATCATTCTTTAAAATATTAAGGTAGCCATTTTAGAAGGCACATTATTGATTGGCTATAACAAATGTCCAACAATAGGAAAATAATTAAATCACAGTACATATGCATGATAGAATATGTGACTAACGTGGCTGTTAAAAATGAAGGTTTTGAGATACACCAAATGATTTAGAGGACTGATAAGCATTACATTACCAGAAAAACCTAAATGTTGGTTAATGGTTCATATTGGATATTTCCACAGCACTTTTTATTTATTTATTTATTTTTTATTTAAGTTCTAGGGTACATGTGCACAACGTGCAGGTTTGTTACATATGTATACATGTGCCATGTTGGTGTGCTGCACCCATTAACTCGTCATTTACATTAGGTATATCTCCTCATGCTATCCCTCCCCCCTCCCCCTACCCCACGACAGGCCCTGGTGTGTGATGTTCCCCTTCCTTCCACAGCACTTTTCAACTAAACATACTGCATTCAGAATTTTTATAAAGGCAACTTACAGAGTAATAATAAAATACCAGGACTCTAGAATTTAAAAAAATTTAAAGTAAGAAGTTTTCCTTACCCTTTTACTAAGTGAAATTGTTAGTTTGTATTTAAGCCACGACTGTATATATCTTAAAACTTACAGAGGATCCAATTACCTATGATCTAAGGTCTTAGTATTATTATTTAAACAGGCTGTAACTCTGAAAACAGGGCCAAGAGAAAGGCAAAAATAGTTGTAACTTTTTTAAGATTGAGTTTTTGAGTAGTTTTTTTATTGTTTTTGTTTTTTTTTTTTTTTGAGCCGGAGTCTTGCTCTGTCACTCAGGCTGGAGTGCAGGGGCATGATCTCAGCTCACTGCAATCTCCGCCTCCTGTGTTCAAGCAATTCTTATGCTTCAGCCTTCTGAGCAGCTGAGATTACCATCACATCGGCTGCTTTTTGTATTTTTAGTAGAAATGGTGTTTCACCATGTTGGCCAGGTTGTTCTCAAACTCCTGGCCTCAAGCAATCTGCTGCCCTTGGCCTCCCAAAGTGCTGAGATTATAGGCGTGAGCCACCGTGCCTGGCCTTTTGAGCAGTTTTCATTTACAGAAAAAAATTAGGCTGGGCATGGTGGCTCACGCCTGTAATCCCAGCACTTTGGGAGGTCGAGGTGGGCAGATCATCTGAGGTCAGGAGTTCGAGACCAGCCTGGCCAATATGTTGAAACCCCTTCTCTACTAGAAATACAAAAATTAGCTGGGTGTGGTGGCTCACGTCTGTAGTCCCAGCTACTCAGGAGTCTGAGGCAGGGAAATAGCTCGAACCCAGGAGGTAGAGGTTGCAGTGAGCCAAGATCACACCACTGCACTCCGGCTTGGGTGACAGAGCAAGACTCCGTCTCAAAAAAAAAAAAAAAAAAAAAAAAAAAAATTAAGCAAAAAGAGCAAAGTTCCCATATCATCCCCACTCTTCCCTCGATTTCCCTGGTTTTGGCTGTTTTGGTAATTTAAAAATTGCTTTTATTTAAAGCTCCCCAATTTTTAACATCTTGCATTAGTGTGGTATGTCTGTTAGAATAGATGAGCCAATACTGACATTTTGTTAACTAAAGTCCATAGTTTACATTAGAATTCACTCTTGGTATCATACATTTTATAGGTTTTGACAGATGTCTAGGTGTACATCTGAGATAGAAGGTTCAGTTATGGGCCACTGGAATAAAGTGAGTATCACAATAAAGCAAGTCACACAATTTTTGGTTTCCCAGTACATATAAAAGTTATGTTTACACTGTTATACTGTAGCCTATTAGTTGTACAATAGCATTATGTCTAAAAAAATGTGCATACCTTAATTTTAAAATACTTTATTGCTAAAAAGTGTTAACAATCATCTGAGCCTTCCGCTAGCTGTAATCTTTTAACTGGTAGAGGGTCTTGCCTCAATGTTGATGGCTATTGACCAATCAGGGTGGTGGTTGCTGAAGGCTGTGGTGGCTGTGACAATTTCTTACAATAAGGCAATGAAGTTATCGACATCAGTGGATTCTTCCTTTCATGAAAGATCTCTCTGTGGCACACAATGCTGTTTGATAGCATTTTACCCACAGGAGAACTTTCAAAATGAGAGTCAATTCTCTCAAACTCTGCTGCTGTTTTAACAACTAAGTGTATGTAATATTCTTTATCATCTGTGGTCATTTCAACAATGTTCACAGCATCTTCACCAGAAGTAGATTACATCTCAAGAAAATACTGTCTTTGCTCATACATAAGAAGGAACTCCTAGTTCATTAAAGTCTTATCATAAAATTGCGATAATGTAGTCACATCTTCAGGCTCCATTCTAATTCTAGTTCTCTTACTAGTTCTTTTTTTTTTTTTTTTTTTTTTTTTTTTTGAGACGGAGTCTCGCTCTTTCGCCCAGGCTGGAGTGCAGTGTGGCGCATCTCGGCTTACCGCAAGCTCTGCCTCCTGGGTTCATGCCATTCTCCTGCCTCAGCCACCCGAGTGGCTGGGACTACAGGCGTCCGCCACCACGCCCGGCTAATTTTTTGCATTTTTAGTAGAGACGGGGTTTCACTGTGTTAGCCAGGATGGTCTCAATCTCCTGACCTCATGATCCGCCTGCCTCAGCCTCCCAAAGTGCTGGGATTATAGGCATGAGCCGCTGCGCCCTGCCCTCTTTTGCTATTTCTATCACATTTGCAGTTACATCCTCTATTGAAGTATTGCATCCCTCAAAGTCACCCATGAGAGCTGGAATCAACTTCTTCCAAACTCCTGTTAATGTTGATATTTTTACCTTCTCCCATTAATCACAAATCTTCTTGATGGAATCTAGGATGATGACTCTTTGCCCACATCCATCAGAGGAATCACTATCTATGGCAGCTATAGATTTACAAAACATTTCTCAAATAATAAGACTTGTAAGTCAAGATTACCCTTTGATCCACGGGCTGCAGAATAGATGCAAGCATGCAGGAAAACAGCATCAATCTCTTTGCACATCTCCATCAGAGCTCTTGGGTGACCAGGTGCCTTGTCAATCAACAGTAATATCTTGAAAGAAATATTTTTTTTCCTGAGCAGCAGGTCCCCACAGTGGGCTTAAAATATTCTGTAAATCATGCTGTAAACAGACGTGCTGTCATCCAGGCTTTGTTGTTACGTTTCTAGAGCACAGGCAGAGAAGTAGATGTAGCATAATTCCTAAGGACCCTGTGATTTTCAGTATAGTAATGAGCACTGGCTTCCACTTAAAGTCACCAGCTGCATTAGCCCTAACAAGAAAGTCAGCCTGTCTTTTGAAGATTTTAAGCCAAATATTGGCTTTTCCCCTCTAGCAATGAAAGTTCTAATGGCATCTTCTTACAATAGAAGGCTGTTTTATTTACACTGACAATCTATTGTTGGCCCTGCACAGTGGCTCATGCTTGTAGTCCCAGCACTTTGGGAGGCTGAGGTGGGAGGATCACTTGAGCCCAGGAGTTCGAGACCAGCTGGGGCAACATGACGAAATCCCGTCTCTACAAAAAAATACAAAAATTAGTAGGCCGTGGTGGTGTGTGCCTATAGTTCCAGCTACTTGGGGGGCTGAGGTGGGAGGATCGATTGAACCCAGGAGGTCCAGGCTGCAATTAGCCACGATCATGCCACTGCCCTCCAGCCTGTGTTACAGAGGGAGACCCTGTCTTAAAAAAGAAAGAAAGAAAGAAAGAAAGAAAGAAAGAAAGAAAGAAAGAAAGAAAGAAAGAAAGAAAGAAAGAAAAGAAAGAAAGAAAAAGAAAGAAAGACAGAAAGAAAGAAAATCTGCTGTTAGTGCAGCTACTTTCATCAATGATCTTAACTAGATCTTCTGGATCACTTGCTGTAGCTTCTCCATTAGCACCTGCTGCTTCACCTTGAAATTTTTTGTTGTAGAAACAGCCTTTTCCCTTAAACCTCATGAATCAACCTCTGAGAATCTCCAGCTTTTCTTCTGTAGCTTCTGCACTTCTCACAGTCTTCATAAAATTGATGAGAGTTAGGGCCTTACTCTGGATTAGGCTTTGGCTTAAGGGAATGTTGTGGCTGGTTTGATCTATCCAGACCACTCAAACTTTCTCCATATATCGGGGGAACCAGCCCCCAATATTTCAACGTACGTTCTTTTCTATTTTCCCTAAGTGTCAGCTGGTCTGAGAAATAAAGAGAAAGAGTACAAAGAGAGAAATTTTACAGCTGGGTCTCCAGGGGTGACATCACATATTGGTAGGACCGTGATGATGACCCCGAGCCACAAAACCAGCAAGTTTTTATTAGGGATTTTAAAAGGGGAGGGGGTGTATGAACAGGGAGTAGGTCACAAGGATCACATGCTTCAAAGGGCAATTAAGATCACAAGGCAAGGCAAAATTAGAATTACTGATGAGGGTCTATGTCCCGCTGTGCACATATTGTCTTGATAAACATCTTAACAGGAAACAGGGTTTGAGAGCAGAGAACCGGTCTGACTAGAATTTACCAGGCTGGAATTTCCCAATCCTAGTAAGCCTGAGGGTACTGCAGGAGGCCAGGGTGTATTTCAATCCTTATATCAACCGCATAAGACAGACACTCCCAGAGCAGCTGTCTATAGACTTCCCCCAGGAATGCATTCCTTCCCCAGGGTTATTCCTTGCTAGGAAAAGAATTCAGCGATATCTCTCCTACTCGCACATCCATTTATAGGCTTTCTGCAAGAAGGAAAATATGGCTCGATTCTGCCCAACCCCGCAGGCAGTCAAACCTTATGGTTATCTTCCCTATTTCCCTGAAAATTGCTGTTATTCTGTTCTTTTTTAAGGTACACTGATTTCATACTGTTCAAACACACATGTTTTACAATCAGTTTGTACAACAGTGGTCCTGAGGTGACGTACATTCTCAGCTTATGAAGATAACATGATTAAGAGATTAAAGTAAAGCCAGGCATAAGAAATTATAAGCGTATTATTAGGGAAGTGATAAATGTCCATGAAATCTTCACAATTTATGTTCTTCTGCCTCGGCTCCAGCTGGTCCCTTCATTCGGGGTCCCTGACTTCCCACAACATCCATATCAGCAATAGGGCTGTTTTGCTTTCTTATAATTTGTGTGTTCCATGGAGTGGCACTTTGAATTTTCTTCAGGAGCTTTTCCTTTGTATTGACAACTTAGCTGTTTGGCACAAGAGGCCTCTCTCAGCTTTCGAAATGCTTTTCTCACTAAGCTTAATCATTTCTAGCTTTTGATTTTGTTTTTGTTTTTTTTAGAGACAAGTCTCACTCTGTTGCCCAGGCTGGTGTGTAGTGGTGCAATCATAGCTCACTATAATCTGAAACTCATGGGCTCAAGTGATCCTCCTGCCTGGGCATCCCAAGTAGCTAGGACTACAGGTGCATCCCACCACAGCCAGCTAATTTTTAAAATTTTTTGTAGAGACAAGGTCTTGATACGTTGCCCAGGCTGGTCTTGAACTGCCGGCTTCATGTGATCTTCCCACCTCAGCCTCCCAAAGTTCTGGGATTACAGGCATAAGCCACTGTGCCCAGCCCTCTGGCTTTCGATTTTAAGTGAGAAACAGGTGACTCTTCCTTTCACATAAACACTTAGAGCCCATTCTATGGTTATTAACTGGCCTAATTTCAATATTTTTGTGTCTCAGGAAATAGTAAGACCCTAGGAGAGGGAGAGAGACAGGAGTATGGCTGGCTGGTGAAGCAGTCTGAACACACACCATATTTATTTATTTATTTTTTATCCTCGCCAAGCCGGCCAGCATGCACTGCCCAAGCCAGCAAGGCTCACACACCACATTTACAGATTAAGTTTGACTTTGTGGTGCCCCAAAACAATTATTATAGTAGTATTTGAAGATCACTGATCACAGATCACCATAATAAATATAATAATTTTAAAATTTGAAATATTGCAAGAATTCCCAAAATGTGACAGACACAAAGTGAACACATGCTATTGAAAAATACAGCACCAACAGACTTGCTCAATACAAGGTTGCTACAAACCTTCAATTTGTGGGAAAAAAAAAAAGGATTATCTGCAAAGCACAATAAAGTGAAGTACAATAAAACAAGGAATGCTTGTACAATGGCATGTATCCACCACTACAATATCATACGGAATCACAGTGTTGCTGCTCCAAACCTCTGTGCTCCCTCTATTTATCCCAACCTCCTTCCCTGTGCGACCTGTGGCTGTTCTCCAGCTACCATAGCAGAGTTGATTAGTTGGAACATAAATTTATGCCTTGCAAAGCCCAAAATTTAATTTCTGGTTCTTTACAGAAAAAGTTTGCTGACCACTAAGATATGGAAACAACCTAAGCACCATCAGCGGGTAAATGGATAAAGAAAATGTGGTATAGATACACAATGGGGTACTATTCAGCCTTAAAAAGGAAAATTCTGTCATCTTCGACAAACGAAGAAACCTGGAGGGCAGTATGCTAAGTGAAATAAGCCAGGTACGGAAAGAAAAATACTGCACAGTCTCACATTTGGGACATCAAAAAGTAGAGCTCTAGGAGTAGAAAGCAGAATAGTGGT
The DNA here is from genome assembly GCF_000001405.40 of Homo sapiens. Classification (NCBI taxonomy): domain Eukaryota; kingdom Metazoa; phylum Chordata; class Mammalia; order Primates; family Hominidae; genus Homo; species Homo sapiens. The sequence continues at coordinate 80,491,658 of NC_000005.10, read as the reverse complement.
TACCAGAGGCTAGGGATGCAGCCAGGGCAATTGGATGGGAGGGGGATATGTCAGTCAAAGGGTGCAAAGTTCCGGTTAGACAGGAGGAATAAGTTCCCAAGATCTATTGCACAGCAATGGTGACTATAGTTAGTAATTCCAGGCATGCTGGCTCACAACTGTAACTCCAGCACTTTGGGAGGCTGAGGCGGAAGGACTGCTTAAGCTCAGTAGTTCGAGACCAGCCTGGGCAATGAAGCAAGACCTTGTCTCTACCACTAAAACTAACAATAATAATAACCCAGGCATGGTGGTGTGTGCCTGTAGTCCCTGCTATTCAGGAGGCTGAGGCAGGAGGATCACTTGAGCCCAGGAGGTCAAGGCTGCAGTGAGCCATGATTGCACCACTGCACTCCAGCCTGGGTGACAGAGCGAGACCCTGTCTCAATGATAATAATAATAATAATAATAATAATAGTGTATTATATATTTTGAACTTCTTAAATGAGTAGATTTTAAATGTTCTCATTACAAAGAAATGATAAGTATGTGAGGTGATGGATATATTAATTAGCCTGACTTAATCATTCTACCATGTATACATGTATCATAACATCACATTGTACCTCGCAAATATGCAATTATTATTTGTCAATTAAAAATAAAATTAAAAAAGAAAGTTTGCTATTTGCTGACCCCTGGACTAGACAATCATTAAGGTTCCTTCCAGTTTCCAAAAGTGACTACCAGAATTGACTTACCATTAAAGACAATGTACCATATGTCCACACAAAAACTTGTACACAAATGTTCACAGTAGCATTATTCACTATACCCAAAAGATGGAAACAACTCAAATGTCCATCAACTAATGAGTGGATAAACAAAATGTGGTGTTTCATGCAATTCCTTTTTTGGCCATAAAAAGGAATGAAGTATTGAAACATGCTACAAGATGGATGAATCTTGAAAACACTATGATAAGTGGAAGAAGCTAGACATAAGAGGGTCTATATTGGATGATTCCATTTATATGAAACATCCAGAACAGGCAAATTCATAGAGACAGAAAATAGAAGAATAGCAGTTGTGGATGTTAAAGGGTGGGGGATGGGGAAGTGTTTCTTTTTGTAAGGTGAAGATGTTTTAAAATTAATTGTGGTAATTGTTGCACAAGTCTGTGAATAAGCTAAAATTAAATAAATAAGCTAAAACCACTGAATTATACTCTTTAAATAAGTTGTATATTAATAGTATGCAAATTGTACATCAGTAAGGATTTTGAAGAATTTATTAATTTTTTTAAGGCTCTGGCTCTGTTGCCCAGGCTGGCATGTTCTTGGTTCACTGCAGCCTCTCCGGCTTAAGCGATTCTCCCGCCTCAGTCTCCTCCTGAGTGGCTGGGTCCACAGGTATGTGCCACCACCATACCTGGCTAATTTATTTGTTTTCTTTTGGAGAGATAAGGCCTCCCTGTGTTGCCCAGGCTGATCCAAACTCCAGGGCTCAAGCGATCCTCCTGCCTTTCAAAGTGTTCAGATTACAGGCGTAAACCACCACGCCCGGCCAGGACGGAACTTTTCACTATACATCCTATTGTGCCTTTTGAACTTTTTTATGTTGAGAATGTGTGTGTGTGTGTGTGTGTGTGTGTGTGTGTAAGGGGGAAAAATGACATATAACGGAAGAATCTGGTTAAGAATTAGTTTTATCAATAACTCGGTAATGAGAAGAAATTTTTGTTTTTGTTTTTGTTTTGAGACAGTTTCTCTCTGTTGCTCAGGCTGGAGTGCAGTGGCGCAATCTTGGCTCACCGCAAGCTCCGCCTCCCGGGTTCACGCCATTCTGCTGCCTCAGCCTCCTTAGTAGTTGAGACTACAGGCGCCGCCACCACGCCCGGCTAATTATTTTGGATTTTTAGTAGAGACGAGGTTTCACTGTGTTAGCCAGGATGGTCTTGATCTCCTGACCTCGTGATCCGCCCACCTCGGCCTCCCAAAGTGCTGGGATTACGGGCGTGAGTCACCGCGCCCGGCCCAAAAATTTGTTTTTTAAAAAATGGCATTTGTCAGCAATTGGACATTTTTCACTTGTGCACACATTTTATTCCAAGATTTTGTAAACCTTGCATCGATTCAGAAGAGAATCTGGATTTATACAGCCTGTGAGTGAGAATGGTGTAAGTCTTGAGTGTGAGCTTTGTCCCAGATTTGTTTGGATTCTTAGGAAAACTAGGCATTAAAAGGATTTATACTGAGAAGAGCACAAGGGTTAAAAAAGGAAAACTCTGGTCTGAAAAAATGTTCTACGGAGGTTTAGCACAGATCTTAAAAAAGAGAGAGAGAAAAAAGTTCACATCCTTTGATCCAGTAATTTCAGTTACAAGAATCGTGTCCAGGATAAAAACAAACCAAAAACATAACTGAGGAAGAACAATGCAAAAATGTTCATTACAGAATGAATTCTAACAAAACAAAACAAAACAGGAAACGACTGATTAACGTTCAACATTAGGAGACTGGTTAATTACAATATAATTGTATACAATATAATTGTATAAAACACTTCAGTCATTCAAAATTATGTTTATAAAAACCTTGGTGACATGGGATAGTATAAGATGCAGGATTTTAAAAATTATGTTTACCATGACCTTAACTCTATTTTTAAGAGTCAGGGTTGTTAGAAAATACCAAAAAGTTAGTAGTGGTGCCTGTGGGTATCAGCATTTGGGGGATTTTTTTTTCCTATTTCCCTATACTAATATACTTTATAAATGTTCTATAATGGCATTTATCAGGACCTGGACATTTTTCGCTTACACACACATTTTATTCCAAGATTCTGTAAACTGTGCATCGATTCAGAAGAGAACCTGTATTTATACAGCCTGCTAGTCAGAATGGTGAAAGCGTGTATTATTTTTACAATTAGGGAAAAAAATCTAAACTGAAGAAAGAACGCGTCACTGACGTTGTCTCATGCCACTACTTAAGTTTACAGAAAAGATACTGTAACCTTCAAGAGCGGAACTGCTGTCCCGCGAGTTGAAGCACCTGATTCCAAGGGGAATCAAGCGAGCCGCACACTCTGCCAGCTTTCCAGGCAGCGCGCTCAGCAGCGGGACTATGCCGGGCCCGGCCCAGTCCGCATTCCCAAACCTCCCCCAGCTTTCAAAGAGGAACCTACTGACCCAGACCGCCCCCATACGGTCGGCTGAAATTAAGGATTAGGGAAACGTCACATTCCTTTCTTTCCAACCCAGACCTCAAAAGACACTGACCCTGCCATTCTCGACCTCCCCTAACGCCTGTCCCTTAGAGCCCACCCGGCAAACCAAGGTCCTTGCCAGGCGATCGCGGGCGCGCCCCGAGTGCAGAGCGGGCTCCAAGCCCAGCCGCCCGGTTCTGCGCGGCGCGCTCCCAGGTCCCTAGCAAGGAAGACCGCGGGAGCCCGCAAAGGGAGGGTACGGCCGGCGGAGCCTCTCAAAGCGCCCCACCTCCAGGCAGAGGCCGCGCGCTCGGCGCTTACCTGGGCCTCCAGCGGATGCTGCCATGGTGACGACGCCCGCCGTCCGCGCAGGCGCCCAGGCTGGCGCCCCTGCTAACCGGGCACTGGTGGCAGGGAAATTCGACTCCACAAACCACAGGCCTCGGCGGGGGAAGAGCCCGGCGGGCGCCAGCGAAGCGGAACCAAACGGAGCCGCGGCACGCAGGCGCAAAGGCTGGCGTTCGAGGTTCGTTTACGCGCCGCTTCGCCGTGCAGGTGGTGGCGAAGCGCTCCTCCGAAAGGTTTCGGAAGCTGGTGGTAGCTCTGAAGATAACGCTGCGTTAGGGCATACTGCGGCGGAGGATGGAACTCCGATTGAAAGCAGTTGCTGGAGTGGAGCACGAATTTCAACAGTTGGGTATATTTTCTTTTAAATGTTAGTAATATCCTAAAAGGGTGTGGAATCATTACTGATAAAAATCAGTGTTTCTGGCCGGGCACGGTGGCTCAGGCCTGTACTCCCAGCACTTTGGGAGGTCGAGGTGGGCGGATCACTTGAGGTCAGGAATTCGAGACCATCCTGGCCAACATGGTTAAAACCCGTCCTTACTGAAAATTTAAAAAATTATCCTGGCGTGGTGGCGCGCGCCTGTAATCCCAGCTACTCGGGAGGCTGAGGCACAAGAATGGCTTGAACCGGAGAGGTGGAGGTTGCAGAGAGCCGAGATCGCTCCACTGCGCTCCGGTCTGTGCGATAGAGCTAGACTGTCAAATAAATAAATAAATAAATAAATAAGTTTTTGTACAAAGTTACCGAGCTGATAACTTGAAGTTTTCTCTCCCCTTCTGTCTCTCTACCAGTGTTCACTCAGAAAACGCTCTCAGCAACTGGGTCCTCCCATCCACTGTCTTTCTAGCCCTCCTTAACTCATTACTTTTTGAAGCCAAACTAGTGATCAGAATTAACAACAAAGCTCTGCCATTTTCAGCTTCTGTGACCAAAAAACTCAATCTGCCAGTGGTAGAGTTAGGATAACTAACATCACCTGACACGTAATACAAAGGGGAGTTATTCTTGCCCAGCCTTTCAGATAAAATATTTTTCATCACTCCAAAGCAATCACTCTCCATTTACCCCCTTCCTACCCCCAGGCAACAACTCATCTACTTTCTGTCTCATGAATTTGCCTATTCTGGAATTTCATGTAAATAGAATCACAGACTGTATGTATGATCTTTGTAACTGGCTTCTTTCACTTAGCATGTTTTCAAAATTCACCCATGTTTTAGCATGTATCAGTACTTCCTTCCTTCTTATGCTGGAATAAATTCCAGTTTGTAAATACCACATTTTATGTGTGTCCATTCAACAGCTGAAGGACATTCGGGTTGTTTCTACATTTTGTCTTTTATGAATGCTGCTGCTGTGAACATTCATGGACAAGTTTTGTGTGGACGTATATGAATACATTCCTGTGTGCATATCTGTGTACATACCTAGGAGTGGAACTACTTGTTCATATAGTAACTGTTTAACTGTGTGAGGAACTGCCAGTTTTGCAAATCAGCTGTACCATCTTTCATTCCCACCAGCAATGTATGAAGATTCCAATTTCCCCACATCCTTACCAGTCAGTACTTGTTGTTATGTTTTTTAAATTATAGCCATCCTAGTAGATATGAAGTACTACCTCATTATCTTGATTTGTAGTTCCCTACTAATAATATTGAGCATATTTTCAGGTGCTATCGGTCATTTATATATTTCCTTTGGAGAAATGTCTTCTCAAATCCTGTGCTCATTTCAATTGTGAGAATTCTTTATATAGTCTCAATACAAGTCCCTTAACAGGTAATTTGCAAATATTTGCAATATTTTCTCCCGTTGTGCAGATTGTCTTTTCACTTTCTTGATGGCATTGATTGCAGTACAGGTCTTTTTTAAAAAACTTGTTTTTCTTTTTTTTTAGATGAAGTCTCACTCTGTTCCCCCAGGCTGGAGTGCAGTGGCACGATCTCGGCTCACTGCAACCTCCACCTCCCGGGTTCAAGCGATTCTCCTGCCTCAGCCTCCTGAGTAGCTGGGATTACAAGCACGCACCACCACGCCTGGCTAATTTTTGTATTTTTAGTAGAGACAGGATTTCACCATGTTGGCCAGGCTGGTCTCGAACTTCTGACCTCAAGTGATCCACCCGCCTCAGCCTCCCAAAGTGCTGGGATTACAGGCGTGAGCCACTGTGCCCGGCTTTTTTTTTTTTTCATTTTTAAAATTTTTAACTTCAGGGGTCCAAGTGCAGGTTTGTTACACAGGTAAACTGTATCATAGGGGTTTGTTGTACAGGTTGTTTCATCACCCAGGTATTAATCCTAGTACCCATTCATTGTTTCTCCTGCTCTCCCTCCTCCCACCCTCCACCCTCCAAAAGTCCCAGTGTGTTGTTCCCCACTCTGTGTCCATGTGTCTCATCATTTAGCTCCCACTTATAAGTAACAGCATGCAGTATTTGGTTTCTGTTCCTGCATCAGTTTGCTAAGTTTTTATGACATATTGGTCACAATATTACAATATTTTCATATATTTTACAATAACTGACTCAAAATTCCTCTTCACTGTCCTTATTTTTAGAGCCGCATGTTGAAGTGTGAGGCGTGAAAGGGTATGTCTGATATTTGCTTTAAAATGCTCCAGCAAAGAAATTAAGGGATGGATGAAGCAAAAGAGGTAAGTCTTGATAGTGTTGACTCAGAGGATTGTTGTAGGCTGGGTATATAGATTTTCATCCTACTATTTCCTTTACTTCTGAGTGTTTGGAAATTTTATGGTAAAAATAAGTCTAATTACTTTTTTGGCACAAAAAAGGTTTTGTAAGTTAAGGGTACATGCTGCACTGGGGAAAGAATATAACGATTAGAATGTGAGACACAGGCCCCAACTTGAGTCTGGGGCTGCTTTTGGTGACATCTAAACATGAATAAAGGCCAGGCATGGTGGCTCACACATGTAATCCCAGTACTTTGGGAGGCTGAGGCAGGAGGAGACCAGGACTTTGAGACCAGCCTGGACAACATAGTGAGACCCATCTCTACGAAAAAATAAAAAACAAGCCAGGTGTGTCGGCATGTGCCTGTAGTATCAGCTAATCAGGAGGCTAAGGTGGGAGGATTGCTTGAGCCCAGGAACTCAAGGCTGCAGTGAGCCATGATCACACCACTGCATTCCACCTGGGCCGCAGAGTGAGACTCTGTCTCAAAATCAAAACAAAGCACTGCATGAATACAGCTTACCTCATTTTCAGAGTCCTAATAGCTAGAAAGTTTTCCCTCAAATTCCAATTTAGTTTCTAGCTGTGTGACTTTGGACAGATTACTCTCTCTCTGAACTTGGTATCTAGTCTATGAAATGCAATAATAAATCACAGGGGAACTGGGTGCAGTGGCACGCACTTGTAGGCTCAGCTACCCAGGAGGCTGAGGCAGGAGGATGGGTTAAGAGCCTAAGTTCAAGGCTGTAGTGTGCCATGACTGTGCCTGTGAATAGCCACTGCACCCTAGGCCTGGGCAATACAATGAGACCCTGTCTCATAAATAAATAAATAAATAAATAAATTTAAAAATAAATTACAGGGTAATATTCCTTGTTCTGAAGTTTGCTTTGTCTGATAGCAAAATAACCACTCCAGCTTTGTCCTTTTCTTCTTCTTTTTAGTGTTTGCATGGAATATCTTTTTCCATCCTTTTACTTTTTAACCTGCATGTACCATTGTATCATAAGTGGCTTGTATAGATAGCATATAAATTAGGTTTTAAAAAAATCCATCTGGCCAGGCATGGTGGCTCATGCCTGTAATTCCAGTCCTTTGGGAGGCCAAGACAGGCAGATCAGTTGAGGACAGGAGTTCAAGACTATCCTGGACAAAATGGTGAAACTCCATCTCTAATAAAAACAAAGAAAAAATTAGCCAGATGTGGACATGCCTGTAATCCCAGCTACTCAGGAGGCTGAAGCAGGAGAATCACTTGAACCTGGGAGGTGGAGGTTACAGTGAGCCGGGATTGTGCCACTGCACTCCAGCCTGGGTGACAGAATAAATGAGACTTGATCCAAAAAAAAAAAAAAAAATCAATTGCCATATTTAGACCATTTACATTTAATGTAATTGTTATTTATTTTTATTTTTAGGGACAGGGTCTTGCTCAGTGGCCCAGGCTGGAGTACAGCGGTATGATCACAGCTCACTGCAGCCTCAAACTACTGGGCTCAAATGATCTCCCACCTCAGCCTCCTGAGTAGCCAGGACTATAGGCATGCACTACCATGGTTGGCTAATTCTTTTAAGTTTTATGTAGATACGGGGCCTCACTACATTGCCCAGTCTGATCTTGAACTCCTGGCCTCAAGTGATCTTCCTGCTTCAGCCTCCTAAAGTGTTGGGATTATGGGCATTAGCCACCACACCTGGCCTAGTGTAATTTTTGATACAGCTGGATTTAGGTCTACCATTTTAGCATTAATTTTTCTTGTTGATCCCTTATTTCTTTTACACTTGTTTTCCTTGCTGGCTTTATTTTGAATTATTTAAAATTCCACTTTATATGTCGGCTTTTTAAACATATCTCCTTGCATAGTTTTTTAAAATGGTTGCTCTAGAGATGATCATTACATACCAAACTTTTTGTAACCTACTATAATGTTTTACCACTTTAAGTGAAATTTAGAAAACTTACCATATAGGTTCTGTCACTGTCCCCTTGGTTAGTATGCAGTTTTCATCTGTATTACATCTATATGCATTGAAAATCCCAAAAGATGATGTTACAATTTTTTTATTTCAGCAGTTACATATATTTTAACAAACATGTAAGTCTATTTGGTTTATCCAGAGATTTGCCATTTTGGTTGCTCTTCCTTCTTTGCAATCATTTTCCTTCCCCATGAACTTCCTTTACCATTTCTGTTAAAGGAGGACTACTAGCAATGAATTATTTTAGCTTTCCTTCTTCTGACAATGTCTTTATTTCAGCCAGGTATGGTGGCTCATGCCTCTAATCTCAGCACTTTGGGAGGCCGAAGCAGGCAGATCACCTGAGGTCAGGAGTTTGAGACCATCCTGACCAACATGGTGAAACTCGTCTCTACTACAAACATAAAAAAATTAGCTGGGCGTGGTACCACGCACCTGTAATCCCAGCTACTCCTCTGGAGGCTCAGACAGGAGAACTGCTTGAACCGGGAGGCGGAGGTTGCAGTGAGCTGAGATCGCACCAATCCATTCCAGCCTGGGCAACAGAGTGAGACTCCATCTCATAAAAAAAAAAAAAGTAAAGAAAAAAAAGAAAATGTCTTTATTTCATTTTCTTTCCTAAAGAATATATTTGCTGGATAAAGGATTCTGTGTTGACAGTTTTGTTGCTTTTTAAAAGCACTTTATAAATGTTGCTCCATGGTTTCTGATGAGAAATCTGCCATCACTGAAATCTTTGGTTCTCCTATATACAAAGTGTTGTTTTCTTCCAGTTGTTTTCAAAGTATTTTCTTTACAGTTGGTTTCATCACTTTGATTATGACGTGCCTGGGTGTGGTTTTCCTTTTTGGGATTTGCTGTGCCAGCAGACCGGCTTTAAATAGAATGCTATGTAAATGTATGTGAATATTTGTTTTTTGCCAGATGTTTGGAAGTTTTTAGCTATTATTTCTTCAGATATTTTTTTCTTCCAATTGTTCTTTCTGGGCTCCTAAGACATGAATATTAGACTGTTTCATATTGTCCCACAGATCCCCAAAGGTCTTCTCATTTTTTTCACTTTTTTCTCTGTCATTCAGACTAGATAATTTCTGCTCATGTATCTTCAAATTTACTGACTCTTCCCTCAGTCATCTTCATTGTGTTGAGACCTTCCAGTAAATTTTGTTATTGTATTTTCAGTTCTACAATTTCCACTTGTTTCTTTTTATAGCTTCTATGCTGAGACTTTTAGCTTTCCATTTATTTCAACAGTGTTTCCCTTTATATATTTCCTTTGGAGAAATGTCTTCTTTGTGTAGCATGATTAAAATAACTAGTTTAACGGCCAGGTGTGCTGGCTTATGCCTGTAATCCCAGCACTTTGGGAGGCCCAGGCAGGCAGATCACTTGAGGTCAGGAGTTTGAGACCAGCCTGGCCAACGTGGTGAAACTCTGTCTCTATTAAAAATACAAAAAATTATCTAGGCGTGGTGGTACACACCTGTAGTCACAGCTACTCAGGAGGCTGAGACAGGAGAATCACTTGCACCCTGGGGGTGGAGGTTGCAGTGAGCCAAGATTGTATCACTGCACTCTAGCCTGGGTGATAGAGACTGTCTCAAAAATAAATAAAAAAAATAAAATAACTAGTTTTAAGTCTTTTTCTGATAATTCTGACATTTGGGTAACCTTAGAGTTGGCTCTTGTTCATTGTCTTTTCCCTAGAGAGTTGCTTAGGTTTCACAAGTTCTTTGTCCAATCATTTTGGGTTGTTTCTGGGATATATTTGGAATATTATGATATTCTCTATCCTGTTTAAATCTTCATAAGAATGTTTTTGTTTTGTTTTGTTTTAGCAGACCATCAATTCAGTTAAGTTTCAGAGCACACATCCTGGCCACTTTTTTTGGTGGCTGTGGTTCCAATGTTAGTTTTCACTGCCTTTGTTAAGCTGTTCTTTGCCCCAGTTGTGCACCATCTAGTGGCCAATCTGAAACTTGGACAGTGGCCTACACTGTAATTCAGTGTTCAGAACCTTTGCTCAGCTGCTTCTGGTTAGTTTCACACATACACAGCTTGTGAGATGATCCCAGGATTTTATTGACAGATTTAAGGGTTCCTTTTCTTCAGTTCCCTCCTATTTGTGATCTTACCTATACTCTGGTTTCTAGAACCCCATTCTTGGTTTTTGGCTAGAAAGTCAGGGCGTTAGCCTCCCCATTGCCAGTGTTCTGCCCTGCAATGTCTGCCACTAGTGCACCAGGGGGAAGAGAAGAGTGATACCTCTTTACTGCTGCGGGATTGATGTAGAGCAAGGAAAGTCCAGAAGGTTCCAAGTCATTACCCATGGTTCTCCTGGTGGGGCGGTGGGTCTTACTGCATCTTTCCTGAGGCTCTCTTAGAATACTGCAATTAAATTAAAAAGGGTTTTGTCCCATAGCCTCCAACCTCCTTTCTGGTCCTCTGACTAGAAACAGCAAATTGTTCCTTGGACTATTTTTCTCTCTGTCAGCTAGCATTTCCAGTTTTCCTGTTAAATGTCTTTTTTCTTTTTCCTTTTTTTTGAGACAAGGTTTTGCTCTGTTGCACGATCACAGCTCACTGGAGCCTTAACCTCCTGGGCTCAAGTGATCCTCCCACCTCAGCCCCCGTGAAGCTGGGACCACAAGTATGAGCCACCACACCTGGCAAAATTTTTTTAATTTTGCAGAGACAGTGTCTCCCTGTGTTGCTCACTCTGGTCTCAACCTGAGCTCGAGTGATCCTCCTGCCTTGGCCTCCCAAAGTGCTCGATTACAGGTGTGAGCCACTGCACCTGGCCTTATTATGTGTCTATGTGTGGATTTTCTAGTTTATTCTGTTTGGGATTTGTCTGGCTTCTAGAATGTGTGGGGTCATGTCTTTCATCAGTTTTTAAAATTCTGCATTCTATCTAAGTATTTGCTCTGTCCTATTCTTGCCTCTCCTCTCACAGCTAATGAAGCACTTAGGATTTTTCACTGTATTCTCTACAGGTCTTCTGTTTTTTTTTCCAGCTGTTTCTCCCATGGTGCACTGTGAATAGTTTCTCCTGAGTTATCTTCCAGTTTATAAACTACCCCAATTGGCTACATTCTATTACATCTATTTACTGAGTTTTAAAGTGCAGTTTTTATGTATATTCTTGTAATGTTTATATTCAGTTCTTTTCCAGATTAGCTCCACAACTTTTTATCGTATAGTTTCCCATTTCCTGCAAGTACATTCACACACCTTATTTCCTTAAACAAAGAAAACAAATCTAATACCTATATCTGTGAGTTTGTTTTCATTGCTTCAAGTAATTCTTGCCTCTGGAATCTAGTTTCCTTATATGACTACTTTTTACTATGTGTTACTAGACATATTTGAAAAGTAATTTGAGGCCTACAATGAAATTACTTTTCCATGAAAAGTATTTACATTTTATTTTCTCTGTCACCTGGAGGCATTACTAGTGTGGGAACACCTTAAAGGAAGCTCAGTGCTTAAGATTCTTTAGATCACTGGGGCAATTCTAAACTTGCCTGTTCTTTTACATTGGTTCTTCCACCTCTGATTCATTATCATCCTAAAGGTGAAAGTATTTGGGAGTCTCAGCCTATTGTGTGGAGGGTCTCCTGTTAGGTTCATCACCTTATATGGGCCCTGAACTTTAATTTCTGTCCCCCTCACTCATAAGGTTGTCAGAGTAAGGGTACATGCTTGCTTCTCTTATTCTCTTTACTTTTGGACTTGGCATTCCTTATTGTCTGGAAAATCTCTTTGATGTTTTAAGATTATTCTTGTATTTTAATCAGGAATTGTTTTCAACAGGAACATGATGTAAATATCCTAGCATGCAATTTTCAGAAACAAGTAGTTTCCCACAATTGAATCTTTGCTCCTACAGGGCCAAATCCTACTCTTTCTCTTGGCATGCTCTGCACTTAAGCGCATACTACTTGTGGCATGGAATCCATAAATGTTGATAAAGAACTACGCCTAATTCTGTCAGAACAATTAATCATTTTTAGAAATTTTTGCTTAGAAACCTGGTAAAGTGCTCTGCATGTAGCAAGTATACGAACACACAAAGTTTGTTGAATAGCTGCATAAAACAAATGGGCTAGATTTTACTTCATATTTCAAAATTCAGAGAAAGAGAGTAGTATTAAAAGACATAAGCCAAAAATAGATCATTGCAGACTGAGTACAAAGAACCATTCTATTTCTTCTCTTAAAAAATTAAAATTTCAAATTAAGTACCAATGACCAAATAAGTAACAAACACATTCAGAAACATACTATATGTCTACAAAGAATACTTCAAAATGTGCCTCCAAACTTCAGGCACATAATTCCAATTTTTATTGAATATAGAGATTTTATGAAAACAAATCCAAAGCTGTCCCATCATGGAACAGCCCTCTACCATTTGGTTATTTTAAGACTGTTCAATTACTTACATGGCAGAATACATACACTATATTTAGAAAACATAAATTGGGTTTGATATGCAATTGTTTTCATCTTACACCATTTCAATAAATTTCACAAATTATAACAGGTTGCCATTTTATTGAATATCTGCGACACTTTACATTGTTCAGGAAGTAGCTACTTCCAGAAGGCTGATATTCTCCTCCAAATTGTCTTTGGCTAAGTACTACAGATGTGATTCAGTCCAAACTATATGCCCAAACTGATTAAAATTCTCAGTCTCTCCTAGCTTGAGACCTCAGATCCTGAGTTATAACTTTGACTTGATCTTCAAGTTGAGATGCTTCATAAATATTTTTCTTAAAACAGGGCTATTTAACATAATTTCTTTTTCTTGAAATATATGAGTGTTTTTGATACAAAAACATATATTACACATGAGAATGTTTAAAGCATCAAAATAATGATTAAATTTTTTACATAACTTAAATGACAGGACTACAATATGCCCCCCACTTTTTTGCTGTTTGAAGTAAAGAGGAAAGCTCTGTAACAATTTCAAATACATAGGATTTAACTTATGTTAATATCCTGTTATAAAAAATAACTACCATATAAAGAATTTAAAATATGCAAAAGTAATTAGTTCATTTAAATTTATACTTATACACTGGTGTCAATGAAAATATGCGAAGTTGCCAAGAAATTTCTAAGGATTAAAGTGGAAGTAAAAAAACCTGTTTCAGGCTTCATTTATTGCTACATAATGACTACTTCAAGGGTCATCTGGCCCGTCGTCAGTCACTCTTAGAAGTGGTAAATACAGTGGTATAGTTTGGAAGGAAAGGAGGAAAAAAATAATGCATTGTGATACAAAAATATTACCTACATATAAATTATTAAAGATTTATAAAACATTCAGAATATGTTCTTGCTATAAAAACAATATACTTAAATATAGAAGCAAAAAGTCCTGAAGCACCCGCAATTATTTTAATATCCATTTAATCAGGGAAAACTATATATGTGGATATATAATACATACATATGTAATAATTTGAGAAGAAAAAAGGCAAAATTCTGATTATAATCCAAAAAGAGTTTATCTAATTATGGAGGTAGGTCTCCACTCCAATTATACAAATAAGTTATCAGTTTTATTCAAAGAATTATAAGTCTAAGACCTCAAAACTGGTTTTTGTGCCACTGAAATACAATTTGACAGACTTTAGAAACCAGTATTCTAACTGGCATATACACAAAGCAGATATTTCCTTCATAAGGTTACATCTGAAAAGAGCCTTCATTAAAATCATTATTGGCATAAAGAGGTATACCTAAGTGCAGATACTTTGGCTTAGCATTTAAATAACACAGTAAATGCTATAAATTTCTTAAAAGAAATCCTTGTCTTTTTAGTACTTAAATTAATTGTAAAGCTACAGAAAGTATGGATCTCTTAAATTTTTAGATATTTAAATATTGTGCTAATGATTTGAAAAGATCATTCCTGCCTAAAGAGCAAAGCTTATGTGTTTCAAAAATCAGACATATTTATACTTTTAGTGTTTGTGGCATTTCAGCTTTAGTGCTGGAGTTAGTTTTAACAAATTAGGTTGCAATATGTAATATGGCACATTCTTTCACTAAAAAAGATGTTCTATAATGAAAAACACTAATTCTATTTCTAATGGTAAACTAGAGTTGGAGGTCCCACCATGGATCACAGGTATCAGAGCACTATCAAGATCATTTAGATAATGCTGAGGCAGAAGTTGGCCTTCAGATCCTGCCTGAAATTCAACCTAGAAAAAAAAAAAATTCTTGATAAGAAAATGAGCAATCTTGTTTAACTCGGAATGTGAATATAAAATAAGTGAAATATTTTAAAATACAGTTCAAGCATGTTAAATAAAATATTTGATATATTTATAAAAAAATTCTACATTCTCCTGTATCTTTTATCTGTCTACTACATAAATTATAATTGTTCCTCCTCATATATCATAAAGATAAAATTGCCACTATGTCATACTTTACGTTTCCTCTAAATGAACACATAAACAAATTAGAGGGATGAGGCTTTGAATAACTGCCGACATTACTTAAATTAAAAACCCCATGGTATTAAAAAAATCTACTTGAAATATTTCAAATTTGTTGTTGCAATAATATTTAATATTAGACTCTAACATTGGTGCAAATTACATTTTAATACAATTGGCTAAAAAAATTTACAGTGCTTACTCCAATAACAAATAGTGAGTGCTTCCTTGAAAAGAGGACTTTTAATAGTGAGATAAAAACAAAACCCCTTTTCCAGTAAGAACTATGAGTAAAATATATCCTGGCTGGAGAAAAGCAAACCCTCAGCATATGAACTCACCCACGTTTAGCTTAACCATTCTAATGAATTCTCTGATTTGAAAATCTATATTGGATGTTGGAAAGTTACCTGGATGTCAGAAAGAGAACTTTCAGTTCAAAGAAAAACAAATTGTTTTTACATGCAAGATGATCATCACTCCTTGTTAAGAGAAATACAAATTAAAATAATACTGGGGCCAGGCGTGGTGGCTCATGCCTACAATCTCAACACTTTGGGAGGCCAAGGCAGGAGAACTGCTTGAGCCCAGGAGTTCAAGACCAACCTGGGAAACAGAGTGAAACCCCATCTATTTAACAAGTAATAATAATATTAATAATAATGTGGTATTATTTTTCACCTATCAAATTGTCCAAGTTCAAAAGTTTGATTATATACTTCTTTGATAAGGATATGGGGGAGGCCAGGTGCGGTGGCTCACACCTATAATCCCAGCACTTTGGGAGGCCACAGATCACATGAGGTCAAGAGTTCAAGACCGGTCCAGCCAACATGGTGAAACCCTGTGTCTGCTAAAAATACAAATATTAGCAAGGTGTGGTGGCACATGCCTGTAGTCCCAGCTACTCGGGAGGCTGAGGAAGGAGAATTGCTTGAACCCAGGGGGCAGAGGCTGCAGTGAGCCAAAATCGTGCCACTGCACTCCAGCCTGGGTGGCAGAGTGAGACTGTCTCAAAAAAAGGATGTGAGGGAAAGAGCTCTCACAAATTGCTGGAAGAAATAAATATAAATTGACATAACCTCTATTTGGGATAATATGGTAATATCTATTGCGTATATACTCAGGCCTGGCAATTCTACTCAGAATTTTTCTTATAGATATACTTACGCTTATGTAAAAGCAAAATATTGTGGACAACCTGAATGTCTATCAACATATATCAAATATGCATGAATAATTAGTTAGATAAATTATGGTACATTTATATAATCAACTACTATGCCGCTGTTAAAAAAGAATGTCTGCTAGTATTAATATCTTTAAGATATATTAAAGAAGCAAGGTAAAAAATGTGTAAAAGAGGGAAGATGAAAAAGGAGGACACACACTTATTTGCTTGTAGATGCATAAAATCACAAAGAATACGTAAGAAATGAGTAACACTGATTGCTTGGCCGGAGAGGGAGGATAAAGAAAAGTATGAAGGTGAACTGATGGGTTGGATGTCAACAGTAGGAAAGATATTTCCAAGGCTGTTGCCTTATACAACTCTACTGGGAACCATTTACATTGTAGTCTGGAGTTATTATCTCCAGAGTCCACCAGTTACACAGAATACATTGTGAATGCTGCTCTCCGCAAATATTCAGCGAGGTGGTCCTGTTATATATACGCTTTTAGACTTTTAAGATTTTAAATCATGTACATATAGAATTTAGTCAGATAAGTAAATTTAAAAACCTACCTATAAGGCAGAGTAGTCATGGAGAAGGGTTCATCAAACTATGGCCTGCAGGCCAAACTTGGCCCCACTGGGTAAACAAAATTTCACTGGAACATAGCCACACTTAATTTGTTTACATACTGTGAATGGCTGCTTTCCCAATATAATGGTAGTGTTGAGTAGTTGTGAAAGAAACCATACTGCCTACAATGTCCAAAATAGTTACTGTCTGTCCTTTTGCAAAAACAGTTTGCTGACCCCTGTTGTGGAGACTAATACAGATAATATATGTGAAGTGTGTAGCACACATTTGATGCTCAACAAATTTTCGTTCCCTTTCATCCCAAAATAAAAGGTTGAAGAAAAACTTGTTAATATGCAATACATTCATTTCAAAAATACATCACAAAAACATGCCTCACCATATCAGTGTCAATGGAAACTCTGAGTCCAATTTTATTCATCCCATTACTTTTTAGAGTTTTCAGGTGAGGGCACAGCGCAGCACTACAAGCCATGGCTATTTCTTTTGCAAACTGATAAGAAGTTGATAAAATAGATAAATCCTGGTCCTTTAGAAAGTAGAACACCTGAAATGTATTTAATTAGGAAACAAGTCATGATTAAAAGTAACTTTAAAATGCAACAATTGCTGCTTTCAAGTTTAATTAAATTCCAATGTAAGTACCATGAAAAGCATTAGTTGTGAGAATTCTGTATCGATAGCTTGATCTGTACTATAAGTAAAAACATAAAACAAAAAGTTATGGTAAATATGGAAATGTCTCAGCAATTTTTGCCTAAGGTTAATTTGTAGCAAGGAAAGGCTTATTAAATCAGTATGAGTCTATCCTGTAAAGAACATCTATATGAAGTTAAGATAAAACATTGTGTCTACATTCTCTACAGGTTCTATTTTGTACATGTAATAAAATCACAAAGAATGCATAAGAAATAAATATGAGGGGGAATAAGGAGGTAGACTAAGGACTTGGGAGTCTGTAGTTTCATATCCTCTAATTTAAAAAAAAACTAAAACATGAAAAAGTAACTTTCATATGTGAATGCTGATTATAAATTAATGACAATATCTTATTTTTCATAAAATCTGAGGAAAATGAAAATATGGTCAAGTAACATATTACAGTACAAAGATGGCAATGCTGCCAACACAGCTGGCAGGCAGTACCACCATTTGATAGCCTGAACTAACCCTATGGAAATCCAATTCTGGTGTATAAAATTCTGGGGTGGAAATGCGTATGTCTCAAAGTGTAGCATAAAAAGTATAATAAGCTATGCATAAATATTTAGAGGTTGAGTATGCACAATCTCCAAAGAACAAAAATCATATTGAAACACAGCATGTAAAGGGACCTTCTTTCTTAGTTACCTCGGTACATTTTACAATCTTCTCATCGGTTTCAAAATCTGCTTCCAGTTTTATTTTTTCACTTGGAAATCCTTGTAATGATATTCCATCCACTGAACTGATAACTCTATGAAATAAAACATAATACAATAGAATTATTAGCACCAATGTGTTTTTGAAATGAATTATTAGATTTGAACAAATGGAATGAGGGAAAAAATATAAAAGAAGATATGTCAATTATATACAAAATAACTAAATCTGTAGTTCACATTCATTTACCAAGATTTCTTGATTGTGTAGTAATCTTTTTTGTTCATCAATAAATTGTATCTCCTTTTTCATATGCCAAATTCAGACCTCAAGTTTAAAATACCTTAGATAGTCTAATAGAAAAGCTGCCTCATGAATTCAAAAACTCTATTTTGGAATCCTTCAGCCCTCTTTTTCCTTCTTTGCTCCAGACCCCTTAGCCAATCTCAAAAAAAGAAAGAAAATGGGTAACTGAAGAGAGGAAGGAGTGGCAGTAATAATCTGTAAGGCCTCTAATGTAAATATTATTAAATCCAGTTGTTTGTATTTATAGTGAATCAAAATAATACAGTATATATCATCCAAAGGGAATCTTTTACTTATGTGACAAAAATAGGTACCATCTGAAAGAAAAAGTGTCTTGCCTTTTCAGCCCTGGCATCAAGCCCACACTGCTACACAACAGATGTGTCATCATCAAGCCCCTCTCAAA
Source organism: Homo sapiens (assembly GCF_000001405.40). Lineage (NCBI taxonomy): Eukaryota > Metazoa > Chordata > Mammalia > Primates > Hominidae > Homo > Homo sapiens. The sequence continues at coordinate 80,473,135 of NC_000005.10, read as the reverse complement.
TGGACCATCCTGGCCCAAAAACCACACCACCACTTATGAGGCTAGTTAGGCACATGTTTGAAAAAGATTGCATTCATTAATTTGAGTAAAGGCATTTAAATTGATGGTATAAGTATATATTCGTTCATAAAATATTTAATTTTATTAATAGGATATTTTAATCCTGCACTTTCCTTCAAATCAATTATATTTTAGAATAAAAAAATTCCTACCCTTTGTTTCCTTTTTCTTCAGCATCTACCCAGCAGATATCCACGTATTCTCTCAGGTCTACTGCATCAACTTTCCCACATGTAATTTTAAAGTCTTTCTGTTCTCGTAAAGCTAGCCGCAAGCCATTCATGGTCTCTGGAGTTATTTGTACCATTAAGCCATCTAGAAATGAGACTAAGTTTCACATTTCTTTTGCCAAATACCAATGTGTATATCTAAGCCATAAAATTTGCTATCAAAATATGTTCTGTGTAAGATACAAGTTTTAAATCATTTGCTAATCATCTTAATGGTTGTTTTCCACTAGGAAATAAGACAAGTATTTTGCAAAGTTAAGAATTTTTTTTTTAAGGTTAAAACAAAGAGAATTTCTGCTTCTGGCTATGATGAAATAACTGGTACCAGATAGCCCTGTCATGACAACCACCCTAAGACTAGACAAAATGTATGAGATAACTGTTTTCAGGTTCTGGACAATAGGCAGTGCAATACTGAGATCCCTAGAGGGAAACTGAAGAGGTTAAGCCCATGGTTATCTCCAGGCAGAGAACTCAGGTAAGCTTAGTGGGTCACCATGAGGAAATTATTCCCAGGCAGAGAGCCCTTACTCTCTGCCCTGAGCTCTCTGCCTGGGGATAATTTCTTCAAGGTGACCCACTAAGTCTACAATGGCCCTATTGGCTGAGAACTCAAGAGATAAAGAGTTTGGTGAAGCCTAGAATCTGCAGTCAGGACACTTAAGAGGGGGGCACTAGAAAACTGCATGGAAGACTTTGAAGTCTTTGGACTAGAACTGGGGACACAATAACAGAGTGAGACTAGATGAGGCTTAAACATAGCACAGTGTTACAGCATGGGGAACAGAACAGAGGTAATAGAAGTCAAATAATGTTGGGGAATTTGGTCATGTGGACCAACCAAAGTGAAGAGACTTTATTAACACCTCATTAACAAGCATTGTAGAAAAGCCAAAACGAAGCCCTTACAAAATCTATAGGCAAAATAGATTTGAAGACTGAGTACTGTCAAATTAGTGTGGACCGGTAAACACCTTAGGATTTCTACAAATCCATCTTAAGAAAGTGAAAAATCAAGTCTACACAATGTCAAGGTGATCAACCATGAAACTGCCTACTAAAACATAAACAAACCTTCTTCAGCAAAATGTACTTAGAATCTAAAGTTTCTAAAGCATATAACTATTGCGGGATCTGGCCAGCAGCCCACAATGCAACGGGGCGCTCTCTTTGTTCCTAGGCAGATCAGCAGGTTGAGAAATAATAGACACACAAAAGATAGTGAATGCTGGGTCCGGGGGGTCACCGCCTTCTGGTCCCGTGGTGCCAACGATGCACTGGATATACCAGCATTTATTATTAAGTTTAGTGAGGGCAGGGGTAGCTTAGTGAGGGATTTAGGGTCATTTGATTATGAGGTGAGATGGTCACATGGGGATGAAGTAATTCTTTAACATAACATCTGTATGCAGAAGTACAGTATACAGAGATAAGAATTTACAATATAGTGTGTGCATCAGTAATTTCTAACAGAGCCTTAAAACAGAAGCACAGTCTTTCCATAACCTGTGATTAGCAAGATATTAATCAGCAGTAACAGTTGCAGCAAAAGCTGGTTACAAACAATCCATAGAAACAGGACGTGAAGCTAGACAACCGGTTAGACCAGAAATTCTCAGAAGGGAGTATGCCTTAACCCTAAAGAGGCCTAAAAGAGCCGTGGCAAGATTAGGACGTTTATAGCCCTATCTTATCCATATGGACAGGCACCCCCCATGCATCCGTTTATAGGCTCTCCACAAGGGTCACATTCCATTCCCAGAGCTATGAACATCTGCTTTTCTGGGATAGGAATCTTGGTGATGTGAAACCTCCCTGACTGCACGTCCATTCATAGGCTCTCTGCAGGGGGAAGCACATCACGTGCTGTTGGCTCATTCTGGTAGTCCAACTTGGCATTGTCTTTACACAGTCCTGCATGCAATTTTGTATTTACAATAATCAGGAGCATTTCATCTTTTATTCTGTAGCAATAGTTTCAGGGGGTCTCCCTACATATAACAATGACAAATATACAACCAAAAATTACTAGACAGGCCAGGTGTGGTGGCTCACAACTGTAATCCCAGTGCTTAGGGAAGACAAGGAGGGAGGATATCTTAAGGCCAGGAGTTCAAGACCAGCCTGGACAACACAGTGAAACCTCATCTCTACAAAAAGTTTAAAAATTAGCCAGGTGTGGTGGTGTGCACCTGCAGTCCCACCTACTCAAGAGGCTGATGCAGGAGGATCACTTAGCCCAGGAGTTCAAGGCTGCAGTGAGCTATGACTGTACCACTGCACTCCAGCCTGGGCAACAGAGCGAGATCCTGTCTCAAAAAAAATAATAGAAATTACTAGACAGAAATGAGAAAATGTGACCCCTTCGGCAAATGAAGCCAACTTCAAGATGGCCAATTAAGCATATAAAAATTTTAAAACAGCTATAATAAATATATTCAAAGAGTCTGGGTGCGGTGGCTCATGCCTGTAATCCCAGCACTTTGGGAGGCCTAGGCGGGAGGATAACGAGGTCAGGAGATCGAGACCATCCTGGCTAACATGGTGAAACCCTGTCTCTACTAAAAATACGAAAAATTAGCCAGGTGTGGTGGTAGGTGCCTGTAGTCCCAGCTACTCGGGAGGCTGAGGCAGGAGAATGGCGTGAACCCAGGAGGTGGAGCTTCCAGTGAGCCGAGATTGCGCCACTGCACTCCAGCCTGGGTGAAAGGGTGAGACTCTGTCTCAAAAAAAAAAAAAAAAAATACACACACACACACACACACACACACACACACACACGTATATATACACACACACACATATATATACACACATATATATGTATATATGTATGTATATTCAAAGACATAAAGGAAACGCATTCAAAGAATAAAAAGCAAATATGGGCTAAATAAACATATAATAAATCTTGAGAGAAATACAAACTGGAAAAAGAAACAAAAGGAAATTCTGGAACAGAAAAGTACAATCTAACTAAAACTGAAAGCCCAAAGGAGAGACTTAATAGTAGACTAAAGATGGCAAAAAAAAAATAATTGGAGAACATAAAGAAAAATCAGTGAAAAGTATCCAATCTGAAGAACACAAAGAAAAAACATTGAAGAAAAAATGAGCAGAGCATCAAGAATCTATGGGGTGACACAAAACAATCTAACACACACATGCACATATATTTGTGTACACACACTCACACACACACATACAGTGACAGAGTCCTAGAAGAAGAGACTGGAATCTAGGCACACATAATTAAGCTGACAAAAACTGAAGATGAAGATGGTATCTCAAAAACAGACTGATGCCAGGAGCAGTGGCTCACACATGTAATCCCAGTACTTTGGGGAGGCTGAGGAGGGAGGATCACTTGAGTCCAGAAGATTGAGACCAGCCTGGGCAATATAGGAAGACCTCATCTTTACAATTTTTTTTTTTTAATTAGCCAAGCATGGTGGCATGTGCTTGTAGTCCCAACTACTCAGAGGCTGAGGAAGGAGGATCACTTGAGCCCAGAAGTTCAAGCCCCAGCCTGGGCAACATAGTGAGACCTTGTCTCTACAAGAAAACAACAAAAAAATAGCCAGGTGTGGTGGTGTGTGCCTGTAGTCCTAGCTACTCAGGAGGCTGAGATGGGAGGACTGCCTGAGCCTTGGAGGTTGAGGCTGCAGTGAGCCATGATCATGCCACTGCACTCCCGCCTGGGTGAGAATGAGACCCTGGGTGAGAATGAGTCTCAAAAAAAAAAAAAAAAGAGAGAAAGAAAAGAAATAAGAAGAAAAATATATGGATATCTCAAATTCCATTATCAGAATGACAGATATGGCACATAAAAATAAATCATAAAAGTTCACTTCTTAAAAGGTATTAATTGATAAACATGGATCCAGATGGGTGTGCTTATGATTATTGCTTCTATTATATTAGGAGTCCCAGCCAGTAACCAAAATAAATAAATAAAAAGCATAAGAATTGCAAAGAAAAAAGCAAAATTACACTATTTCAGCTACACAGAAAAGTCTAAAAGAATCGACAGATAAATTATTATAAATAAGAGTATATAATGTGGCTGGATGTAAGTTTTAAAATGCAGAGATAAATGTATTTCTATATACCAGAAACAGATTACAATTTTAATTTAATAAGATACCATTTACATCGGCAATAAAATCTATAAGGTAAAGGAATAAATCAAGAAAATATATACAAGGCCTAAACCAAAAATCATAAAGTCATGTACCACAAAACAACATTTCAGTCAATGAGGGATCACATATACAACAGCAGTCCCATAAGATTATAGTACAGTATTTTTTACTGTGCGTTTTCTGTGTTTAGATATACTTAGATACACAAATGCCATCATATTATAACTGTCTACCATATTCAGAATGGTAACATGCTGTACAGGTTTACAGACTAGGAGCAATTGGCTATACCATATAGCCTAGGTATGCACTAGGCTATACTATTTAGGTTTGTGTAAGTGCACTCTATGAAGTTTGCACAATGACAAGATTGCCTAATGAAACATTTCTCAGAATGTATCCCCATCACTAAGCAACACATAACTGTAGATTTAAAATAAGTGAGGGTGTACTATATGAATAGGAACACTGAAAATGGAAAATGTGCCAATTTTCTCAAAATTAAGCTAATGATTTAATGCAACCCCAGATAAAAATTCCCATGGACCTTTTGTAAACCTGACAAGTTGATCCTAAAACGAACATGAAAAAATCAAAGGACTTACACTGGCCATGGCACTACTGAAAAGAAGAATAAAGCATATGGGTGCCATCAACCTCCTGAGTAGCTTGGGGTACAGGTGCATGCCACCATGAAGTTTTCATTTTAATTGTTGTAATTTTGAACTCCAGAATTTATATATATTTTTTTCTTATAATTTGATCATTTCTATTGCTTCACTGATATTCTGTTTGGTTGGACATCATTCTCATGCTTTCCTTTGGTTCTTTAGACATAGTTTCCTTTAGTTCTCTGAACATATTTTAAATAATTGATTTATACCCTTTGTCTTGTAAGTGTAATGTCTTTGTTTCCTTAGGGACAGTTCCTGTTACTTGCTTTTCCCTTCAGGTATAGACCACATTTTCCTGTTTCTTTGCATGTCTGGCAATTTTATGTTGAAAATGAGACATTTTAAATAATTAATGAGGCAACTCTGGAAATCAGATTTTGTCTTCTTCACAGAGTTTGTTTTTGTTGCTGTTTGTTGTTATGTGGCTTTTTTGAACTAATTCTGTAAAATCTGCATTCTTTGTCATACATATGTAGTCACTAAAGTCTCTGCTGAGTTAGCTTATTAGCTGTCTAATTATTGAACTGAGATATCCTTAAATGCCTGAAACTAATAACTATCCTAGTCTTTGCTGGAAGCTTTATGTGCTTGTTCGGGCATGCCTTCAACATTCAAGTCAGGCAGTGGACACCTCTATCTTGGCTATCACTTCCTGCTTGTGCAGAGGCTCAAGGTCAATCTGAGGTGGACACATAGGACCTTCCCAGGTCTTTCCTGGGCATTTGTACATCCTTGTATTTGCAACTTGCATGTGACCCCTTACCGACAAAGCATTCCCCAGCTTTTCCTTTTAACCTTTAGATTTGCCTGTTGTTTGCCTCAATTGTATTCCATAGCTAGAGGCTGGTTAAATACTTGCTGTATGCATAATCATTCCATTTCGACAAACACTCCCTGAGAAAAGATTTTTCCCACTGGGTAAGCTTAGAGTCAGGAAAAGTAAAACAGCCTTGTAAGTAGGGTCTTCCAGGGAACCACCTGAGAAGTCAAATAATGACAACTGTCTGATAGTAAGTTTTTGAAGGAGCTCCAACCCCTTACTGCCCCCACCACTGGCTATAAGCCTGCTGGTTTTCAAGGCTTCTGCTGTGCTGGAGATGAGAGGATAGGTATAGGGCAAGTTAAAATAACAGCTTGCTATTCTTATCAAGATTCAGTCATTTTTCTTTAATAAACCATACCCAATTGCTATAAACTTTTGGCTAATTTCCAGAGTTCTGAAAGAGTTGCTTCTGATTCTTTGCCAGTTTCCTCATTCCTTATATGGGGCAGAGTATTTTTTGAGGTTTTCAGTGTCGCAACTTTCACTAATGTCATCCTCCACAGTATCTCAGTTACACAGCTTTATAGGAAACCCTTTTATCCAAAGAAATAGGAAAATATGGCCTGTATATGAAGGGAAAAGCAAGTAACAGGGACTGTCCCTAAGGAAACAAAGACATTACACTTACTAGACAAAGGGTATAAATCAATTATTTTAAATATGTTCACAGAACTAAAGGAACTATGTCTAAAGAATCAAAGTATGAGAATGATGTCTAACCAAACAGAGAATATCAATGAAATGATAGAAATTACAAAATTGTAAGAAAAAAATACAAATTCTGGAGTTCAAAATTACAATTAAAATGAAAACTTCACTAGTGGAGCTCAACAACAGATTTGACTAGGCAGAAGAATTTGTGAATTTGAAAACAGACCAACTAAGACTACCCAGTCTGATGAACAGAAAGAAAAAAGAAGAAAAATGAACAGACCCTCAGAGACGTGTGGGTATATCATCAAGAATACCAACATATGTGGATGGGCAGAGTGGCTCATGCCTGTAACCCCAGCACTTTGGGAGGTTGAGGCAGGTGGATCCCATGAGTTCAGGAGTTCGAGACCAGCCTGGCCAACATGGTGAAACCCTGTCTCTACTAAAAGTACAAAAAATTAGCTGGGCGTGGTGGTGGGTGCCTGTAATCCCAGCTAACAGGAAGCTGAGGCAAGAGAATCTCTTGAACCCAGGAGGTGGAGGTTGCAGTAAGTCAGGATCACGCCATTGCACTCAAGCTTGGGCAATAACTGGGAAACTCCATCTCAAAAAAAAAAAAAGAATACCAATATATGCATAATGAAAAACACTAATCTGAACATCTAAGAATCACAGAGAATTCCAAGTATACTATAAACTCAAAGGGATCCACCCCTAAACACATCATAGTCAAACTGTGAATGACAAAGAGTGTCATGAAAGCAGCAATAAAGCAAATCATCACATACAAAGGATTTCAAATAAAATTAACTGCTGACTTCTTAATCAGAAACTATGTAGAGGCCAGGCACAGTGGCTCATGCCTATAATTAAAACACTTTGGGAGGGCGAGGCAGGAGGAATGCTTGAGCCCAGGAGTTTCAGACCAGCCTGGGCAACACAGTGAGACCCTGTCTCTACAAAAAATAGAAAAAAAATTAGCCAAACCTGGTGGTACATGTCTGTAGTTCCAGCTACTCAGGAGGCTGAGATGGGAGGGTCGTTTGAACCCAAGAGTCAAGGCTGTAGTGAGCTGTGATTATGCCACTGCACTCCAGCCAGGGTGACAAAGCTAAATCCTGTCTCAAAAAAAAAAAAAAAAAAAAAAAACAAAGAAAAGGAAAAAAAAAGAAACCATGGAGGCCAGAAGACAGTGGAATGACATATTCAAAGTGCTAAATGAAAAATATTGTTAACCAGAAAGTTTATGTCCAGCAAAACTCTCCTTCAAAAATGAAGGAGAAATTAGCACATTCCCAGATAAACAAAAACAGAGAAAATATGTTGCTGGCACACTTCAAGTACAAGAAATACTAAAGGAAGTCCCTCACACTTAAATAAAAGGATGCTAGACTGTAACTTGAATGCACATGAATAAGAGAATAGGTAAGGTAACTACATAGGTTAATATATAAGAACATAAATGTATTTTGGGTTGTAACTCTTTCCTCTTCTCATTTAAAAAACATCTGCATAAATCAATAATTATAAATCAGTGTTGATGGGCACATAATGTATAAACATGTAATTTGTATGGCAATAATGACACAAAGGAGTAGAGAGGAAACGATAAACAGGAGTAAAGTTTTTATATACTATGGAAATTAGATTGGTATTTATCTGAATTATATTGTTAAACATTTTGGTATTAACTGTAATGTCTATGGCAACAACTAAGAAATAACTAAAAAAATACATATTAAAAGAAGTGACAAGTGAATTAAAATGGTACACTAGAAAATATCTAACACAAAAAAACACAGTAGGGAAGGAACAGAGAAACAAAATATAATTGACAAAACTTTACAAGAGTAACCAAGAAAAAAGAAGATTCAAATTACTAAAATCAGCAATTCATGAGGGGACATTACTACCAACCTCACAGAAATAAAGGATTATAAGGGAATACTATGAACAATGTTATGCCAACAAATTAGATAACATAAATGAAATTGATAAATTCTTAGTGATATGGTTAGGCTTTGTGTCCCCACCCAAATCTCATCATGAATTGTAATCCCCATAATCCTCACGTGTCAAGGGAGAGACCAGGTGGAAGTAACTGAATCATGGGGGCAGTTTCCCTCCATGCTGTTCTTCTGATAATGAGACAGTTCTTGCAAGATCTGATGGTTTTATAAGGGGCTCTTCCCCCTTAGCTCAGCACTTCTTCCTGCCGCCTTGTGAAGAAGGTGCTTTGCTTGCCCTTCACCTTCTGCCATGATCATAAGTTTCCTGAGGCTGTGCTGAACTGTGAGTCAATTAAACCTCTTTCCTTTATAAATTACCCAGTCTCGGGTATGTCCTTATAGCAGCATGAGAACAGACTAATACAGTAAATTGACACCCCAGAGAGTGGGGTGTTGCTATAAAGATACTTAAAATGTGGAAGTGACTTTGGAACTTGGTAACAGGCAGAGGGTGGAACAGTTTGGAGGGCTCAGAAGAAGAGAGGAAGATGTGGGAAAGTTTGAAACTTCCTAGAGACTTGTTGAATGGCTTTGACCAAAATGCTGATAGTGATATGGACAATGAAGTCCAGGCTGAGGTGATCTCAGATGGAGATGAGGAACTTGTTGGGAACTAGAATAAAGGTGACTGTTGCTATGCTTTGGCAAAGAGACTGGCAGAATTTTGCCCCTGCCCTAGAGATCTGAGGAACTTTGAAGTTGAGAGAGATAATTTAGGGTATCTGGCGGAAGAAATTTCTAAGCAGCAAAGCATTCAAGAGGTGATTTGGGGGCTCTAAAAAGCATTCAGTTTTATGCATTCACAAAGAGATACTTTGGAACTGGAACTTATGTTTAAAAGGGAAGCAGAGCATAAAAGTTTGGAAAATTTGCAGCCTGATAACGCGATAAAGAAAAACCCATTTTCTGAGGAGAAATTCAAGCTGGCTGCAGAAATTTGCATTAAGTAATGAGAAGCCAAACATTAATCCCCAAGACAATGGGGAAAATGTCTCTAGGGCATACCAGAGACCTTCACAACAGTCCCTCCCATTACAGGCCTGGAGGCCTGGGAGGTAAAAATGGTTTTGTGGGCCAGGTACAGGGTCTTGCTGCCTTGTGTAGTCTCAGGACTTGGTGCCCAGTGTCCCACTCGTGGCTAAAGGGGCCAAAATATAGCTCAGGCCATTGCTTCAAAGGGTGCATGCCCCAAGCTTTGGTGGCTTACAGGTGGTGTTGCGCCTACAGGTGTACAGAAGTCAAGAATTGTGGTTTGGGAACCTCCACCTAGATTTCAGAGGATGTACGGAAATGCCTGGATGTCCAGGCAGAAGTTTGCTGCAGGGGTGGAACCCTCATGGAGAACCTCTGCTAGGGCAGTGCAGAAGGGAAATGTCCCCACAAAGAGTCCCCACTGGGGCACTGCCTAGTGGAGCTGTGAGAAGAGGGTCACCATCCTCCAGACCCCAGAATGGTAGATCCACCAACAGCTTGCACTGTGTGCTTGGAAAAGTGCCAGACAATGCCAGCACATGAAAGCAGCTGGGAGAGGCTGTACCCTGCAAAGCTACAGGGCTGGAGCTGCCCATGGCTGTAGAAGCCCACCTTTTACATCAGCATGACCTGGATGTGAGACATGGAGTCAAAGGAGATCATTTCAGAGGTATAAGATTTGACTGCCCTGCTGGATTTCAGACTTGCATGGGGCCTGTAGCCCCTTCAGTTTGGCCAATTTCTCACATTTGGAACGGGTGTATTTACCCAACGCCTGTACCCCAAATGTATCTAGGAAGTAACTAACTTGCTCTTGATTTTACAAGCTCATAGGCAGAAGGGACTTGCCTTGTCTCAGATGAGACTTTGGACTTGGACTTTTGGGTTAATGCTGGAATGTGTTAAGACTTTGGGAGACTGTTGCAAAGGCATGTTTGTGTCTTGAAATGTGAGGACGTGAGATTTGGGAGGGGCCAGGGGAGGAATGATATAGTTAGGCTTTGTGTCCCCACCCAAATCTCATTTTGAATTGTAATCCCCATAATCCCTATAATCCCTGCATGTCAAGGGAGAGACCAGGTGGAGGTAAATGGATCATGGGGGCAGTTTCCCCCATGCTGTTCTAATGATAGCAAGTGAGTTCTCACAAGATCTGATGGTTTTATAAGGGGCTCTTCCCCCTTAACTCAGCACTTCTCCTTCCTGCTGCCTTGTGAAGAAGGTGCCTTGCTTCCCCTTCACCTTCCACCATGACTGTATAAGTTTCCTGAAGCCTCCCCAGCCACGCTGAACTGTGAGTCAATTAAACCTCTGTCTTTTATAAATTACCCAGTCTCAGGCAGTTCTTTATAGCAGTGTGAAAATGGACTCATACACTTAGAAAGCCACATATTACCATAATTGATTTAAAAATAATTAGAAAATCCAAATGTATGGACAGAATTGTGTTTCCCCAGAATTCGTATGTTGAAGCCCTAACCCTGAAATGTAACTGTATTTGGAGTTGGGCCTTTAAGGAGTTAATTAAAGCTAAATGAAGTCATAAAGGTGAGGCCTTAATCTGAAAGGACTGGTGTTTTTTTTTTGTTTTGTTTTGTTTTTTGAGACAGTCTCTCTCACCCAGGCTGGAGTGCAATGGTGCAATCTCAGCTCACTGCAACCTCCACCTCCTGGGTTCACACCATTCTCTTGACTCAGCCTCCCGAGTAGCTGGGATTACAGGCGCCCGCCACCACGCCTGACCAACTTTTTGTATTTTTAGTAGAGATGAGGTTTCACCATGTTGGCCAGGCTCAAACTCCTGACCTCAAATGATCCACCTGCCTCAGCCTCCCTAAGAGCTGGGATTACAGGTGTGACCCACCACACCCAGCCTAGGACTGGTGTTCTTAGAAGAAGAAGAAGAGATACTGGAGCTCTCTCTGAGAGTCACACAGAGAAAAGGCCACAAGCCAAGGAGACAAGCCTTACCAGAAACCAACCCTGTTGGCACCTTGATCTTGGACTTCTAGCCTCTAGAATTGTGAGAAAATACATTTATGCTTTTTACGCTACTCAATCTGTTGTATTTTGTTATGGCAGCCCAAACTGATTAAGATGAAGTAATCACAAAAAGAACTGAAAATATTCATAATTAAAAGAGTAGACATAATTATTTGCAGTGACTGGATCTTATTTGGATACTGATTTGAACAAATATTTTAAGAAGTGAGACAATGGGGGTAATGTGACTGACTACTGATTGGATATACAGGAATTATTGATAAAATATTTATGTGTGATAATACAGGTGTCCCTTATCTGAAGCGCATAGGGCCAGAAGTGTTTCAGATTTCAGACTTTTTTTGGATTTTGGAATATTTGCATTATATACTTAGCAGCTGAGCATCTGAAATTGAAAGGTGAAATCTGAAATGCTCTAATGAGCACTTCTATAGAGTGTCATGTCGGCGCTCAAAGAGTTTAGGATTTTGAAGCATTTCAGATTTCAGATTTTTGGATTTGGAATGCCTAATCTGTAGTTTTGTGGTTATGTTTCTAAAAAAATACTTTTTCTTTTAAAAATATAGTATTTGTGAATGAAATGATATAGTAAAAATAATACAATGAGAGGAGAGTAGAAGGAGTATGGATAAAGTAGGATTGGCTATAAATTGATAATAGTCAAAGGTGGGTGATGATTTCATTAATGTTTATCATATTATCCTTTTTTGCTTTTATACATGCTTGACTTTTTCACAGTAAAAGTGAAAATGTTTACAATGATAATAAAATAGTATGGAATCGGTACAGAGTTAAGCAAACTGACTAAAACAAAACAAAAGCTAAGAACATAGCTCAGAAATGGATTCTTGTGCAAATAAAACATGCTATGTGACAGAGATAGCATTAACAATTACCAGGGCAAAGGGAAAATTCAATATCTGATGCTGGATCAACTCCTATTCAAATGACAAAAAAAGTCACTGGATTTCTCTACCTCACACAGCACATAAAATTAAATTCCAGATAAATTAGGGACTTAAGTGTGAAAGGCAAAACTTTAAATCTCGAAGACAACATAGGAGAATATCTTTCGAAACTGTATGATAGATTTCTTAAATAAAAAACATTAGCCATAAGAGTCATAAATTATACTGTATTAAAATGAGAACTTCTATTTAAAAGACACTAAAAACGGGAGAGGAGGAATATAAAATACATAAAATTATGTAACTACAAGTCAGTCAGAAAAAGACGCACAATCCAATAGAAAAAAGCGCAAAAGATATGGGCAGACATTTCACAGAAGAGGCAACATGCATGTCCAATAAATATGTAATAGGATGCTCTGCTTATTAATTAGGGATATGCTAATTATGACTATATTCAGAGATACCTACAGGATTGACACAAATTAAGCAGTCTGATAATATCATGTTTGGAGAAAATGTAGACCAATCATAAATTTTATATATTCATGGTAAAGTAAATCGGTACAACCAATTTGGAAAGCAACTTAGCAATACTTTGTAAAGTGAACATTTACTAATCTATCAGCCCATAAATTCCACTCTTGCATATATATTTTACAGAAACTCTAGAATATATTCTTAGAATAGATACAACCCAGAAGTTCATGATCAGGAGATGAATACATTGTCATACATTCACAAAATATTTAATAGCGTTTAAAATGAATAAGCTATAGTTGTAAGAAACAACATGCATAAAGTTTAGAAACTCATGTTGTATGAAAATAGGGAGTTCCATATAACTATGTGAAGAATGATTTCACTTTTATTTATCTCCTAAATAAGCATAAACAATATGTTGTTTAGGCAGATGTATATACAAAGTAAAAAACAAGCAAGAGAATGATAAACACCATATTCAGTCTACTCACTAATTCCTGGGGAGACGCAGAAGAGAGAGATAAGTCTTCTACTTCTTGTGCTGGTTGATGATTTCATGTAAGTTTGTGGTACTGTGCTTTATAACTTACATATGTTCTTGTGTAAATATCAAATATATTTTTCAAAGGTTAGGAAAAATAACTCTACATTAAAACACCATTAAAAATGAAATTCATACCTTCAACTATGCTGGACTTAGCAAGAAATCCTGAAGATGTTTTTAGAGCTCCATTGAATACCACAAAACTTGCACCTGTCACTGATCAAGAAATACAACAATTATTTGTTTTAAACTGCTCATTTTTATGTTACACATTTGTTAAATGCAGAATGTGGATATGCATATAAGTACTCAATAAATGTTATACCCACACAACTTAAACTAGAAAACTAATTAAAAAGACAAAAAAAAGAGATAAAATATTACATTAAAATAATTTAATGCGGCTGGGCGCGGTGGCTCATGCCTGTAATCCCAGCACTTTGGGAGGCCGAAAAGGGCAGATCACCTGAGGTCAAGAGTTTGAGACTAGCCTGGCCAACATGGTGAAACCTCGTCTCTACTAAAAATACAAAAATTAGCCAGGTGTGGTGGCAGGCGCCTATAATCCTGGCCACTCAGGAGGCTGAGGCAGAATTGCTGGAACTCAGGAGGTGGAGGTTCCAGTGAGCCAAGATCGCGCCACTGCACTCCAGCCTGGGCGACAGAGCGAGATTCTGTCTCAAATAAGTAAATAATAAAATAATTTAATGTTTTTATTAATAATTGATGGAGTATTGTACTGTTTTAAATGTTTGTGCCTATATTAGTGAGGGTGTAGGAAATCAAACATTCACTACTGGTGACACCACAAATCAGAACAGTTTTTATGGAGCCCTAACTTGGCATTTTTCTATTAAAATTACAAGTAAATGTATCCTATGACACACCAATTCCACTTTTGGGAATTTATCTTACAGATAGGTTCAAATGTGTACAAAACGGCATGTATACAAAACTATTCACTGTAGCATTTTTATAAACAGCCCCTAAGGATTGGTAACAAATTATGCCCATCAATAAGGGACAGTTAAATGATGTACAACATATAAAATGTAAAGTTCTGTAGAATATAAAAGCTCCTTATACACAAACATAGAATAATCTCCAAAGTGTGTTAACAACAACAAAAAAAACAAGGTATAGAATGGAGCAAATATTATGACTTGTCTATAAAAGTGGAAGAAAGAGGTAGATATGTGTGTGTGTTTCTTGAATATATATTAAAGCAAAAATGTCTCTGAAAGGATATATAAGAACTGATAACATTGGTTTGGTTGCCTGTAGGGAGAGTAAGAGGATGGCTGGGTGGTCAAGGGAGGAAAGGAGATTTTTCACTATAAATATTAATAACTTTTTAATTTTACCACATAAAAATATACCTATTCAACAAATAAATATTAAAAATTGTTAAATTTTAGTGGCAAAAATGCCAATATCATGTTAAGTGATAAAGTATAATATAAAAGTGTAAATATCCAGTATAAAATCATCTATTTAACATATACATTAATATAAGAAGGAAATACAGTAAAATGTCAATAGTGACCATATCTTGGCACTTTTCCCTTTTACCACCTTTTTTTTTTTTTTTTTTTTTAGACGTAGTCTCGCTCTGTTTCTCTGTCGCTCAGGCGGGAGTGCAGTGGCACGATCTGGGCTCACTGCAAGCTCCGCCTCCCGGGTTCACGCCATTCTCCCGCCTCAGCCTCCCAAGTAGCTGGGACTACAGGCGCCCGCCACCACACCCGGCTAATTTTTTGTATTTTTAATAGAGACGGGGTTTCACCATATTAGCCAGTATGGTCTCAATTCTTGACCTTGTGATCCGCTCACCTCAGCCTCCCAAAGTTCTGGGATTACAGGCGTGAGCCACTGTGCCTGGCCTCTTTTACTACTTTTCAAAATGTATTTTCCAAGCTTACTACAAATAAGTATATATTACTTTTATAAGCAGAGGAAAAAATTTTATTGGCAGCCAGAATGTTGGACTATTTTAAGTATGGTATCCTATAATAATATATTAATTTTATGAAATGCTTCCATTTAACTTTCAATTTGTTAGGCCTTCTACTGCAAGGGTTTGGTAATCATAGCAATCACTGAAGCCATTCAGCCAGAGCTGAGAGTAATGTCATTCATAGATGCTGTTTGTTACGTTTTATAAATCAATCTTATCCTTATCACCCTGTGCTCCACCAACTAAGAGGAGTTGGAGCAGAGGGTGAACAAATGTGAAAAGAAATACCTTATTTCAGAAAGAAATTACTCAAAGAAAGACTCTCACCCTACGGGATATACTAAACCTAAAGATGTCAAAAGGAAAACAGTCTTCCAAGTCTGTAAGCCTAAAGTAGCCCAAGAGAAAAACAAAAATTAGAAGCAATTTTAAAATCTGTTGTGTAGCTGAAATTTCAAAACATATTGTTTTATCACCAACAATTCAGCAAATAAGTAAATATACATATATTTCCCCTTTGAAAGGAATTCTATTAATTGAGGTGGTTTTGTAAATTAGCACTAGGAACCAAGATGCTCACCTTTTCTAGGATGGCCAGTGGCACTGTTGGCCTGTGTTTCATAAATTCCATCATTCTGTATACAGACTAGATGAGAATCTGCTTCTGTACTGAAACTTGCTCCAATGCTAATGACATGCTCATTGGAAGAATTTAGTACTTTCATTACCTGGAAAAAAACAAAAACAACAACATTTATTTAGAAACACTTTTAATATTATATGCCTATTCTAAGAGCCACGTTTCTGGCCAGCTTCATAATTATCAAGCTTCGGTCTGGACAGCTCCCTGGGAATGTGATGGAAACAAATGTTTTAAAATAAAAGCACTTCAGTTGAACAGTAATCACCTCAATAAAACAGTACGAAAAAAAAGAAATATGATCAAACAGATTATTTACAGTAAACAAATTCTATCATTTCAAAAACAATGTTTGTTGCCATAATACATTAGATAGTCTAATTCAAAACAAAAAATTTAATGTGACACAATTCTAAGGGAACTCTAATGTTCAATAATTGTCATTTGAATAAAACAATTATACTTACATCACTGTACTTTTTCCGTGGTATTTTTATGCAGCTTTTTCCCATTTCCATATGAATCAACAGTTGATCTATATTATGCAAGGTATACTGGTAATTTCGAAGGTCCTACATAGAATAATTGCATTACCATAAACTACTAACCATGAGTATTTTTCTATCCATTAAATCCTTCTTTAAGAAATCCTTCTCCACAGCAGTAATAAAGAATATCATTCTCAGGAAAAACTTTGTAGTATTTAGGGTAACTTTCTAGTTACAGAACTTCCAAAATAGAAAAGGTCTTCAAACTAGGCATGGATAAATAAAAGTGAGTCCACTGAAACATTTTTCTATGGTAACAGGGAAACACAAAATTACAAAAAGTATAGGTGGAAGGGAACTTTAGATATCATCTAATCCAACACTTCCTATTATAAATGAGAAAACTAAGGCCATAATTTGCTCAAAATCACAAGACTGACTGACTTTACTAATACATTTACAAAAGTTTCAACAACTTTAAGAGGTCTGTATAGAGTTCTTACATTACCTAAATATCCAAGAACTGCAGGAGAATGAATCAAAAGGCACTTAGAATCAGGTACACGTACATGAGGAGATAGTACGTTCTAAAAAGCAATTCGTCAAAAACTGAGCACTAATGTTAAAATAATTAGGATTTATTGTAAATGAATGGTCATTATACCAAATATGGCAAATTAAAGTAGGAAAATATAAATGTATAAACTTTGCTAAATACAGTTTTAAAGTAACAGTATAAAAATACCTAATAAAATAGTTCAATTACTCACAACAAGTAAGTTCATAATAGTGTGTCCTATTTCTCCAAAAAGAGGTTTTCGGCCTCTGATGCTTGTTAGAGGAGCAGGATATGCTATACATAAGAAAGGAAAACTGGTTACTATCAACAAAAAAAACCCCAAATTATTGAATTTATTACCTTCAACTCTCATTTTACAAACAAACATTATGTATAAATATCACTCAATCAGTTCTTAGGGGAAAGTGAGAGATAATTTTTTTTTTGTTTTTGAGACAAGGTCTCACTCTGTTGCCCAGGCTGGAGTGCAGCGGTGCAATCTCGACTCATTGCAACCTCCACTTCCTGGGTTCAAGTAATTCTCCTGCCTCAGCCTCCCAAGTAGCTGGGATTATAGGCATGTGCCACAACACCTGGCTAATTTTTGTATTTTTAGTAGAGACAGGGTTTCACCATGTTGACCAGGCTGATCTCAAACTTCTGACCTCAGGTGATCCACCCACCTCGGCCTCCCAAAGTGCTGGGATTACAGGCATGAGCCACCACACCCAGCCAAGAGACAATATTAACACTTACTGTGTATCTATGTATCTACTAGATGCTACATTGAACTGGGAACTATACATACATTATCTTATTTAAATTCAACAACCTAATGGAGTGTGTCTATACTATTTCATAAATGAGAAAGTTGAGACACAGAAATTAATCAACTTGCTCCTAGTGACTAATAATTGGTGAAACAGATTTGAAATTAGGCTTGTCTGATTCGAGAGTATTTCATCTTTTCATTATACATCTTGTTTCCACAAAATTATAGGGGGTGGAAAATTATGATAATTGGTTAGAACGATATAGGTTTCTGATAATTTAAAGAGAAATACAAAGAACTAAAGACTTTTAAGGCATTTATAACTAATATTCAATTGTGCTAATTTATGAATGGTAGTAAACTTTTAAAGTTCTTGGTTCAGCATGATAAAAGAAATATACTGGGGCTGGCCGTGGTGGCTCACGCCTGTCATCCCAGCACTTTGGGAGGCCAAGGCGGGTAGATGATGAGGTCAGGAGATCGAGACCATCCTGGCTAACATGGTGAAACCCTGTCTCTACTAAAAATACAAAAACAAAATTAGCCGGGCGTGGTGGCGGGCACCTGTAGTCCCAGCTACTTGGGAGGCTGAGGCAGGAGAATGGCGTGAACCCGGGAGGCGAAGCTTGCAGTGAGCCGAGATCGCGCCACTGCACTCCAGCCTGGGCGACAGAGTGAGACTCCGTCTCAAAAAAAAAAAAAAAGGAATATACAGATAGAGTCAGGGAAACCAATGCACAAAAAGGGAAGGGACATGAGGTCGGCCACCTAACTATGTTCTTTCTTTAGGGCACCATAAATTCTGGACACCAAAAAGGAAAAGAGACCTTACTGGTAACGCAGCAGGCACTCTGAAGAAAAGGAAGGCAAGACTATTTCTATAGTGATAAGACACAGACACATTTGTAACCTTCAGTTCTCAAGTTAGGTCTTAAGCAAACTAATCTCTCTAATGTCTATTATACAAATATACTTCCTTAAAATTCTAAAGAAACACCACATACCCAACATTAGCTGCTTTAAAGACTTAAGTCAAAGTAGTCATTTTCTTGCTAGTACAAACATATTTTGTAATTCTAAAAAGGCAACTAAGTTATTTGAAAGACAGAGGGTCTAGATTTGAAAAAAATACAAGATATTAGTGTGAAAAGACATAAAAACGATAAAGGAAATGATTAACTGCTAGCTTTTTGCCTTATATGAATGAGGGGGCAACCTTTGCAATATGAAGAGGTAGTTTTGTTTAAAACACTATTCTCAACAGGTTATGGCTTAGAATGACATACTATCTGAGTTACAAAGGGACCTCATAAATCATCTATTTGAACATTTAATGGTATTCAAAACCAGTGATCTCAACATAAAACCACAGATATTTTCAAAAGCATTTAAAAATTACTAATTTGAGACAGTTACTTTTAGTCTTTATTCTTGGGACTTTAACTTTCACATTAGCTTTTTCAAATGTACATTACCTCTGTAACAAAATACACACACAGACACACACACAGTTCACATCTAAAAAGACATGGGCACCAACAATGTCAAAGTGCCAGTCTATGTAAAATCTAGCAGAACAGAAAGAATTCAGAAAACAGCTGAGGTGAATTAACTTCTATGTATAACTGACAATTTCCCCTCATTACCACTAAATAGCTTATCATAGCTTTGCAGTTTCAGTCCCCGTGATTTATGATAAGCCCTTCGTATTGCTCCATGATTCTCCAACCTTCAGTGTGAGAAAACTTACTATCTAGAAGTACTACTGGCCAAAATACTGGCCATACTTACATGTTCCATAATAATTTGATTAGCTAGTTTATTCCCCTAATCTTCTATTTAAAAAAGCATTCAAATATTAAATTAGAGGCAAAATACTGGGCTGCATTGATGAAACATTTGGCTTAAAGTGAAATTTCTTAAGCTCTTTGTTTCACACAGTACAAAACCTGAGATGCAAATTAAATTTTGTTACTTTTCCCACAAGTTAATAGCATCACACATGTAAATCCTAAATGGTAAAGAACCCCCATCCACAAAATCACAGTTTAATAAAATTTCCAAATAGATTCTCTCTTTCTCTCAATTTGTCTATTCTGAAATAGTAATCACCACTTTTATAGCTTCTCAACATTTAATTTTCCTCCAAGAAAATCCCTACCAAATTATATTAGAATCAAATGTCTAAAAAGTTCATTAGACGTGATATACTTCAAATGCAATAAATATATTATTTCTTGAAAAAAGTCAGATAAAAGATACAGTGGGAATTCAAAAAAGTTTAACACTAGAAATGATTCTAACTCAGAAATAAGCATATATATAAACATCACAGCAGCTTTAGAATCACCAGTTGTGTCAAGGGTAGATAAGTAAATACACACACGTACATACACATGAATGATACAGGCTCTATCACCTTTGAGAGACAAACATCAGAATATAAAAATAAGAATCATCAAGCTTAGAAAAATAACCACAATTTTTAAGTACTTCCTTCCCTAAAAATAGTTAGCTTTTAATTATAGTGAGTAACTGAAAACAATAGCACTGCTAACCCAAAAATCCTTTATGTCTGGCTTTATGATATAGAAAAATTGAGAGACGCAACGATTTATCTTCTTAATATGCAGGCAACATAACAAACTCCCAATAGTATATGCTTTTAAGAAAATTTTAGCAAAAGTAATTAACACATATCGAACATCCCAAATCTAAAAACCTGAAATCCAAAATGCTCTGAAATCTGTAACTTTTTTTTTTTTTTTTTTTTTTTTTTTGAGACGTAGTCTTGCTCTGTCACCCTGGCTGGAATGCAGAGGCATGATCTTAGCTCACTGCAAATCTGCCTCCTGGGTTCAGGTGATTCTCCTGCCTCAGCCTCCTGAGTAGCTGCAATTACAGGCGCCTGCCACCTCACCCAGCTAATTTTTGTATTTTTAGTAGAGACAGGGTTTCACCATGTTGGCCAGGCTGGTCTCGAACTCCTGACCTCATGTGATCTGCCCGCCTTGGCCTCCCAAAGTGCTGGGAGTACAGGCGTGAGCCACCATGCCCGGTCTATAACTTTTTCAAATGCCAACGTGATGCTCAAAAGAAATGCTCACTGGAGCATTTCAGATTTTGAATTTGGGATGCTCAACTGGTATGTACTCTGTGAATATTCCAAAATCTGAAAAAGTCCAAAATCCAAAAAACTGATCCAATACATTTCAGATATGGCATACTCAACCTGCACTGTGAAAGTTTTCTGTTTTGTTCTGAAATTTAAGAAGAAAAGTTTTAGGTAATAAAAGAACTTATGAACATCTAGAAACTTGAAGACATACCACAGTTATCTAGACCAACCTGGTAGTAGAAGAGGGTTGTCTTAGAACTTTAAAAGCATAGCAAAACAAAAGTAGTTCCATTAATCCATTAAAATTGATTTTAATGATTCCCTGAAAGTCTTTACATTCAGTATATTTGAAAATATGCAATTTAACTTATTACTCTAAAACTTACCTTTATATTCTGCACCCAATCTCAACATTAAACGCATAGGAAAAACCTTTGCCCAGGGAATCTCAAGCTTCTGGATAAGAATTCCACAAAGAAAAGGATTACTTGGTAATGAGAGATCATCAAGTTTCTGAAAAGTAGGTGTAATAAACAGGAATCCTCCGTGATCCTTGCTACTGAGAAAACTCTCAGTAAAGGTAATATTGTCCAAGTTTTCTATGTATTTTCCTGCAAATAAAATCATTAGTAAAAAGATTTTAAGTTGTTTTGTTATTGTTTTGAAGAAATGTTCTTAGTTTGTCCAAAATCCAAAAAACTGATCCAATACATATAAACTGTCCCAATATAAACTGTCTGAAGTTAAGACACTATAGATTTTTTTTCTTATTTCTGTTCTTGCAAAAGCATCTATTAAATACCTTCTGTACACAAAGCTCCCAGTTATTCCTAGATATTGGGGATTATGAACAAAAATTTGAAAATGTTTCCAACCTTCCAATTTTTCTCCTTACGGCATGGTCAAGTGAAAAATTATCAAATCTCCTAGTCTTGTACAGACAGTAAGGAAATTACATAGATACACTGAAAAATCAAGGAGGCAGGCCAGGCACAGTGGCTCATGCCTGTAATCCCAGCACTTTGGGAGACTGAGGCGGGCGGATCACTTGAGGTCAGAAGTTCTAGACCAGCCTGGCCAGCATGGTGAAACCTTGCCTCTACTAAAAATACAAAAATTAGCTGGGCATGATGGCATGTGCCTGTAATCCCAACTACCTGAGAGGCAGAGGCAGAAGAATCGCTTGAACCCGGGAAGCAGAGGTTGCAGTGAACCAAGATTGTGCCACTGCACTCCAGCCGGGGTGGAGACACTGTCTCAAAAAAAAAAAAAAAAAAAAAATGGATATAAGGATATATTTCCATTTTTAAAATACAAAAATCTGCATAGACACTAATCACATAAAATGCTAGTTTTAAGGAGACAAAATAATTATTAAGCTATTTTCAGAAATCAGCAATCTCTTCACAGAAATAAATCTTTAGTATAGCTAGCACAGCCAAAACCATAAATGCCTTTAACTAATTTATCCATTCCCCAGTCTGAACAGTTCAAAATAAAATGCCATACCTTTTAGAGCATCCTTATATATGGTGATAAATAGTCTGAAGATGTCCTTAGGAATAGTATCTTCATTTGGCAAACATAACAATAGAATAATAATTTCTGCCTGTCCCAAGCCATGCAATCCATTGGTTGAAAAGTACCAATATTTGTCTGAGGAATCTTAGATGATAAAAGAATATAACTATTAATGTCAACTTCTATTAGTCAAAAAACTAAGAACAATTGTTTTTGCATTTAACATAACTTTTCAAATTCCTTGTGTTCCCAAAGTTCTCCTTATGAAAACCTTAAATTGAATTGTATAAGATTTATATAAAGTAAGAAAAAGGATTATCATAGGGAGCCAATTAATAAATAACACTAAAATAAAAGATGCACTAAATGCTGAAATGTAGTGGATAAGAATTTAGTTTCAAATAGAATGAAAAGCTGACAGATACATTATGGAGTAGTGAGGATTATTAATTATTAATGATTACTTCCTTTTTAATTAGGTCACATGTCACTTACTTTAAAACTGTCTTTATTGCTACTAAATCAGGGTTCCTGCTTATTTCAGTTACCAAATTTCAATTTATCTAAAAGCCACAGGAAATATAGTCAATTGTATCATGAGTATCAAAATACAGCTCAGTTATATAAGCCCATGACCTTAACCTAAGATTGACAGGGATGCTAATAAAAATCTGTAAGCTCATGTTTCAAGTCCTACTGAACATAAATTTGCAAAATTTATTTACAGTCATATGTGGCTGAAAAACCAATATCCAATCCTGCTTATTTTTCACCATGGCCAGTCAAAATCTAACCTGAAGATGTAATTAATTCAGAAATCCTGCTTACCAATTAAGCAAATAAGGATAAATTATTACTTACAAAATATGAATTTGACATTCACGAGTAGATTAGCATTTAGGACAAATGTAACAGGATGAAAGCTTTCACCTTCAAGAAGCAAAATGATCTGCTCATGAGATGGATGTTCTTCTACTACAGGCACTAAATGATGAAAGTAATATATTAATCAGGATAAATATCCTGTTAAATATGCTTACAAATGAAAAAAACAAATTTATAAATCCACCAGTGGCCTGATCAAATTTAAAAACAGAAGCAAACATGTTTCATAAAATCAACACCCCAGACAACTGTTATATACTAATTTTTACCTCTTTCCATGTAAAGTTACTAATACTGTAATGCATATATTACATATAGTATATTTATACTGTTGATTAAACAGCAAATGTATATAATTTTAGCACCTTCAAAGTTTGAAGACAAACGTTTTTATAAAGTAGATTCCAGTTTGGTAAGCACTCCATTTATAATTTTTGATATTTACAAGTCTATGAAAGTAGTCTAGAGCCACGTTATATATGCTGCTTGTTACCACATGCCTATATCAGCTACTTGCTACCATATGCCTATATCAGTGACCAGGTAGCAAAAAAAAAAAGATCTTGACAATCAATAGAAAGATATGCATGGCATACAAAGAATAGGGCTTACTATATTTTTGCCACTACAGCTAGGTTCATGTAATGGCTCCCACTGACAGAACAGAAATCCAAAGCTTCATTCCTCTACATTATCACGCAGAGAACCGCCATTTCATATTGCAGAATGTGACATAATGCCTGGAGTGACAAGTGTCTATCCTAGAAACCACTCTGGGGTGGGGGTTAGCCATAGAATCTCCTGCTTGAAAAGGACCTTAGAAATCATCTAGGTTCTATTTACAAAGGAAACTGGGGCCCAAGGAGATTAACACACTACAAGTCATAGATGTAAAAAGTAGCAGACAAGGAACTAAAATTCCTAGCTTTGCCATCCAATCTAATGCTCTTTTCTTTAGGTATCATGCTCCTAAAAAAAAATAGTAATAATACAGTGTCAAAATTCTAATACAATGGAAATATTTCTTCGGGCTAAAAGTCTATGAGCTTCCCTCATAGACTTAATCATTCGAAATTAGTGGGCCAGATGTGATAAATGGATCATAAAAGTTCAAATATTTTTAGAATTTGTTTTTATATAATAAGACTTTCTGTAAACAAAAGTTACCAGCCTTAGTACATATTGCAACCAAACTAAGTTAAAAAAATACATTTCATATGTCACAGATAAAATTCATCAGTATATATTTTTAAATCTTTTTAAATTTAAATAACTGCTTCCCTACCTGATCCCTTTTCTCCAGATGCAACCAGAAGTGGGGGCAAACTGTCCTCATCATTAGGTAGAAGACTAATCTTATTGCAGACATACTTGTTAATATCACACAGTAACCTATAATCTGAAATACTAGCAATAGGTAAATTGCTGTTAACTAAGACACCAGTAGGACTAGATGGTTCTTCAGTTTCTGCAAAAACATCATCATCTAGTGTAAATGAACCAGAAGTAGGTAACCCCTCATTTCCTGTGTTCATAGACAATTTTTCCACTGATGGAACCTGAGAAATAGGACTCTGAATTATCTCATTTCTTGTAATATCTCCTGTCTCATTGTTTGGCTTTTCCACTGTAGTAGAATGGGAATGATCCACTGTGTTTACTGTCTGTAAAATATGTAATAAAAAAAATAACAAATCAGTTCATATTCTCTGTTCAACTATGAAATGAGATCACTATAGCCAAACATATCTTTTTAATAAGAATAAATAAAAACCAAAATGCGTTCAGAAATTCTCTTAAAGTCAAATTTCCCAAGAAACAGTACCATTTTGATTCTTCAAATTCAGGAGCATAAGGAATTAAGAAGCATAAGGTTTTAGTTTTACTGCATGCTCAGGCAGGTATTAATGACTTAATATTAAGATTGGAAAAAATGAGGCAAGAAGAACTTCAAGATCCCATACCATATCACACAGTGAGCAAGCTTAGTTCAATCCAAGTCTCTCCCCTTCTTATGATAGCCAAAAACCCTTGGGTAGGCAGGGAGGAGGGACAAGGCAGGAAGAAGGGGAGGGGAGTGGTTAGGAAGCAGTGCGTTAGCTATATTCCACAAGAGTAACCACCTGGAAAAAACTACCCATAAAGACTATTTCAATAAAGCCTTTTTCTTTTTAGACTGTACAAAGTCAGTATTAAATAAGAACCATTTATGAACTCAATATTTACTAGCCTGTTGAGAATTTTCATTAATACAGATTGACAGTGCGTGCTAGCTAGGAAACATACCCATGGTAATTACGGCTATTTGTAAAGTCTAGCTCATGAACTCTTGACAAACAGCATATGTTTCTACCAAATGTAAATTTCAACAGAGCTGATAAATATTCATCTTTTCTCTCTTTTTTTTTTTTTTTTTTTTTTTTGAGATGGAGTCTCACCCTGTTGTCCAGGCTGCAGTACATTGGCGCAATCCTGGCTCACTGCAACCTCTGCCTCCTGGGTTCAAGTGATTTTCTCCTGCCTCCGTCTCCCCTAGTAGCTGAGACTACAGGCATGCGCCACAATACCTGGCTAATTTTTGTATTTTTTTTAGTAGAGACGGGGTTTTGCCATGTTGGTCAGGCGGTCTTGAACTCCTGACCTCAGATGATCCGCCCACCTCGGCCTCCCAAAGTGCTGGGATTACAGGCATGAGCCACCGCGCCAGGCCTAGTATCCATCTTTTCTAATATACGTACCCAGAATCGACCAGGTGACTGGCACAAAGTGATGCTCAATAAATCTATTTAATGCATAAAACATTACTAATTCATACATTAATAGTTGCTTCTATGAGTATGTGCCACTTTACAATGAGAATTCTTAGTGATCTGGATTCTATATTATATATCTTCTGTTTAACACCTAGCACATTTGTGTAAATGTAAGCATAAATATCACCATCACATACTTTCTTGAATGTTTGAAAATAACTAAATAGATATTAGTATAAATTAAATTACTAAATCTCAGTTACATTTCCCCATACCACTGGTTCTCAAAATGTGGTTCAGAGATCCCTGGGGTCCCCAAGACACTTTCAGGGAATTGGTGAGGTCCTAGAATTTTTTTCATATAATTTAACAAAAAAAATAACATATCAAAACACACAGAATGTAGAACCAGATGTGAGAATATGTTTGTCTTCTATTAAGCCAGACATTAAAGAAATTGGCAAAAATGTAAAATAATGCCATTATTCTCACTAAACTTTTGTTCTGAAAAAAATTTTTCATAAAATATTATTTCTGCTAATGTAATAGCCTTATTTTGTAATTAGTTAATAAATATTTTTTAAATTTCTGAATTTTAATTTTAATATAGTAATTATCAATAGGTACAACCCACGAAATCTATAGCACTTTAGGGTTCTCAATAAGAGTATAAAGGGGTCCTGAAGCTGAAAGTGTGAGAACCAGTCTCTTAAACTGACATTTAAAAAAGGTAAAATCTGGGCCAGGCACGGTGGCTCACTCCTGTAATAACCAGCACTTTGGGAGGCCGAGATGGGCAGATAACTTGAGGTCAGGAGTTTGAGACCAGCCTGGCCAACACGGTGAAACCTCGTCTCTACTAAAAATACAAAAATTAGTCAGGTGTGGTGGTGGATGCCTGTAATCCCAGCTACTCCGGAGGCTGAGGCAGGAGAATCACTTGAATCCGGGAGGCAGAAGTTGCAGTGAGCTGAAATCGCACCACTGCACTCCAGCCTGGGCAACAGAAACTCCATCTCAAAAAAAAAAAAAAAAGGTAAAATCTGCCAGGTGTGGTGATTTATACCAGTAATCTCAATGACTCAGGAGGATGAGATGGGAGGATTACTAAAGATCAGGAGTTTGAGACCAGCCTGGGCAAAATAGTGAGACCACATCTCTAAAAAAAAAAAAAGTAATTAAAAAAACATTTTTTTTAACAGTAAAGTCTAAACCAGGCATGGTGGCTCACTTCTGTGATCCCAGCTACTTGGGAGGCTGAAGTGGAAGCATCACTTGAGCCCAGGAGTTAGAGCCTGCAGTGACTGGTAATTATGCCACTGCACTCCAGCCTGGACAACACAGCAAGACTGTCTCTCTCTTTTTTTTAAAGGGGGTAAAATCTAAAATATATTCACTATATCAATACATCTCTTATTTTAGGAAGCTCAAAGTGTTAAAAAAAAAAAAAAGCACTCTAATAATCACACCAGGAATTATCTACGAAATAAAATTTTGTTTAGTCAATTAAGTTATTCTTTGAATTCCTTACCATAGGCACATCAGGTGAGAGAGGACTAAAGTCTTCAGAACATCTTTTACTTCCAGATGATAATTTTGTTGTATCTGCAACTTCACCATTGGGCAATATACCATCTGCAAACCATACTCTCTTCTGTTCTTTGGAACATAGTCCTAGAATCAATTGAAAAAGTAAAACATTTGAATCTGGTAATATGGCAATGATTTAATGCCAAAAAGATTGTGAAATGTTTTCAAAAGCTTTTTGCTATCCACTGGCAACCCCTGAATTCTCAGGGCTACAAAGATCTAGAGAAATGGCCTTTTGTGATTCCTCTATCCTAAGTGGAGTCTGTTTCTATCTAATTCGTACAAAGGGAGCAGGAGTGGCCTTGGCAATCATATACTATGAAAAGGAATGGACAGGAGATCTATCTAATTCATAGCATATTAGACCAGAGGTGGGTCTGGGAATCACTCTGAAGAGGAGTAGATAGGAGAGATTACACCTTAAAGACAACAGGGAAGGACGATTTAAAGCCTGTATTATTGAGGCTGTTTGTGTGAGTAAGGAGTAGAGACTGAATAAAATTTAGGGACTAAAGTACAGTGATGAAAAGTGCAGTAGACTGAAGCATATATATATATTGCTTATCTATATATTCTTCATATATATATATAAAGAAAAAAAGAAATTTAAAAACCTAAAAAAAGGTAACAGGATCACTTGAAATGTCTTAATATCACAGGACATTTCTTACTACCACAGGACATTTCTTTCTTTTATTTAACAAGAGAAGCATAACATTTTTTGTTCTTATAATGTGGATACTGAATTTTATTCATATGTATCAATATTTCCTTTCAAATTTGAAGGAAATAACTAGATATCAGCATAAACATTTTTCTCTTTTCTTACAAAGCATCCATAGAGGAAGGTTACGAAAATCTCTGCCAGATGATTTTAGAATACTTTAAAAAAAAAAAAAAAGTTCAATGTCTGCTTTCCAGAACATCATAAAGATAACTCTGAAAAAATTTGAATTATATATACATATTTTTTGCAATGTAGGTAGACATATTAAATAAGATATCTTTCTTGTATTTGCAACATTTTTATAATTTAATCATTTGGGTTATCAATAGAATATATACATATTTTCAAACACAAATTATTCATCTTTAGAGCTATAATATACGACCATATAATGCTGAGTCTCCTTATTTCATTATAATAAATGGAAAATAGTTACTGAGTAATAAACTGAAGTCCACAAAAATAGGATTCAAATTTGCCTTTAACTGATACTTATGATTCTTTTCTAGCATGTTACAGACTAATAATTCATATTTAAAGACCTACATGTGCCTTACCCAAGATGCTAATTGATGACAGGTTGTAAAAAAGAACAGACAACTCAAAGATTTAAAAATAGATTTAAAAAATATTATTTCTGTGGTAAAATACACAATTAAAAATAGATTTTAAGGAAAAGGAGATAGAACAATTATTTACCTATTGCCTCTCAAACCCAAGCTCACCCTCTACAGTGGGCTCTTGGATGCCAGGCTGGAAGTCTGGAAAGTGCAATTCCCAGACTCTCTTGTTACTGGCTTTGGTCAGCTTTTTCCAATAGCAGGCACTGGTGGGAGACCATAAGGTGGGAAGAAATAAGAAGGAATTCTTTGTTTCTGGTTCCTGCCAGGATCTTTGCAGCAGCACCACCAACAGATACAGCTGCTAGACTCATGATTTTCAGTACTCCTAACATCAAATCTGGAGGTCTACTTTAGTCATCTGAGTACCAACTATATGAGGCCTCTTCATGGTGCTGTGACCAGGGCTTCTGACTCCCACATCTGAGATCCAAGCACCTCCTGGTGCTCCTGTACTGAGCTCTAGCCTCTCCCCTTTTGTAGCCCCAAACTCCAGTTGTGGTGGTTGCTTCCTGCAGTTACTAATTGCTGCGGCACTTGAGCACAGCCTTTTTGCTCTTCCAGTCTTCCAGCCTGCATGTGTAACCAATTCCCTGTATTAAATCTCTCTTGATACCTAGTCTGGTTTCTCTTTCCTGACTAGACTCTGGCTACATTAGAGAATTTCTATTTCAATAATTTATCTTTAGTCTAAGACACAGTTTTCTTCTATTACCTTCAACACCTGGTTGTTTAAGTGCTGAGACTGGCAAAGTTGCTGGTGAAGGTATACTGGATGTTTGGTTCTCCTGAGGAGGCTGGACAGTAGTACATTCATCAGAATGATTAGACTTAAGATTAGAACCAGTTGGACTCATCATCCTTTCAAATGCCTGAGCTATAAAGGGGAAAACAATAGTGTTAAAATCTCAGATGTTTTTGGAATTTACTTCAAAGTAAATTACAATAAATATTCTATTTTTCAAGTTGTAAGGAGAAAGAAAGAAATGGCTAATCAAGAAAAAGAAGTAGCACTTGGCAAAGATACTGTCTGAGTAGCCAGCACAGGCTCTTTAGTTGGCAGCATGCCACTTTGATAAGCTACCAATAAGTTATTTCAATATTATATCTGGTGTATGTTTGATATCTACAGAGAGTAACCCTTATTACATGACTGTCTCTGTTTTTGCCCTTGTACCCCTAGAGTCTATTTCCAACATAGTTTAGAGAGATTCTTTTAGACATAAATCATATCTCATTATTCCTCTGTTTAAAATCCTTTAATGGCTACCTAAAGTGAAAATTTAAGTTGTTACAATGGCTCACAAGACCCAACATAATTCATCCTTACCTCCTCCACTTTCCCAGTTACCTGTTTGACCTCATCTCTCACTACAATCCCACTCATTCACTATGGCCCAGCTACCCAGACCTCCTTGTTCTTCAAGTAAGTATTCCTCCAGCTTAGAATCTTTGCTCCTATTATTCCCTTGGCCTAGAATGTTCTTCTCGTACTCACACGGCTTCATTATCTCACTTCCTTCAAGACTCTGCTCACATGTCATATTACCATAAAGCCTTACTCTGATCACATTATAAAAAATACCACCTAAGACCAGGCACGGTGGCTCATGCTTGTAATCCCAACACTTTGGGAGGCCAAAGCAGGCAGATCGTTTAAGCTCAGGATTGCTTTGAGACCAGCCTGGGCAACATGGTGAAACCGCATCTCTACCATAAATACAAAAAATTAGCTGGGCGTGGTAGTGTGTGCCTGTGGTCCCAACTACTAGGGAGGCTGAGGTGGGAGGACTGCTTGAGCCTGGGAGGTGGAGGTTGCAGTGAGCTGAGATCACACCACTACACTCCAACTTGAGTGACAGAGTGAGACTCCATCTCAAAAAGAAAAAATTTCCTTTTGCCACTAATCTGTTAACTATCTATCACTCTTACACTTTTTAAATTTTTTAATTTAGGGTATTATCACCATCTGATATCTTTTTGTTTACTATCCATCTCTACATACATTCATAAATTTCATGAGAATATAGCTTCTATTTTGCTCTCTGCTTGAACTTCAGAATGCAGAATAGTGCCTGAATACTGCTGAGTGATTCTTCATCCAAAAAATAAGGAACACTGATAGCTCTCCCTTCAGCATTTCTCCAAACTGATCTGCTATCAATGCTGCCACTGCTAAAACAATCTTCCTCAAGTGCCACTGAATGATGGCACTCATAAAATGGCTTCCATTAACCAAGTGAAATCCAAACACTTTACTCTGGATTTCAAAGTAATTTCTAACTTGCCTCAAATCTACTTATTGATATTCACGTGTGCTTCCTTGAAACTCACATAATCTCAGGACAGCTTTCTCATTATCTACAATCTCTATTCAAATTATCTTTTTCTTCCAATCCTTCATGGCATATGTCTCACAACCCATGAACCGTCTTTCTCTTCTTATTTGATACCATTATTTTAAATGATCACTTCTATTATTTTCAACCCTAAAGCTGGTATTAACTTTTATTTATGCTCTCCTGTGGCATATGAATTAATGACAAATAGCACCATAAATGAAACTATATGCTATAAGACATCAAAATAGAATTTGAACAGATAACTAAATAAGCTCATTCCACAGTATTTTCTTTGATAAACCAAAGCTTGATCTCAGTATTCTACTGAATTTCTTTAATGATCATATCTTCTCCCCTCCTGGACCCTTAGAGTCAAAATATGTCTGAATGTTCACCCAAAAATCTGACCTGTCAACATAAATAACGTTTCAAATCTTCATGGATGTTTAATTTCTTTTTAAGTGGGGGAGATAATTATATGGGAGCTTGCTCTAAAATTTCTGAATTCTAGCAGATTGCCTTGGCTAACAGCACCAGCAGTCATCTTCTAGGCTACTGAAACAGCATAAGAAAAAACAAAACAACTATAAGCACTTAAACTAACCTCTTCATAAACAATGGTGGTAACATGGAAACATAAAAAGATTTACGCTTTGTTATCTTCCAGAGCAGAGGTCAACAGCAGGGAGAAAAGCAGCTTACCTCAGGCTAACAGACTCACATCAGAGCTTTTTGGAGAATTGCTGAAAAAAGTTATCTTCATTCAAAAGAGAAAAACAAATTATTATCAGGTATTCATTCCCCTGGCTAACAGGAAGCAGTGCCTGAGCTAGTGCACAGGTCTGGTCAAAAAAGGCCCAAGTAATATTTGCTAGGAATTAAACTGTCAACGAATCTTTGAAAATGCCAAGTGGTACTCAAAAGAATAAACATGGACTTGGGGAAAAAAACACCACACACACACACACACACACACACACACACACACACACACACACACCTGTGAGAACTCAAAGACCACCAAGAATATTGCTAATAATTGTAGCTAATTAGAGAGCCAAAGAAATAATGGGAAGTGTACATATGCAAAATTCTAAAGTTGAGAAAAGAAAAAAACATGAGACAAAAATGTGCAAATAGTGTGGCAGTCCTATGAATTTATAAAATCATAAATATTACCACCTTATCTTCTACTCTCATTTTAGGTTGTTATTTTCTAAAGGGTGTGAACTATTATCTTGCCCTGTGCTATTAATACATAATATTGAGTACTACTATTGGTAGGTATCTGTAAGTGTTTATTTAGATTAAGATGATTAACATGACAATGATGATGACAAAAACAAATAGGCAGATGAAATGCAGCATTTAGGGACTTGGTACCTGTTAAAAGTTAATGAACTGCCACTCCAGAAACTGAATGCTTCCTTTCCAGATTGGTAGTATTAATTGTGAGAGTGGAACAAAAAGAAGAGAAACCAAGCCTTGGGATGTCCCACCTAAGCCAGATAATTCAACACTAGGTCCTTGCCTTAAGAAAATAAAGAAGTTTATCTTTGTCACAATCCAATTAATTTTAAGATATATTCAATTACTGGAAGAAAATATATCAAGTTAATACTCACCTTTACTAATAGTTTCATAGCAGACTACACATACTCTTGCTTCCTTTTCTAGATATTGCAGTTTACACTTCCTATTACAACAGACACCACAAAATACCTATAAAGAATAAAATATCAAATTTGTCTTTGTTTCAAGAATACTTACACCTACTAGAGGCAGTGTGGGGAGGTCCTAAACCTAATTAACCAAAATTCTTTTTCCTTATTGTATAAATCATTTCCTAATCACCATAATCATAGGAATTCTTAAATGATTCTTTTTTTTGTAACTTAAATGAGGTTTCTGCAATTTGATACCATATTTCTGATAAGGAGAATTCCTTTAAATCAATTCTGTTCATTGGAAAGGGAACAAAAACTATCTTTAATGAATAAGTTCATAATATTAAAAAGTTCTCTGTAGTTCTTCATTTAAAACTTTTTAAAGTAAAATGTTATTTTGTTAAAAAAAAATAGGACTGATCTGAAACCAACATATTACTGAAAAATCTGAATAAAAATGTAATAGGATTTCTATGGGCAACCCTTAGAATTTATAGACAATCTTTTTATCTTGACTGTTATCAGTCAGAACTCAAGGTCAGCTTCAGTATTCTGAACCCTGTGGAAGCCAATTTGCTCTGGAGTGTTTCCCTGGGCATTGATCACAACACTAGCTGTAGATTGGTCTTGAAATTAAATGTTCAAGGACAAAGGGGAATCTGACCAAATCTGGAATATTTAATGTGTCAATATTAGAGAGATAAGAACAAATATTCTTAAATGTCACAAAAATTAGTAACTAAATAATTGTTTCTCATTTCCCAGCATGTACTTAATGCCCCTGACAATGTAACATTTATTCAACCATCAAGCAATCTGCAAAATGACACTGCTTTATATATTTCCCTGACTGGTAGATGAAAAACACTGATTTTAAACTAACTCAATCTTGTAATTATCTGTTCATCAGCCTTTTCTATCACATTGTATTTGTTTAAAATGTCTCAAAAGAACAAAAGACTTAAAAGATTTTTATAACTTACTTTCCCACATGCTCGGCAATGGTGTCGCCGTTTGGTAAAAGTAAATTTGACTTGGCAGTTCATACAGTTTGGAGCTTCTGAATCAGGAACCCAAGTAGGCTGTTTCTGGCCCAAAACCAAGCCTTCTTTGCAAGTGTTTTCAGGTACAGAATCTTCATTTGCAGTTACGAAACTAGATCCACCTTCAGAATTACTTTCTATATCAATGTAATTAGAGTTGAAGCTAACCTGTGGATCAGCTGTAGAATCTATAGCACAAGTGATTGGAACAACGGTATCTGCTGTGCTGGGTTCACTTTCTATTGTATCTGGAACATCTGGCTTATTCAGGTCCTTTGAACTCCTTGTTCTTGATGGAAGGCTAAACAATTGCTTAGGTCTGGCCCCTCCAACAGATTGACTGTTAATATCAGAGACCGATAATTGATTTGTAATCTCAGACTTACTGGTAGGTAACCCTTGTTGAACTGGAATAGTGCTTTTTTCTCCTAAAGAAAGGCCATTTTCTATTGTATTTTGTTTATCAACTATTTCACAAATTATATTAATACCATGACTTTCCCCAATAGCTCCTGCTTCTGCATTGAAATATATATTATTGATGTTTCCATCATCTAAGCCTTTCATATCTATCTGATTCATTTGCGATTTAGAGTCATTTACATTTTCTTCAAAAGACTTTATGTTAGTGGTCTGAAGATACTGTTCTGTCAGAAAGGCATCAAGTTCAGCATCACTAATTAGTGGGCCACTTTTTGCGCCTTCATCAATATTAAAGTAATCTAAGTCTTGCCCATCCATATCATTGCTTGAAAAAGTATTAATAAAACCTTCACAACAATCAGAAGACTCTGGGACATGAGTGCCAGAAAGCCCCTCTTGAGATTCTACAACTGTAGAACTGGTGTCACCACCATCCAAAGACTCAGCTCTGATTACTGTCTGGTCAGGATCTATCTTTCTGTCTTCCATCCCTTCAATTAATGACTGAAGGAGTATGCTTTTACATTTTTCCTGTTTCAAAAGATCATTCTCTTTGAATGGTTCCCCACCTAGAACAACACTGTTCTGTATTTCTTCATGTATAGTCACTGCATCTTGTATATTATCTTTATGTTCATGCTGAGGTAAAAAATCACCCCGTGCTTTACTTTCAATTAATGATCCACACATAGACCCAGACGCAGGAAGACAGGACAATGAGGACGGCACATCTTTACTGGAAACATGTAAAGCTGAAGAGGAATCTTGGATTACATCATTATCCTTAAGGTCTAAACTTTTTGAGTCTTCTTGTGCAGATTGTTTTATAACAGTCTTATCTTCCTGAAAGGAAAAGTCAGGTAATTTGAAATTTTCATCTCTTGAATTTGAATCATTTAAGCATAAATCTTCATTTTTCGGAAGGCTGCAGGTCAAAGCACTTGTCTTGCCCTCTTCTTTTAAACATTCTGCGGCAGTTATGACTGCCACATCTACTTCCTCTTTTACTAAGCCAACATCTTTTAGTAATCCACATGGCTGGCTCTTGTGTTGTAGCTTGTCTTTGGCATGAAACATTTTGGAACTTTGTCGAGTCAAAGCAGATGACATGTTAAAATCAACAATTGATTCTAACTGATTAAAGATCTTTTTATCTTTTAAATTTTCTGTTCCACTGTAATTATAGGAATCTGAAAGTGTTGTATCTACTTTTATACCCAATTCTTTGATTCCTCCGATTTCTCTATTTTGTAATTCAGAACTGATATCATTCTGTTGTTCTCTGACAGTATCACTATCATGGTCTGTTGAAGAAACACAGGGAGTATCTGACACTGAAGATAAATCCAATCCAATCAAGGAATCTGCATTAGACTTAAAATCATCTGGCAATAATTTTTTAATATCTTCTTCACTATTGGTTGCATGAACTAAGTTACCCATGTCACTTATCAGATCACAGATAGGTTTACTACATCGTCCCATATATAACGGCTGGATTTCATCTGAAGTACCACCATCCACAGAAGAAAGAAGATCAAGTCCTGTTACATTTTTTTCATTTTGTATAGAAGTAAGTCCCTTGAGTGTTTTTTCATTCAGGGAACTCTCATTTGTTCCATAGCTTGTTTCTGATGAGGCACAACTATTAACGCACTCTTGGTCTTTTGGGAGCAATGAAGTTCGCTGTGAGGAAGCCAACTCTGAAGAAACTGAGCAGTGGTTAGAATCATATGCATTTTGTACATCTTGGAGATAATCTTGTTCATCTGAAATAGAGAAACAGTGTTATTCGGGAGACTTAAATCAAATAAAAATTATTAAACATATTATGTTTCCCAAGACTTCTAAACTAAATACACTTTTTTAAAAGAACATAGATTATCCTTTTGCAAAACACAAATCACCTCCAAAACTATTTTTGTATTTCCTTTAGAGCATTTATTTTTATCTGAAATTATCTTGTTTGTGATTATTGGCTGTTTCAATTAACTAGAAAGTAAGTGTCACAAGTGCAGGGACCTTGTCTCTTTTTTTTCTGACTTACACCCCTATTGCTTAAAATAATTCCTGAAACTTAAGTGTTCAAGAAATGACTAACTGACTGCATAAACGAATGTCCTTAGATCTTGATCTCATGCATAGTTGCTCTGATAATTTGATGTCCTTGATCTTTGCTTTGTTTGGGAGGACTCCTCAAGTTGGCTTTCTACTTGTTCATTTTTCTGTCACCTGGATCCTACCCTCACTCCCCTGTGGTGCTCTAATTGAGGTTGCCAATTGTAGTAGCATCACACGCTATGGCCACGGTGATGGGCATGTGATGGTTTCAAGATGGGCCACTTAAGAGGCATTCTCCTGTTACTCCAAATTTGAAGAAAGGAAGGAGACTTGTCAGTGTGAATCTGGAGCTGTTGATGGCCACAGCCACATCCAGATAAAAGAAGCCAATAGTTCTGCATTGCTAGGGAGGCCTCAGGAAACTTACAATCATGGCAGAAGGCAAAGGAGAAGCACCTTCTTCACAAGGCAGCAGGAGAGAGAACCCAAAGCTATTTTTATTTGACTTTAAATTACTTCCTGGATTTTACTTTTGAATGTAGATATCATAAAGTGATAAAAATTCCACTCAAAAAAATAACTTAGTTGTGGCCAGGAATGGTGGCTTACAACTGTAATCCCAGCGCTTTGGGAAGCCACGGTCGGAGGATAACTTGAGATCAGGAGTTCAAGACCAGCCTGAGCAACACAGTGAGACCCCATCTGTAAAAAATATACACATTTTTAAATTAGCCGGGCATGCTGGCGCACACTTGTGGTCCCAGCTACTCAGAAGGCTGAGGTGAGAGGATTGCCTGAGGGCAGGAATTCAAGGCTGCAGTGAGCTATGACTGCACCATTGCACTCCGGCTAGGGTGAAAGAGCAAGACCCTGTCTCTTAGAAAAAAAAGAAACTTAGTTGCACTATAAAAACCAGACTAAGGAAGAACTAAAAAACAATCCAACGTCTTTGTTTTGACTTCCAGTTTCCTAGTCTTCGTTTTAAAGAAAATAACACCCAGACGTGGTGGCTCACGCCTATCATCCCAGCACTTTGGGAGGCTGAGACAGGCGGATAACCTGAGGCCAGGCGTTTAAGACTAGCCTGGCCAACATGGTGAAACCCCATCTCTACCAAAAATACAAAAATTAGGCCGGGCCTGGTGGCTCAGGCCTGTAATCCCAGCACTTTGGGAGGCTGAGGCGGGTGGATCACAAGGCCAGGAGTTCGAGACCAGCCTAGCCAATATGGTGAAACCCCGTTTCTACTAAAAATACAAAAATTAGCTGGGCATGGTGGTGGGCACCTGTAGTCCCAGCTACTCGGGAGGCTGAGGCAGGAGAATCGCTTGAACCTGGGAGGCAGAAGTTGCAGTGAGCCGAGATCATGCCACTGCACTCCAGCCTGGACAAGAGAGTGAGACTCCGTCTCAGAAACAAACAAACAAACAAAAAATTAGCCAGGCATGGTGGGGGGTGCCTGTAATCCCAGCTCCTCAGGAGGCTGAGGCAGAAGAAGTGCTTGAACCCGGGAAGTGGAGGTTGCAGTGAGCTGACATGGCGCCACTGCACTCCAGCCTGGGCAACAACAGTGAAACTCCATCTCAAAAAAGAAATAATAATAAAATAAAATACCATCTCTTGTTGTAATGAAATATCAATTCATGCAGAACTCTCAAGTTGCTTTTAGCTTGCTCATATGTTGGTCTTTCTGGGGCCAAGTACATGACTCATGCCTATAATCCCAACATTTTGGTAGGCTGAAGCAGGAGGATCACTTGAACCCCGGAATTCGAGACCAGCCTGGGCAACATAGGAAGATTCTGTCTCTACAAATAACTGAAAAATTAGCCAGCATGGTGGCATGCACCTATGGTCCCACTTGGAGGCTGAAGTGGGAGAAATGCTTGAGCCTCGGGGGTTGAGGCTGCAATGAGCTCTGATTGTGCCACTGCACTTCAGCCTGGGAGACAGAATGAGACTTTGTCTCAAAAATAAAAAGAAAAGAAAAGAAAAGAAATGTCTGTCTTATAGCTAATTTGTATCTAGAAAAAAACTTTCTAGGTTCCTTACTTCTGTTTCTGGCTATGGGTCCCATTCAGTCTAAGAATCAACTAACATCTTATTATGAAATAAATGAACTTTTTGCAGAAGATAACGTGACCAAAATTGAAAGAAAATTTTGCTAATATTACTGTATACCTGAGATAACTTAATTACAGATATTTTTAAATCCCATTAGCGGCAAAAATGGAAAATCAACAAACCTGGGTTCTGTTCAAAATCATCAAGGAGTTTGTCCAAGTCACTGACAGCTGCTTTAAAATAACTGTCCATCCTACCTGCAGACTTATTCAGAATTTAATTCTTGTATGCCTAAAAAATAGAAAGTATAATAATATTTCATTTAATTACATAACAAATTTTATGCCATGTATTCCATGCCAGGAAACACAGTCAAGAAATTGACACAGAAATAAAATTTAAGAGTGCTGCTTTAAGGAATATACAATTTAGTTGGGGAAACTGCCCCTGTATATGTAAAAATGACATGAAAACCAACTCTAACAACATAATATTTGCATATATAAACTATTGTAAATTTTTAAACACTTACCTAAATAACTCATGGGTCAAAGAAGAATTCATAATGGAAAGCTAAAACTACTTATAAATACAACATATCAAACTACAAACGCATAAAAATAATGCACATAAAAACTCTGGGATTCAGGAAAAGTGGTACTTCAAGAGATACTTAGAGCCTTAAATGCTTTTTTTTTTCTTTTTTTAGTGGAAGACAATTATATTCTAACAAATGAAACTATTTTTCAGCAGGGTTTACATGTCATCTCTTTCTATAAACTTCTCTGGAGTTTTTTTTATATACTTTTTATATTATACCTTAAGTTCTAGGGTACATGTGCATAACGTGCAGGTTTGTTAACGTATGTATACATGTCCCATGTTGGTGTGCTGCACCCATTAACTCATCATTTACATTAGGTATATCTCCTAATGCTATCCCTCCCACATCTCCCCACACCACGACAGGCCCTGGTGTGTGATGTTCCCCTTCCTGTGTCCAGGTGTTCTCATTGTTCAATTCCCAACTACGAGTGAGAATATGCGGTGTTTGGTTTTTCGTCCTTGCGATAGTTGGCTGAGAATGATGGTTTCCAGCTTCATCCATGTCCCTACAAATGACATGAACTCATCCTCTTTTATGGCTGCATAGTATTCCATGGTGTATATGTGCCACATTTTCTTAATCCAGTCTATCATTGATGGACATTTGGGTTGGTTCCAAGTCTTTGCTATTGTGAGTAGTGCCGCAATAAACATATGTGTGCATGTGTCTTTATAGCAGCATGATTTATAGTCCTTTGGGTATATACCCAGTAATGGGATGGCTGGGTCAAATGGTATTTCTAGTTCTAGATCCCTAAGGAATCGCCACACTGACGTCCACAATGGTTGAACTAGTTTACAATCCCACCAAGTGTAAAAGCATTCCTGTTTTTCCACATCCTCTCCAGCACCTGTTTCCTGACTTTTTAAGGATCGCCATTCTAACTGGTGTGAGACGGTATCTCATTGTGGTTTTGATCTGCATTTCTCTGATGGCCAGTGATGATGAGCATTTTTTCATGTGTTTTTTGGCTGCATATATGTCTTCTTTTGAGAAGTGTCTGTTCATATCCTTCGCCCACTTGTTGATGGGGTTGTTGGTTTGTTTTTTTCTTGTAAATTTGTTTGAGTTTTTTTGTAGATTCTGGGTATCTGCCCTTTGTCAGACGAGTAGATTGCAAAAATTTTCTCCCATTCTGTAGGTTGCCTGTTCACTCTGATGGTAGTTTCTTTTGCTGTGCAGATGCTCTTTAGTTTAATCTGATCCCATTTGTCAATTTTGGCTTTTGTTGCCATTGCTTTTGGTGCTTCAGACATGAAGTCCTTGCCCATGCCTATGTCCTGAATGGTATTGCCTAGGTTTTCTTCTAGGGTTTTTATAGTTTTAGGTCTAACATTTAAGTCTTTAACCCATCTTGAATTAATTTTCATATAAGGTGTAAGGAAGGGATTCCAGTTTCAGCTTTCTACATATGGCTAGCCAGTTTTCCCAGCACCATTTGTTAAATAGGGAATCCTTTCCCCATTTCTTGTTTTTGTCAGGTTTGTCAAAGATCAGATGGTTGTAGATGTGTGGTATTATTTCTGAGGGCTCTGTTCTGTTCCATTTGTCTATATCTCTGTTTTGGTACCAGTACCATGCTGTTTTGGTTACTGTAGCCTTGTAGTATAGTTTGAAGTCAGGTAGCGTGATGCCTCCAGCTTTGTTTTTTTGGCTTAGGATCGACTTGGCAATGCGGGCCCTTTTTTGGTTCCATATGAACTTTAAAGTAGTTTTTGCCAATTCTGTGAAGAAAGTCATTGGTAGCTTGATGTGGATGGCACTGAATCTATAAATTACCTTGGGCAGTATGGCCATTTTCACGATATTGATTCTCCCTATCCATGAGCATGGAATGTTCTTCCATTTGTTTGTATCCTCTTTTATTTCATTGAGCAGTGGTTTGTAGTTCTCCCTGAAGAGGTCCTTCACCTCCCTTGTAAGTTGGATTCCTAGGTATTTTATTCTCTTTGAAGCAACTGTGAATGGGAGTTCACTCATGATTTGGCTGTTTATCTGTTATTGGTGTTTAAGAATGCTTGTGATTTTTGCACACTGATTTTGTATCCTGAGACTTTGCTGAAGTTGCTTATCAGCTTAAGGAGATTTTGGGCTGAGACGATGGGGTTTTCTAAATATACAATCATGTTATCTGCAAACAGGGACAATTTGACTTCCTCTTTTCCTAATTGAATACCCTTTATTTCCTTCTCCTGCCTGAGTGCCCTGGCCAGAACTTCCAAAACTATGTTGAATAGGAGTGGTGAGAAAGGCATCCCTGTCTTGTGCCAGTTTTCAAAGGGAATGCTTCCAGTTTTTGCCAATTCAGTATGATACTGGCTGTGGGTTTGTCATAAATAGCTCTTATTATTTTGAGATACGTCTCATCAATACCTAATTTATTGAGAGGTTTTGGCATGAAGGGCCATTGAATTTTGTCAAAGGCCTTTTCTGCATCTATTGAGATAATCATGTGGTTTTTGTCTTTGGTTCTGTTTATATGCTGGATTACGTTTATTGATCTGCATATGTTGAACCAGCCTTGCATCCCAGAGATGAAGCCCACTTGATCACGGTGGATAAGCTTTTTGATGTACTGTTGGATTCAGTTTGCCAGTATTTGATTGAGGATTTTTGCAGCAATGTTCATCAGGGATATTGGTCTAAAATTCTCTTTTTTGGTTGTGCCTCTGCCAGGCTTTGGTATCAGGATGATGCTGGCCTCATAAAATGAGTTAGGGAGGATTCCCTCTTTTTCTATTGATTGGAATAGTTTCAGAAGGAATGGTACCAGCTCCTCCTTGTACCTCTGGTAGAATTCGGCTGTGAATCCGTCCTGTCCTGGACTTTTTTGATTGGTAAGCTATTAATTATTGCCTCAATTTCAGAGCCTGTTATTGATCTATTCAGAGATTCAACTTCTTCCTGGTTTAGTCCTGGGAGGGTGTATATGTCCAGCAATTTATCCATTTCTTCTAGATTTCCTAGTTTATTTGTGTAGAGGTGTTTATAGTATTCTCTGATGGCAGTTTGTATTTCTGTGGGATCGGTGGTGTTATCCCCTTTATCATTTTTTATTGCGTCTATTTGATTCTTCTCTCTTTTGTTCTTTATCAGTCTTGCTAGCAGTCTATCAATTTTGTTGATCTTTTCAAAAAACCAGCTCCTGGATTCATTGATTTTTTGAAGGGTTTTTTGTGTCTCTATCTCCTTCAGTTCTGCTCTGATCTTAGTTATTTCTTGCCTTCTGCTAGCTTTTGAATGGGTTTGCTCTTGCTTCTCTAGTTCTTTAAATTGTGATGTTAGGGTGTCAATTTTAGATCTTTCCTGCTTTCTCTTGTGGGCATTTAGTGCTATAAATTTCCCTCTACACATGCTTTGAATGTGTCCCAGAGATTCTGGTATGTTGTGTCTTTGTTCTCGTTGGTTTCAAAGAACATCTTTATTTCTGCCTTCATTTCGTTACGTACCCAGTAGTCATTCAGGAGCAGGTTGTTCAGTTTCCATGTAGTTGAGCAGTTTTGAGTGAGTTTCTGAATCCTGAGTTCTAGTTTGATTGCACTGTGGTCTGAGAGACAGTTTGTTATAATTTCTGTTCTTTTACATTTGCTGAGGAGTGCTTTACTTCTAACTATGTGGTCAATTTTGGAATAAGTGCAATGTGGTGGTGAGAAGAATGTATATTCTGTTGATTTGGGGTGGAGAGTTCGGTAGATGTCTATTACGTCCGCTTGGTGCAGAGCTGAGTTCAATTCCTGGATATCCTTGTTAACTTTCTGTCTCGTGGATCTGTCTAATGTTGACAGTGGGGTGTTAAAGTCTCCCATTATTATTGTGTGGGAGTGAAAGTCTCTTTGTAGGTCTCTAAGAACTTGCTTTATGAACCTGGGTGCTCCTGTATTGGGTGCATATATATTTAGGATAGTGAGCTCTTCTTGTTGAATTGATCCCTTTACCAGTCTGTAATGGCTTTGTCTCTTTTGATCTTTGTTGGTTTAAAGTCTGTTTTATCAGAGACTAGGATTCAACCCCTGCCTTTTTTATGTGTTTGGTATATCTTTTTCCATCCCTTTATTTTGAGCCTATGTGTGTCTCTGCATGTGAGATGGGTTTCCTGAATATAGCACACTGATGGGTCTCGACTCTTTATCCAATTTGCCAGTCTGTGTCTTTTAACTGGAGCATTTAGCCCATTTACATTTAAGGTTCATATTGTTATGTGTGAATTTGATCCTGTCATTATGACGTTAGCTGGTGATTTTGCTCGTTAGTTGATGCAGTTACTTCCTAGCATCGATGGTCTTTACAATTTGGCATGTTTTTTGCAGTGGCTGGTACCAGCTGTTCCTTTCCATGTTTAGTGCTCCCTTCAGGAGCTCTTGTACAGCAGGCCTAGTGGTGACAAAATCTCTCAGCATTTGCTTGTCTGTAAAGGATTTTATTTCTCCTTCACTTATGAAGCTTAGTTTGGCTGGATATGAAATTCTGAGTTGAAAATTCTTTTCTTTAAGAATGTTGATATTGGCCCCCACTCCTGGCTTGTAGAGTTTCTGCTGAGAGATCAGCTGTTAATCTGATGGGCTTCCCTTTGTCGGTAACCTGACCTTTCTCTCTGGCTGCCCTTAACATTTTTTCCTTCATTTCAATTTTGGTGAATCTGACAATTATGTGTCTTGGAGTTGCTCTTCTCGAGGAGTATCTTTGTGGCATTCTCTGTATTCCTGAATTTGAATGTTGGCCTGCCTTGCTAGGTTGAGGAAGTTCTCCTGAATAATATCCTGAAGAGTGTTTTCCAACTTGGTTCCATTCTGCCAGTCACTTTCAGGTACACCAATTAGACGTAGATTTGGTCTTTTCACACAGTCCCATGTTTCTTGGAGGCTTTGTTCGTTTCTTTTTATTCTTTTTTCTCTAAACTTCTCTTCTTGCTTCATTTCATTCATTTGATCTTCAATCACTGATACCCTTTCTTCCAGTTGATCGAATCGGCTACTGAAGCTTGTGCATTTGTCATGTAGTTCTCATGCCA
This sequence comes from Homo sapiens, assembly GCF_000001405.40. NCBI lineage: Eukaryota > Metazoa > Chordata > Mammalia > Primates > Hominidae > Homo > Homo sapiens. Next base: position 80,428,784 of record NC_000005.10, on the reverse strand, counting down.
TGGTTCTCAGCTCCATCAGGTCATTTAAGGACTTCTCTACATGGGTTATTCTAGTTAGCCATTCGTCTAATCTTTCTTCAAGGTTTTTAGCTTCTTTGCGATGGGTTCGAACTTCCTGCTTTAGTTCGGAGAAGTTTGGTCGTCTGAAGCCTTCTTCTCTCAACTCATCAAAGTCATTCTCTGTCCAGCTTTGTTCCATTGCCGGTGAGGAACTGCGTTCCTTTGGGGGAGGAGAAGCACTCTGATTTTTAGAATTTTCAGCTTTTCTGCTCTGTTTTTTCCCCATCTTTGTGGTTTTATCTACCTTTGGTCTTTGATGATGGTGACGTATAGATGGGGTTTTGGTGTGGATGTCCTTTCTGTTTGTTAGTTTTCCTTCTAACAGTCAGGACCCTCAGCTGCAGGTCTGTTGGAGTTTGCTGGAGGTCTACTCCAGACCCTGTTTACCTGGGTTTCAGCAGCGGAGGCTGCAGAACAGTGAATGTTGCTGAACAGCAAATGTTGCTGCCTCATCATTCCTCTGGAAGTTTCGTCTCAGAGGGGTACCCGGCCATGTGAGTTGTCAGTCTGCCCCTACTCGGGGGTGCCTCCCAGTTAGGCTACTCGGGGGTCAGGGACCCACTTGAGGAGACAGTCTGTCCGTTCTCACATCTCAAACTCCGTGCTGGGAGAACCGCTGCTCTCTTCAAATCTCAGTTGGAAATGCAGAAATCACCCGTCTTCTGTGTCGCTCACGCTGGGAGCTGTAGACTGGAGCTGTTCCTATTCGGCCATCTTGGAACCGCATCTTTTTTTTTTTTTTTTTTTTTTTTTGAGATGGAGTCTCGCTCTGTCACGCATGCTAGAGTGCAGTGATGCTGTCTTGGCTCACTGCAACCTCCATCTCCCAGGTTCAAGCGATTCTCCTGCCTCAGCCTCCTGAGTAGCTGGGACTACAGGCGTGCGCCACCAGGCTCAGTTAACTTTTGAACCTTTTTTAGAAGAGTGGGGGTTTCACCATTTTGGCCAGGCTGTCTCGATGACCTCAAGTCTTCTGCCCGTCTCAGCCTCCCAAAGTGCTGGGATTACAGGCATGAGACACTGCACCTGGCCACCTTAGACACTTATACTACAAAAGAAGAAAGACTGAAAACTAATAAACTAAGAGCAAAAATTCAAAAAAAAAAAAAAAAAAGCATACGACAGAGGCACAAGAAACTAACAGTTAGTTTTATGAAAAGATGAAAAAAGTAGACGAACCTCTGGTCTGGAACAGAAACTCCACCAAATAAGCCCGAGAAACCTCACAGGAATCTGTCAATAAGTAATGGGATAATATCAAAAGGACAAAAGCCAAGTTGAAGGGCACTGGCTTAAATGGGACAAGTGAGCATCAAATGAATGAAAACTGTGAAGGACTAAACACAAATCAAATAGATTTTTTTTAAAAAAACAAAAGATCAAATCATACTAAAGACAAAAACAAAACATACCACTCATTGGAGGGTTAGCAGGGCACTAACCAATTATTCTGAGAATTGATCAATTAAAGGAAAAAAATCAAGAATTTATCCTACCCAAGGACATGACAGGCACTTTTCAAAAGAAGACATTTATGTGTGGCCGGGCGCAGTGGCTCACACCTGTAATCCCAGCTCTCAGGGAGGCAAGAGGCAGGAGGATAGCTTGAGCCCAGGAGTTCGAGACCTGCCTGGGCAATATAGCGAGACCCCATTCTCCAGAAAAAGGAAAAAAAAAAAAAGACATTTATATGGCCAATGAACATAAAAGGGCTCAACATCACTGATCATTAGAGAAATGCAAATTAAAACCACAATGAGATACCATCTCAGGCCAGTCAGAATGGCAATCATTAAAAAGTCAAGAAACAACAGATGCTGGTGAGGCTGTGGAGAAATAGGAACACTTCTATGCAAAGACAGTGTAGCGATTCCTCAAAGACCTAGAATCAGATATACCATTTGTCACAGCAAAATCCAATTACTGGTATACACCCAAAGGAATAGAAATCATTCTATTATAAAGATACATGCATGTGTATGTTCACAATAGCAAAGACATGGAATCAACCCAAATGCCCATCAATGATAGACTGGATAAAGAAAATGTGGTATATATAACACCATAGAATACTATGTGGTCATAAAAAGGAACAATATCATGTCCTTTGCAGGTACATGGATGAGGCTAAAAGCCATTATTCTCAGCAAACTAATGCAAGAACAGAAAACCAAACACCTCATGTTCTCACTTAAAATAAGTGGGAGGTGAACAATGAGAACACGTGGACACAGGGAGGGGAACCAGACACACTGGGGCCTGCTGGGGTGGGGGGGTGGTGGTGAGGGGAGAGCATCAGGATAAATAATGCATGTGGGGCTTAATATCTAGATGATGGGTTGACAGGTGCAGCAAACCACCGTGGCACACGTTTACCTATGTAACAAACCTGCACATCCTGCACATGTATCCTGGAACTTTAAATTTAATTATATATATATATATATATATACACACACACACACACACACACACACACACAGACACACACACATACACACACACACACACACACACACACACCACACACACACATATATATATATATATCTCAATCCGGGGAACCCTGTCCTTAATAATATTGAAATTTCCAATTCATGAGCATGGTATATGATGTGATTAAGCCTCTGTTATATTTCAATAAAGCTTTGTCATTAAAAGAGAAAAATTTATCCTGCCCTTTATTTACAAAATATACTTTGTAACAAAATAATTACTGATGAAAAGTTCTTTAGATAAGAATTCCAGTTAATAAGTACAAAAGGATGTTAAAAATTTTTAATTCATCTCTTCATAATCCCGAATGCAATAAACAGACTAGGCCATGGCTATAAATGGATGTTTACAAGGCTAGAGAAAAAGGTTTACGGGGAACTTTATAATGGTGGGATCAAGTCAACACATCCAAACCCAACAATCAATTTCACCATCAATAAATGTGGAAGAACAATATCACCTAAAAAATATTACTGCCTAAAAAAAACTGCATCTGAATCTAATCAAACTAACTGCATGTTTACAGGAAAGTCAAGCATAAGGGACAAGTTAAATAACATAAAAAGAAAGCAATCAACTAAGCTAATCCTGGAAGGTGAAACACTGTACAGCAACATTCCTCAAACTGCCTATGGTAAATATTTTTCTTACACCTCCAATCCATTGCAAACTCTTACTTTTTAAAAATACAATGAAACTATACAAATTTGTAATAATAAATACAAACAAAAGAATATACATTATTAAACACATCTGTTTGGCTACCTAGCATGGGGACTAGGAAGGGTAAACGGGAGTAAAAGACAATAAACAAATAAGAGGGTTTTACAAGAACTAATTATGATTGTGTGCCATCAACTAAGGACATCTGAGGTCCAGACAAATAAATAAATAAGAGATACTTTAAAAATGGGCTTGAAAATTAGGCAGAGCTTAAGAGAGAACTGAATGACATCGAAGACCTATCTGAAGAAATTACCTAAAGTAATGCCCAGAGGGACGAGGAAGAGAAAAATACAAAAACTAGGTTAAAAGGTATTGAAGACAAAATGAGAATGGAGTACTCTAAGGAGAAAAGACAGCATGGAACAACTATATTTGAAAAGATAATGCTGGGAGTTTTTCCAGAATTGATGAAAAAGCCAACTCAACAGATACAGGTAACATATTACACCAGACGATACAAAGAGAAATCCACATTTAGACACACTATTGTAAAACTACTAAACCCCAAAGATAGAACAGCCAGAGAGCAAAGGTCGCTTTCAAATGAACAATAATTATGCTGGCAACAAACTTAAAACTAACAGGTACACTTCAGAAGAATTTTCAATAACATTGGTTTGGCATCTTAATTCAATGAAGCATGTTACCTTTTTTTGTTTCAATTTTTAAATTGTGGTTATACCACGCACATAGAAGAGTGCACAAAATAAACAGATACCAAACAAACAAAAGGAATTCAGAGGCCAGGCGTGGTGGCTCACACCTGTAATCCCAACACTTTGGGAGGCCAAGGCAGGTGAACTGCTTGAGGTCAGGAGTTCGAGACCAGCCTGGCCAACATAGTGAAACCCCGTCTCTACTAAAAGTACAAAAATTAGCTGGGCATAGTGGTGCATGCCTGCAATCCCAGTTACTTAGGTAACTGAGGCAGGAGAATCACTTGATCCCAGGAGGCAAAGGTTGCAGTGAACCAAGATCACACCACTGCACTCCAGCCTGGGCAACAGAGCAAGATCCTGTCTCAAAAAAAAAAAAAGGAATTTGGAGGAAGACACAATGCAGGAGGCAGAATAAAACTTCAAAGAAGCTAATTAATATTCTCAGAGACAAAAAAGCAATGCAACCATGAAACAGGAACAGGAAGCCATAAATAAGAACTACATATAGAGAACAAAAAAAGGTCATGGAACCTGATCGCAGAAATCTTAAAATTCAAGCAAGGCTTGTGAGCTGCAGTGAAAGCACTGTTTAAGGGACAGTGACAGCATTAAAAATGCATATATTGAAAAAGAATTTGGGAGGCCAAGGTGGGTGGATCACCTGAGGTCAGGAGTTCGAGACTAGCCTGGCTAACATGGTGAAACCCCGTCTCTACTAAAAAATACAAAAATTAGCTGGGCATGGTGGCAGGCACCTGTAATCTCAGCTACTCGGGAGGCTGAGGCAGGAGAATCACTTGAACCTGGGAGGTGGAGGCTGCAGTGAGCCAAGATCCCACCATTGCACTCCAGCCTGAGCAACAAGAGTGCAACTTCATTTCAAAAAAAAGAAAAAGTAAAAGAAAAAAAAAATCTAAAATCAATAAGCATCCACCTTGGGAAACTAGAAAAACAAAAATAATTTTGGCCTAAAACAAGTAGGAAAATAAAAATTAGAGCAGAAATCGGCCAGGCGCAGTGGCTCACGCCTGTAATCCCAGCATTTTGGGAGGACGAGGTGGGCGGATCACAAGGTCAGGAGATCGACACCATTCTGGCTAACAAGGTGAAACCCCGTCTCTACTAAAAAATACAAAAAAAATTAGCCAGGCATGGTGGCGGGTGCCCGTAGTCCCAGCTACCTGGGAGGCTGAGGCAGGAGAATGGCGTGAACCTGGGAGGTGGAGCTTGCAGTGAGCTGAGATCTTGCCACTGCACTCCAGCCTGGGCAACAGAGCAAGACTCCATCTCAATACATAAATAAAAAATAAAAATTAAATTGGAGCAGAAATCAATGGAATTTAAAACAGGAAAACAATAGAGAAATAGAGGAAACCAATTAAACAAAAACTCATTCCTTTAAAAGACCAATAAAATTGATAAACCAGGCTAATTAACAGAGACATAAACGATCAATTACAAAAATAAAAGAGGAGTCATCACTACTGATGCCACGGATACAAAAAAGATAATAAAGGAATATTATTAACAACTCTGCCCACAAATTTGGTAATTTAGATGAAATGAACCAATTCCTCAAATGATATAAACGGCCAAAAGTCATACAAGGAGAAACAGATAACCCAAAATCCCTACATCTATTTTAAAAATTAAATAAATAATTAATAACGTTCCATAAAAATAAATCACCAGATCCAGATGGATCCACTGCTGAATTTTGCCAAACATCTAAAGAAAAAATAATACCAATTCTCTATAATCTCTTCCAGAAAAAAGCAGCAGAGGGAACACTTCTAACTTATACTATAAGACCAGCATTATCCTAATATCAAAACCAGATAAAGACACTGCAAGAAAGGAAAACTACAGACCAATATTGCCCATGAACATAGGTATAAAAATGCTCAAGAAAATGGTGCCAAATTGAATCCAACAATGTATTGAAAAATTATACATCATGACCAATATGATTTATCCAGGTATGCAAGGCTGGTTCAACATTTCAAAATTAATCAATATAATCTACCATATTAACAAACTAAGGAAGACATATATAATCACATAAATTGATGCTAATAAAAACAATATCCAGGCTGGACGTAGTGGCTCATGCCTGTAATCCCAGTACTTTGCGAGGCTGAGACGGGCAGATCACAAGGTCAGGAGTTTGAGACCAGCCAGGCCAACATGGTGAAACCCCATCTCTACTAAAAATAAAAAAATTAGCCTGGCATGGTGGCGGGCACCTGTAATCCCAGCTACTCAGAAGGCTGAGGCAGGAGAATCACTTGAATCCGGGAGGCGGAGGTTGCAGTGACCCGAGATCACGCCACTGAACTCCAGCCTGGGAAACAGACAGAGCGAGACTCTGTCTCAAAAACAAAACAAAACAAATACAATATACATTCATGAGAAAAACTCTTAGCAAACTATGAGTAGAGGGAAACTTCTTCAATCTGATAAAGAATAAGTATAAAATATCTACAATTAACAGTATACTTAATAAGAAACTGCCTTGCCTCAAGTATTGGGATCAAGGAAAGGATATCTTCTCTCATGACTCCTATTCAACATAATACGGAAAGCCTTGGCTAGCGCAATAAGACAAGAAAAGGAAAACCCCATATAGAAAACCCTATTGTCTCAGCCCAAAATCTCCTTAAGCTGATAAGCAACTTCAGCAAAGTCTCAGGATACAAAATTAAGGTGCAAAAATCACAAGCATTCTTATACACCAATAACAGACAAACAGAGAGCCAAATCATGAGTGAACTCCCATTCACAATTGCTTCAAAGAGAATAAAATACCTAGGAATTCAACTTACAAGGGATGTGAAGGACCTCTTCAAGGAGAACTACAAACCACTGCTTAACAAAATAAAAGAGGACACAAACAAATGCAAGAACATTCTATGCTCTTGGATAGGAAGAATCAATATCATGAAAATCGCCATACTGCCCAAGGTAATTTATAGATTCAATGCCATCCCCATCAAGCTACCAATGACTTTCTTCACAGAACTGGAAAAAAACTACTTTAAAGTTCATATGGAACCAAAAAAGGGCCCGCATTGCCGAGACAGTCCTAAGCCAAAAGAACAAAGCTGGAGGCATCACGCTACCTGACTTCAAACTATACTACAAGGCTACAGTAACCAAAACAGCACGGTACTGGTACCAAAATGGAGATATAGACCAATGGAACAGAACAGAGCCCTCAGAAATAATACCACACATCTACAACCATCTGATCTTTGACAAACCTGATAAAAACAAGAAATGGGGAAAGGATTCCCTATTTAATAAATGGTGCTGGGAAAACTGGCTAGCCATAAAAAGAAAGCTGAAACTGGATCCCTTCCTTACACCTTATAAAAAATTAATTTAAGATGGACTAAAGACTTAAATGTTAGACCTAAAACCATAAAAACCCTAGAAGAAAACCTAGGCAATACCATTCAGGACATAGGCATGGGCAAGGACTTCATGTCTAAAACACCAAAGCAATGGCAACAAAAGCCACAGTTGACAAATGGGATCTAATTAAACTAAAGAGCATCTGCACAGCAAAAGAAACTACCATCAGAGTGAACAGGCAACCTACAGAATGGGAGAAAATTCTTGCAATCTACTCATCTGACAAAGGGCTAATATCCAGAATCTACAAAGAACTCAAACAAATTTACAAGAAAAAAACAAACAACCCCATCAAAAAGTGGGCGAAGGATATGAATAGACACTTCTCAAAAGAAGACATTTATGTAGCCAAAAAACACATGAAAAAATGCTCATCATCACTGGCCATCAGAGAAATGCAGATCAAAACCACAATGAGATACCGTCTCACACCAGTTAGAATGGCGATCATTAAAAAGTCAGGAAACAACAGGTGCTGGAGAGGATGTGGAGAAACAAGAACACTTTTACACTGTTGGTGGGACTGTAAACTAGTTCAACCATTGTGGAAGACAGCGTGGCGATTCCTTAGGGATCTAGAACTAGAAATACCATTTGACCCAGCCATCCCATTACTGGGTACATACCCAAAGGATTATAAATCATGCTGCTATAAAGACACATGCACACATATGTTTATTGCGGCACTATTCACAATAGCAAAGACTTGGAACCAACCCAAATGTCCATCAATGATAGACTGGATTAAGAAAATGTGGCATATATACACCATGGAATACTATGCATCCATAAAAAAGGATGAGTTCATGTCCTTTGTAGGGACATGGATGAAGCTGGAAACCATCATTCTCAGCCAACTATCGCAAGGACAAAAAACCAAACACTGCATGTTCTCACTCATAGGTGGGAATTGAACAATGAGAACACTTGGACACAGGAAGGGGAACATCACACACCAGGGCCTGTCGTGGTGTGGGGAGATGTGGGAGGGATAGCATTAGGAGATATACCTAATGTAAATGATGAGTTAATGGGTGCAGCACACCAACATGGGACATGTATACATATGTTAACAAACCTGCACGTTGTACACATGTACCCTAGAACTTAAAGTATAATAAAAAATAATAATAAATAATAATAAAAATAAAAATTAGCTGGGCGTGGTGGTACACGCCTATAATCCCAGTTACTCAGGAGGCTGAGGCAAAAGAATCCCTTGAACCTGGGAGGCAGAAGTTCCAGTGAACTGAGATTGTGCCACTGCACTCCAGCCTGGGTGCCAGAGCTAAACTCTGTCTCAAAAGAAAAAAAAAAAGCCAGGCGCGCTGGCTCACGCCTGTAATCCCAGCACTTTGGGGGGCCAAGGTGGGCAGATCACGAGGTCAGGAGTTCAAGACCAGCTTGACCAACATGGTGAAACCCCGTCTCTACTAAAAATACAAAAATTAGCCAGGCGTGGTGGAGTGTACCTGTAATCCCAGCTACTCAGGAGGCTGAGGCAGGAGAATCGCTTGAACCCGGGAGGCGGATGTTGCAGTAAGCCAAGATCACACCACTGCACTCCAGCCTGGGTGACAGAGTGAGACTCTGTCTCAAAAAAATAAAACAAAACAAAAAAAAACCAAAGACATGAATTCTTCCCAACCTGATCTCTAGATTCTTGTGCAATCCCAACTAAAATCCTAGCAAGCTACTCTGTAGGCCTCAAGAAACTAATCCTGAAGTTTATATGAAAAGAGAAAGAATCAGCCAGGCGCAGTGGCTCATGCCAGTAATCCCAGCACTCTGGGAGGCTGAGGTAGGCGGATCATGAGGTCAAGAGTTCGAGACCAGCCTGGCCAACATGGTGAAACCCTGTCTCTACTAAAAATAAAAATAAGAAAAGACAAAGAATCTAGAATAGCTAAAGTGATACTGGAGAACAAAGTTGGAGGACTCACACTACCTAATTTAAAGATGCACAAGAAGGTTCTAGTAATCAGGGCAATTTGGTATTGGCAAGAGAACAGACACGTAGATCAATAAAACAGAATAGACCCCAGAAATGGCCAGGCATGGTTGGCTCACGCCTATAATCCCAGCACTTGGGAGGCAGAGGCAGGCAGAATGCTGGAGCCCAGGAGTTCAAGACCGGCCAGGGCAACATGGAGAAACTCTGTCTCCACAAAACATAAAAAATAAGCTGGACATGGTGCCATGCGCCTGTAGTCCCAGCTACTTGGGAGGCTGAGGTGGGAGAATCAGCTGAAACCAGGGAGGCTGAGGCTGCAGAGAGCCATGATTACACCACTGCACTGTAGCCTGGGCAACAGAGTGAGACCCTGCATAAAAAAAAAAAGACCCCCCAAAAAAAAAAAACCCACACCGATCTTTGACAAAGGAGCAAAGGCAATTCAATGGAGAATGGACAGTCTTTTCAATAACAGGTGCTGAAAAAACTGGACATCTCTATGAAAAATATGAACCTAGACACAGACATTACACCTTATATAAAAACATATTCAAAGTGGGTAACCTAAACTTAACATTCAAAATTGTAAAATTTCTTCAGGAAAACACAGGAGAAAATCTACATAACCTTGGGTTTGGTGAGGAGTTTTTAAATACAATACCAGTACCATGATCCACGAAAGAAAAAATGGTAAGTTTGATCTTATTAAAATGTAAAACTTGCACTCTGCAAAAGATACTGTTAAGAGAATAAGAAGACAAGCCATAGACTGGAATATCTGCAAAACACATATCTGATTAAGGACTTGTATCTAAAACTCTATAAAGAACTCTTAAAATTTGACAAGAAGATAATCCAAGGCCAGGCACAGTGGCTCACACCTGTAATCCCAGCACTTTAAGAAGCTGAGGTGGGAAGTTCACTTGAGGCCAGGAGTTCAAGACCAGCCTGGGCAACATAGAGAAACCTCATCTCTAAGAAAAAAATTAAAAATTAGTTAGGTGTGGGGGTGCATACCTATAGTTCTAGCTACTTGAGAGGCTCAGATGGGAGGATAGCTTGAGCCCAGGAGTTGAAGGTTACAGTGAGGTATGAGCGTGCTACTGCACTCCAGCCTAGGCAACAGAGTCAGACCCTGTCGAAAAGAAAGGAGGGGGAGGGGAGGGGAGGGCAGGGGAGGGGAGGGGAAGGGAAAAGAAAGAGCAAAGAGGAGGGGAAAGGAAAGAGGAGAGGAGAAGAGAAAGGAGAGAGGAGAGGAGAAAGAGGAGAGAAGAGGGGAAAGGAAAGGAAAGGAGAGAAAAGGCAAAAAGTGAAAGAAAAGGAAAAGAAGAAAGAAAATAATCCAATTTTAAAATTGGCAAAAGTACTGAATGGACATCTTACCAAAGAAGATATAAGGATGGAAAATAAGAATATGAAAAATGCTGAACATCATTTGTCTTTAGGGAACTGCAGATTAGAACAATGAGATATCCACTTCACATCTACTAGAATGTCACTGTGACAATGCCAAACAAGAGAAAATCTTATTATTGCCAGTGAGAATGCAAAATGGTATAGCTGCTTTGGAAGACTATTTGGCGGTCTCTTACAAAACTTACTACTACCATATAATCCAGCAATCATGTGCTACTAGGTATTTACTCATCTGATTTGAAAATTTACATTCACACAATAACTTGGATGTGAATGCATATAAACAGGTTTATTCATAACTGCCAAAAACTGGAAGCAATCAAGATGTACTTCATTAGGTATTTGGATAAACAAACCATCACACATCTATCCAATGGAATATTATTCAGTGATATAAAGAAAGAAGCTATCAAGCCACAAAAACACGAGTGAATCTTACTGTATACTGCCAAGTGAAAGAATTTACATACTACATGATTCTAATTATGTAACATTCTAGAAAAGGTAAAACTACAGAGACAGTAAAACACCAATGATAGCCAGTGGTTTAAAGTGGGGGAGAGTTGGATATGTGAAGCACAGACTTTTTAGGGTAGTAATGGTGAATATAAGATAATCACGTTAATAACCATATAACTTCAAAGCATAAAGAATAAACCTCAACATGCAAATTTTCAAAAAATTATTTAGGAGAATGGGGGATCCTAGATTGGCATGCAGACTGCGACAAAAAGTCTAACTATATTCCAAATGTATGAAACAACCTCATCACAGGGGACGTAGGAATAAGGTGCTGACCTTTGGAAATGAGTGGAATATGTAAGACTAAAGAAAGAAAAGACAGGCACTCTACCCTAGTTGATAAAGTTGTTTTCCATGGTGGTACAGGTTAACAATTCTGAAATCACTATATCTGTATACTGAAATTGAACAAGTAAGTAAATGGACGACTGATCGTGGAAGCCAAGTTTCTCCCTGTTGAAGGAGGAGGTTATGGCAGGGGAGGAAGATAAAATAATCTATATGGTAATGGATTTGAACTGAAGACATCAATATAAATTCATGTTCAGCTTAATATGGATACCGATGGTCACACATAGAAATATTTACAGATATATGTGTAATACAGGTTAGTATAAACACATATACTAACATATCTCCTTGTGTTTGTCAGCTTAGAGGGCCTAGAAGCAGTAACATCCCAGGGGCAACGAACATACTTAGCACCCAGATCTTGGTTTCTAATAAAATTCTCCAACAAAAGGAACCAAGTCTCCTTGGAAAAATGGCTGTTTCTAAAACTAGGGCAGGAAATAAACAAAATGAGCACAGAGCATCTTGTAATGCCAGAAAGTAAAAGTTGATGTACACACATACAACAATGGGAGTATGTCAAAGAGATACAAGACCCAAGTGAAAGAACTCCCAAAGGCCAAAGCTGGGACAAAATAAAAGAGCAGTACTGAAGTATAACCCAACACATTAAAAAAAAAAAAAAAATCGGCTGGGCGCAGTGTCTCTCGCCTGTAATCCCAGCACTTTGGGAGGCCGAGGCAGGCAATCACCTGAGGTCAAGAGATCGAGACCATCCTGGCCAACATGGTGAAACCCCATCTCTACTAAAAACACAAAAATTAGCCGGGCATGGTGCTGCGTGCCTATAATCCCAGCTACTTGTGAGGCTGAGGCAGGAGAATCGCTTGAACCCAGGAGGCGGAGGTTGCAGTGAGCCGAGATCACGCCACTGCACTCCAGCCTGGGCAACAGAGCGAGACTTTGTCTCAAAAAAAAAAAAAAAAAAAAAAAAAATCTATGTATTCATACTGACGTAAGTAAATGATTGAATAAATAATTGGGGAAAAGACAAATCTCCCACGCAAAAAAATAAAAAAAAAATCCAAATAATTTATTTAGACTCTTTGCTCTCAAGGAAGTAGAACTCCCCATTCCTTAAGTGTGCAGCGCACAGTGACTTTCTAGTAAAGAATACAGAAAGGGAGAAAAAAAGAAAATACTAACTTCAAAGTGAAGAAACCTAACAAACACTACCTCAAGTCAAGTGATCAAGGTTAACATTAAAAGTGGCAAGTTGGCCGGGCGTGGTGGCTCTCGCCTGTAATCCCAGCACTTTGGGAGGCTGAGGCGGGCAGATCACAAGGTCAAGAGTTGGAGACCAGCCTAATCAACATGGCGAAACCCCGTCTCTACTAAAAATACAAAAATTAGCCGGGTGTGGTGGCACGTGCCTGTAATCCCAGCTACTCAAGAGGCTGAGGCAGGAGAATCGCTTGAACCCGGTAGGCAGAGGTTGCAGTGAGCTGAGATCGCACCACTGCACTCCAGCCTGGGTGATAGAGGGAGACTCCATCTCAAAAAAAAAAGAAAAGTGGCAAGTCACACTGACAGTATGTATTGATGAAAATTGTACTTTATCTCTGTTGTCTTTCTCTCCGAAACACATTACCCCAATATAATAACGAGAAAAACATGAGACAAATCTCAACTGACATTCTACAAAACACCTGAGCAGTAACCCTCAAAACTTTCAAGAGCATCAAAAACAAGGAATGTCTGAGAACTATCACAATCAAGAGGTGCCTAAGGAGACAGGACTACTCAATGTAATGTGGTATCCTGGATGGGATCCTGGAACAGAAAAAGCATATTAGAGGAAAAATGAGGAAATGCGAATAAAGTATAGCCTTTAGTTAATAAAGTATCAATACTAGTTCACTAATTATAACAAATGTACCATATTAATCTAAGATGTTAATAATAAACTGGGTGTGGAGTATATAGGAACTCTATACTGTCTGCAATAATTCTGTAAATCTAAAACTGTTCCAAAATAAAATGTTTATTTTTAAAAATGCAATCAAGGTGTTATAAAATAAAGTTGAGAAAATATCCTAGAAAACAGAACAGAAAGGGATAGAAAACAGGAGAGAAAATATTAGAAATTAGAGAATCAATCTAATGAGGTTTAATATTCTAATAAAAGAAGTCCAGAAAGAAGGAAGGGAGGGAAAGAAGAAACTGTCAAATAAACCACGGATATGGTCTCCAAATGGAAAGGGCCCATTTGGGGCCCAACACATGAATGAAAAACTCTTACCAACCAACATCATTGTGAAATTTCAGAACACCTGAATGGTTGAAGGGAGGATCACCCCATTTAATACTACAGTCTGCATCCCCTACCTCTCCTTTCCCCAACATTCCTGAACTTCCCACCCCAGCCTGCTCTTTTTTCTCTTTTCTAAAGCAGTTATTTACTTTACAAACTCCCAATGTTTTGTATAATTTATTTATTATATTTGCTGTTGAACAACTCCTCCCTCCCTGAATTTAAGCTCTATAAGGACATGAATCTTGTATTTTTGTTCACCTATATATTCAAAATGTCTTGACCAGTGCCCGGCACATAAAATGTGCTCAATACATACTTGCTGAATAAATATAAACGCTTCCAAAGAGATATAACAGGTCACAATCAAAGGATTGGTTATCATAAATGTGAGGGTTAAATAAAAAAATGGTTGACCATGCAAGAACCCAAAATATGTGCATCCCATTCTGTCTCTCTCAGGAAGCTACTCAAAAACATACTCTGCCAATATAAGGGAGACACCAAGAAAAAGGAAAACCTGAAATCCAAGAAAAAGAGGCTACCCACACAGAAGAGACAAATGCAATTCACAGATGACTGTAAAAGGGCAGTCCAGGAAGAGAGTTGTGCAACAGGCCTAGAGAGCAACCCATCAAGATGGAGGCAGGAAAGATGTCGCAAAACAGATTATCAGATGTGTTTGAATCTACTAAGAGGAGACTGATGTATCTGGTTCAAGAGATTAATAGATCAAATAAAGAATACAAAAGACACATTAAAAAGATATAAAACATTTATTTATAAAGAAATATAAAAGGTACATGTACAAAAGAATTAAGATATTAACTAGGAAAAACAAAAATTATACAAGAAAGGAAATAACCTCACACTTACCTTGTTCAGCTACATACAATATTTACATAGTTAAAATGAGGTAAACACCAAATAACTAAAAGTTAACATGTAACTAATTTGGGAATATAGAGGGGAGAGGGGAAGTGAAATGCAGTGTTTAAAGGTAGGAGTTGGTACAAAAAACCTAAACTCCCATCTTCTGTAATAGGAAATGAGTAAACTATACTTCAAATCGCATTAGGATGGGAATGGGGAGGGGATATCGCCATATATCTAAATATGTCATTTTAAAAAACTGGAAGTGATAAGGAATTGAAGTCACTGACTCTGGAGCAGCCTTTCTCAATTAAGGTTCGGCGAGAGAATTAATCTTTAATGCCCTAAGGCTTCCATTTTATGTAATAAACTAACTTCTCTCCTATGCATCCATCATATTATTAGCTACCTACCCTCTTTGGGAGAATTAAGAAAATAGTTGCTCAAATCATTTTTCTTGTTCAGTGATTCAGACAGAAAGCACTGATTGAGAAAGACTGCTTCTGGAGAGTGGGATTCAGGGGTGAGAAGGACTGGGGCAGAAGATTGTTGTTTTTCTCTTTTTTTTTTCTTTTTTTTTTTTTTGAGATGAAGTTTTGATCTTGTTGCCCAAGCTGGAGTGCAATATCGCGATCTCAGCTCACTGCAACCTCCGCCTCCCAGGTTCAAGCGATTCTCCTGCCTCAGCCTCCCAAGTAGCTGGGATTACAGGCATGCGCCACCAT
The DNA here is from genome assembly GCF_000001405.40 of Homo sapiens. Lineage (NCBI taxonomy): Eukaryota > Metazoa > Chordata > Mammalia > Primates > Hominidae > Homo > Homo sapiens. Next base: position 80,413,331 of record NC_000005.10, on the reverse strand, counting down.
GCCTGGCTAATTTTGTATTTTTAGTAGAGATGGGGTTTCTCCATATTGGTCAGGCTGGTCTCGAACTCCCGACCTCAGGTGATCCTCCTGCCTCAGCCTCCCAAAGTGCTGGGATTACAGGCATGAGCCACCGCACCCAGCCCTCTCTTCTTTTTTGAGACAGGGTCTCACTCTGTTGCGCAAGTTGGACTGCAGTGGCACGATATTAGCTCACTATAGCCTCCACGTGCTGGGCTCAAGCGATCCTCCCACCTCAGCCTTCCAAGTAAATGGAACAACAGGTGTGTGCCCCACAACCCAGCTAATTTTGTTTATTTTTTGTGGAGACAAGGTCTCACTATGTTGCCCAGAATGGTCTCAAACTCCTGGGCTGATGTGATCCTCTTGCCTCAGCCTCCCAAAGTGCTGGGATTACAGGCGTGAGCCACCACACCCAGACAGTTTTTCATTATAATCCTTGAAGTACTATTTGACTGTTTATGTACAGGTATCCC